>NC_000005.10:160912839-161215869 GCF_000001405.40 Homo sapiens | reverse complement strand
ATTATAATATATAATATATATAATATATCCCACACGTTTGAATATATATTATATATTTATATATATAATATATATTTTGAACAATCATACAAAACTGAGTAATAATAGATAAGATTTGAACACCAACACAATTGATTTATTCTTTCTTTCTACATAAATATATAGAGTTAAGTAGACGTCATATATCTTATACATATGTAAATATCTATATCTATATAAAAATATTGCATCTAATATGCAAAATATATATTCTTTTCAAGCATTCATGTGACATTTACAAAAATTAACCCTGTATGGGAAATATAATAAGTTACAACACATTTTAAAAGGTTAAAATCATTGTGATGATTACAATGAACCATGCTGGATAACTATAAAGTATTACTTGAAAATATATATATACATATATTTGGCATTCAAGAAACACATATCTAAACAACCTATGAGTCAAATACAAAATTTTAATGTAAATTACCAAGTGGCTTAAATGAATGACTATTATATATATTGTATATATAATTTAAACCACTTAGTAATTTATATTGAATTATAAATTATAATTATAAATTATAGATAGCTATTATAATTATAAATTATTTATAATCATTATAATTATATTATAAATTATATTAAAATTTTGTATTTGATGCATAGGGTTTTTTAGATATGTGTTTCTTGAATTCCAAATATATGTATGTATATTCTTTCAAGTAATATTCTATAGTTATCCAGCATAATTTATTGTATTCATCACAATGATTTTAACCTTTTAAAAAGTAACATATTATATTTACCACTGCAGGGTTAATTTTTTTAAATGTCCCATGAGTGCTTGAAAAGAATGTATATTTTGCATATTAGATACATTGTTTTTATATATAGATATTTACATATGCAAAAGATATATGAGGTCTACTTAACTATATCTATATCTATATTTATGTAGAAAGAAAGAATAAATCAATTGTGGTGATGTTTAAATCTTATATATTATTACTCAGTTTTGTATGATTGTTCAACCAAATTCTGACTATTTATTCAAATAAATACTTAATGAATCTTAATAAGTATTAGGCAATGTTAAACTATTCCGTGGATCATCTGATTCAATACACACAACAATTCTACTAGGTTGGTGCAAATGTAATTGTGATTTTTGCATTGCTGGATCTTGCCATTTGATATTGGAATACATTCTTAAATAAATGTGGTTATGTTATGCATCATTTTAATGGGCATTTCTTGCTTTATGATTTTTTGCTAACGACTTATTACTTTCTGCTCATGTTTATTTTAGACTATGGAAATGATGTTAGTCAAAAAGTAAATTTGAACTATTTTCTTATTTGAGTTTGAAATGGGTCGTAAAGCAGGGGAGACAACTCACAACATCAACAATGCATTTGGCCCTGGAGCTGCTACTGAACGTACATTGCAGTGGTGGTTCAAGAAGTTTTGCAAAGGAGACAGAGCCCTGAAGATGAGGAGTTTAGTGGCAGGCCATCGGAAGTTGACAACGACCAATTGAGACCAGTCATCAAAGCTGATCTCTTACAACTACACAAGAAGAACTCAAGGTCGACCATTCTAGGTCATTTGGCATTTGAAGCAAATTGGAAAGGAGAAAAGGCTCAATAAGTGAGTGCCTCATGAACTGAGCGAAAATAAAAAAAAAAATCATCAGTTTGAAGTGTCATCTCCTCTTATTCTATGCAACAACAAACCACTTCTTGATCGGATTGTGACGTATGAGAAAAAGTGGATTTTATACAACAATGACCAGCTCAGTGGTTAGGCAGAGAAGAAGCTCCAAAGCACTTCCCAAAGTCAAACTTGCACCAAAAAAAAGGTCATGGTCACAGTTTGGTGGTCTGCTGCTGGTCTGACACACTACGGCTTTCTGACTCACGGTGAAACCATTACATCTGAGAAATACGCTCAGCGAATCGATGAGATGCACTGAAAACTGCAATGCCTGCAGCTGGCATTGGTCAACAGAAAGGGCCCAATTCTTCTCCACGACAATGCTCGTGGAGCACACATTCCACATTCCACGACACATTCCACAACCAACACCTCAAAAATTGAACAAATTGGGCTACCAAGTTTTGCCTTATCCACCATATTCACCGGACCTCTCGCCAACCAGCTACCACTTCTTCAAGCATCTCGACAACTTTTTGCAGGGAAAACACTTCCATAACCAGCAGGATGCAGAAAATGCTTTTCAAGAGTTCATCAAATTCCGAAGCCGGGATTTTTACACCACAGGGATAAACAAACTTATTTATCATTGGCAAAAATGTGTTGATTCTAATGGTTCCTGTTTTGATTAATAAAGATGTGTTTGAGCCTAGTTACAATGATTTAACATTCATGGTCTGAAAGTGCAATCACTTTTGCACGGACCTAATATAAAATTAGAGGAAGGAAATCAAGTCTCTAAAATATTAAGTAATTGCCCATTGTCCCACAGCTGGTAGTGGGATGAAAGCAATGGGTGAGATGGGATGGGGTGCATGATCCATATCCAGTACTGCAATCCAATTCTATGTTACTCCAACCTCATGCATTCATGACATTACTCAAAATTACTTTAGGTAACAGTCTCTATCATGTATACAGGAAGGAAAGATTCTTTGTTTTTCTCCATCCTTCTATTCTCCAGTGTCTCTCAGCGTTAATTTCTCCTTACCCAGGAATGACTTTCCTTGGTGATGTTGCAGCTTTGTCCTGCAGATTTGAACTGGTATCTGTGTTGTGATTCTCATAGAAAAGGCTAAATTCTGCTATTTATTGGAGACAAAGTAACATCTAATTGGGAACGTGAGCTGAAGAGAGATCCCTATTTGTCTTGGAAGGATGAATAGATAGATGTATACATAGATAGTTATTAAAAATAATATATTCTGTAACACTCTCCAAAGTTGTTTCCAAAGGTAAAAATATCTAAGCAGTCTTATTCTCCATTATACTGGTCACGTCTTGACAGGGACTGTATCTGATGCGTTCATTGCTGTATCTCTAGCACTTAGGACAATGTAGGCTCTTAGTAAATCTTTGCTAAATGAATTAATGAATATATGCTATAAAACTATACCAGCAAAGGAATTACTGACTTTTAAAAATTTAAATCATATGAAGTTATATACAGTAGATAAAACTTAGGTCCACTCCTAAATGGACTTTTCTTGCTTTGTTTCAAAAGTATTTTCAATCTCTGTTTCAATATCTCAGTGAATTAGCTGATGGTATAGTACAACAACAAGGCAACCTCACTGCAAACTGAAATTTCCAGCTGGGAACTCTTCTGCAGGGTGTCATCTGTAACTTCAGTCCACAAATCACTTAAGTTATCCCAGATATTATGGACTTTAAATGGTCTCCAGAGAAAACTATCCTGATAGCCTTCTTTTATTGTTAGTACAACTGTAAAGAATTATGGTCATCCCCTTATTGAAAAATGCATGAGACAAGATAATAAAAAGTGAGAATTATATAATAAATCATTTTGAGCAGGTATGGAAGTAATAAACATAGATCAACTAAAAGGCTAGCACATTGACTAATGGCAGTATCATGGCTATTTCTATAGGGAGCGACCAGTTCATCTTTTTGCTGAATGAGTGCCATAGCAGAAAACAGAATCATTCTGGCTTATTTTTATTGTTGCCTTATTATTATTGTTTTTTAAATCACAACAGTTTAACACTGGCATGGTAATATGAGAAACCCAAATCTGAAATACATATAAATACAAACATTGTTCAGTGACACTGCAATAACTTCTTTCCATTATTTTAATGACATTTGTCATGTGCCAATCATTTAAATAATAGCAAATTAGAAATTAATAGGCATTGTGCAAAATTTAACGTTGAAAATCTGGGGTTCGAATTTAAATTGGGAAAAAACTTTGAATAGACATGAAGACTGAAAATGGAGTTGTATAAATATATTTGACAACATTTAAATCTCTGCCGTTTTTTACTCCTCGTTTCAGTTGAAAAAAAGAAAAGTCATTCAACTAAATAAGAAAAACTTCTAAGAGGATCTGACTGTACTTGTAGGGAGCTGCTGCTTTATTGGATTCTGTAGGCAGCAGATAACAAGATGTCACGAACATTCTGAGCTCTTCTATGCCCTTTAGCATCTGTCCTAATGCTGATTTAAACGTTTTATGACAATCAAATAACAGAGTTAGAATCATTCAAACTTTGTAATACCTGGAAGGTTAAAATTGATCTTTAAAAAAAGAAACAGTTTTACAGAGATATAATTGTCATACAATACACTACACAAATTTAAAGTGTGCAATTTGATAAATTTTGACGTATCTATACACCCGTGAAACCTTCATCTCAATCAAAATAATGAACACATCCATCACCCACAGAAGTTTCATCCTGGTCTTCTACAACCATTTATTTCCACCATTCCTGTACTGCTCCCCCAGGCAATCACTAATGTGTTTCCTGTCACCATATATTGGTTTGCATATCCAAAATGTTTACATAAATAGAAAAATGCAATGCATATTCTTTTTTGCCTGTCTTATTAAATGTAACTATTTTGAGATTCTTTCATGTGGTTGCGTGTATTAATGTTTCATTCCCTTTTTTGCTTAGTAGAATTCACAATATGGATATTCCTCAATTTGTCTGTCAATTCATCTATTAATGAATGGGAGTTCCCAATTTTTGGTTATGACAAATAAGCTGCTAGGAGCATTACTGTACAACTTTGTAGGATGTATGTTTTCATTTTGGTGGGGTATATACTTACAAATGGAATGGCTAGATCACATATTAGTAGTATGTTTAACTTTGTAAGAAATTGC
Organism: Homo sapiens; assembly: GCF_000001405.40. Lineage (NCBI taxonomy): Eukaryota > Metazoa > Chordata > Mammalia > Primates > Hominidae > Homo > Homo sapiens. Next base: position 161,211,029 of record NC_000005.10, on the reverse strand, counting down.
AAACTGTTTTCCAAAGTGATTGTATCATTATACAATCTCAACAGTACAGTATGAGTTCCAGATTTTCACATCCTTACCAGCATTGGTAGGGTTGATCTTTTAAATCTTAGCCATTCTAACAGGTGTGTAGTTGTTACCCATTGTGATTTTAATTTGCATTTCCCTAATGACTACTGACGTGAGACTCTTCATGTGTTTGTTGATTAAGATTTTCTGACCATTAAAAAAATTGGATTGTTTGTTTTCTTCTGGAATTATTAAGTAGTCTACATATATTCTGGATACAAGTCTTTATAATATATAGATAGATAGAGATATAAACAAATATTTTATCCCAGTGGCTTTTGTTGTCATTCTTTTAACAAACTTCTTTGAAGAGCAAAAGATTTTAATTTTGATGCTTACATTTTAAAATTTGGTCTCTTATGGATTGTGCTTGTGATGTTATGTCTAAAAAATATTTGCATAATTGAAGGTTACAAAAGTTTTCTCCCATATAGTCTTCTAAACTTTTAACATGTTAGGTTTTACATTTAGTTCTGTGTTTCCTTTTTAGTTAAATTTCTTTATATGGTCCAAAACAAAGTTGATGTTTTGTATATGAATATTCAATTGTTCAAGTACAATTTGTTAAAAACTATTATTTTTCTCCTGAATTTCTTTTGCACCACTGTCAAAATTTAGTTGTTCCTTAATGTGTAGGTTTACTTTCTGAGTCTTTATTTTGTTATGTTGATCTATTTGTCTATATTTGTGCCAAAATCACATCATCTCAATTACTGTAGCTTTATACGAAGTCTCGAAATCAGGTAGTATCAATTCTCCAATATTCAGCTTTTTTTAATTTTTAAAGTTGCTTTGTCTAGCCTAGGTCCATTTTATTTCCATAATGATTTTAAAATCAGTTTTTCAATTTCTGGGAAAAACTTTGATGCTATTGGGATTGTGCTGAATCTATAGATAATCTGGGGAGAAATGATACCTGAACAGTATTTAGTCTTTTGATAACTCCCTGTTTTTTCAAATCTTTAACTCCTCCCATAAATGTGTAACAGTTTTCAGTATCGTAGGGCTTTCATGTCATTAGTAAAGTGCATCTCTGAGTATTTAACATTCTTTTTTGTTTGTTTTTGTTTTTCTTTTTATTATTATTATTATTATGCTTTAAGTTTTAGGGTACATGTGCACAATGTGCCGGTTAGTTACATATGTATACATGTGCCATGCTCAGGTGCTGCACCCATTAACTCATCATTTAACATTAGGTATATCTCCTAATGCTATCCCTCCCACCTCCCCCCAACCGAGTATTTAACATTCTTATGATATTATAAATAGTTATGCTTTCTTAATTTCAATTTCTGATTGTTCATTGATTACATACAGAAGTACAATTGATCTTTGTCAAACTTTATATTACACACTTGCTAGATTCATTTATTAGTTCTAGTAGCTTTTTTTGTAAATTTCATCTAATAGCATCAGCTGACTCTCATTTCCAGTGTAGTTTTATTTCACTTTTCCAATCTGAATGTCTCTTTATTTTTTTCTTCCTTTCTTTTTTCTTCTCTCCCCTCTCTCTCCCTTCCTCTCTTCTCCTTCTTCTCTCTCTCCTTTCTTGCCTTCCTACCTCCCTTTTTTCCATCCTCCCTCCCTTATTTCCTCCCTTCCTTCCTTCTTTTCCTCCCTTGTTTACTTCATTTCTCCCTTACTTCCTCCCTCCTTTTCTCTCTTTTTCTTTCCCTGACTGCACTAGGTAGAATCCTTAGTGCCATGTCTAATATGTGTGATGGCCAGGCACAGTGGCTAATGCCTATAATCCAAGCACTTTGGAAAGACTGGGCTGGGAGGATCATTTGCAGCCAGGATCTTGAGACAAGCCTAGGAAACAAAGTAAGATCCCTGTTTTACTAAAAGTAAATAAATAAAAATTATCCAGGCATGGTGGGGCGTACCTGTGGTTCTAGCTACTTGGGAGGCTGAGGAAGGAGGATAGCTTGAGCCCAGGAGTTCCAGGCTGCAGTGAGCCACGATCATGCCACTGCACTCCAGCCTGGGTGACACAGCGAGATTGTCTAAAAAATGAACAAACAAGTGGTAGGAGCAAGTTCTTTTTCTATTCCTACTTTTTTTAAAACAACTTTTAGGTTCAAGGGTACATGTGCAAGTTTGCTATATTGATAAATTACATGTCACAGGGGTTTAATGTACATATTATTTAATCGCCCAGGTAATAAGCATAGAACCTAGTACAAACTGATAGTTTTTTTATCCTCACCTTTCTCCTACCCTCCACCCTCAAGTAGGACCCAGTGTGTGTGGTTCCCTTCTTTGTGTGCATGTGTGCTCAATATTTTGCTCCCATTTATAAATGAGAACATGTGGTATTTGGTTTTCTGTCCCTGTATTCTCCTAAGTAGCTAGAATGACAGGTGCGTACCACCATGACTGGCTAATTTTTGTTTATTTATTTTTAGGAGAGATGGGGGTCTCACTTTGTTTCCTAGGCTTGTCTCAAGCTTCTGGCTGCAAGTGATACTCCCACTTCAGTCTTCCCAAAGTGCTTGGATTATAGGCATTAGCCATTGCACTTGGTCACTACACGTATTAGACATCATACTGAAGATTCTATCCAGTGCAGTCATGGAAAGAAAAAGAGAGTATACTTGGGATAATAGCCTACAGCTCCACCCATGTTGCTGCAAAGGACGTGGTCTCATTCTTTTTTATGAATGCATAGTATTCCATGGTGTATATGTACCACATTTTCTTTATCCAGTCTACACTGATGGACATTTAGGTTGATTTCATGTCTTTGCTATTGTGAAAGGTACTGCATGTGTCTTTGTGGTAGAACAATTCGTATTCCTTTGGGAATATATCCAGTAATTGGATTGCTGGGTCGAATGGTAGTTCTGTTTTGAATTCTTTGAGAAACTTCCAAACTGCTTTCCACAACGGCTGAACTAACCATTGTGGAAAAAATTATAAAAGCATTCCCTTCTCTCCTCAACCTTGCCAGCATTTGTAATTTCTTTACTTTTTAATAATAGCCACTCTGACTGCCGTGAGATGATATCTCATTGTGATTTTCATTTGCATTTCTCTGATGACTAGTGATGTTGAACTTCTTTTCATTTGTTTGTTGGCTGCATGGATGTCTTCTTTTGAGAAGCATCTGTTCATGTCCTTTGCCCACTTTTTAATAAGGTTGTTTGTCTTTTGCTTGTTAATTTGTTTAAGTTCCTTGTAGATACTGAATATTAGACCTTTGTCAGATGCATAGCTTGCAAATATTTTCTTCCATTCTGTGGACTGTCTGTTTACTCTGTTAATAGTTTCTTTTGCTGTGCAGAAATTCTTTAGTTTAATTGGTCCCATTTGTCAATTTTTTATTTTATTGCAATTGCTTTTGGCATCTTTGTCATGAAATCTTTTCCAGAGCCTATGTCTAGAATGCTATTTCCTAGGTTATCTTCCAGGGTTTTTGTAGTTTTTGGTTTTACATTTAAGTCTTTAATTCATCTTGAGTTGATTTTGATATTTAAGAAATGGGTCCAGTTTCAATCCTTTGCATATGGCTAGCCAGTTACCCTAGCACCATGTGTTGAATAGGGAGTCTTTTCCCCATTGGTCATTCTTGTGGACTTTGTTGAAGAGCAGATGGTTGTAGGTGTGCAACTTTATTTCTGGTCTCTCTATTCTGTTCCATTGGGCCTCTACTTTTGCTGAGAGTGTCTATCAGGAATAAATACTGGATTATGTTAAATGCTTTTTCTCTGTCTATTGAGATGACTATTCTTTTTTTGGTAGGCAATATATTGAAAATATTGATTAATTTCTGTATGTTTAACAAAACTTGCATTCCTGAAATAAATCCCAATTAGTCACAATGTATTGTACTTTCCCAATATTCAATTTGCTAAAATGTTGTTTGGAATGTTTGCATGCATGTATATGAGTGTTATTGGTCTGTAGATTTCTTTAGTTGTAAGATCTTTGGTTTTGGTAGCTGTCTCATAGAATGAGTTCAAAACTATTCCGTTTTCTTCAATTTTCTAGATAATTTTGTGTAGAATTGATATTACTTTCCCCTTAAATACTTGGTAGAATTTACCAGTGAAGTCATCTTGGGTTGGTATTTTCTTTATGGAAAAAATTTTAACTACAATTTTAACTTCTTTAGTAGATACAAGGCTAATGTTATCTCTTTCTTTATAGTTTGTGTATTTTAGAAAGTTTATAGAAAAAAGTCATTTATAATATTTTCTTGTTATCCTACTAATATCTGTAGAATCTGTAGTGATATCACTTTTCTTATTGCTAATATTGGCAATTTGTATATTCTATTTTTTTTATTAGTGTGGCTAGAGGTTGATAATTTTATTGATCTCAAAAAGACCACTTGACTTTCTTGATTTTTTTCAGTTGATTTTCTGCATTCTATTTCATTTATTTTGGGTTTAATTTTGATTCTGGCCTTTCTTCTGCTTACATTTGATTTAATTGCCCCCTTTTTTCTAGTTTCATAGGGTAGACATTGAGGTCATTGATTTGAAATATTTTCAGTGTTCTAATATTGGCCACATAATATTGGCATGTAAGATGGACAATTTTGTTTGGGAGACTGACAGTTGCCCGTATTCAAGTGATGAGAACAAATATGAGAAAACAAGAATCTCTTCAGCACTATACTCTCATCTCATTTGTGGGAAACTTGAGTGGAGAAACAAGGGGAAAACCAAGAGATGTGTACTAAAGAAAATGAAAGGAAAGAGTCAATGCTTAGGCTCGGTTTCAATGCAAAAGAACAGTGCTGACTAGACGCAGGGCTGATTGAGTTGCCCAGTTCCTCAGCTTTGATAAACGGAGATTCCAAGAAGTCTTTAGCATGCTCTGGATTCATCCAAGATGCTCATGTTGAGTAGCAAAGACAGTCCCAATCCTAGTCATGCACAAAAACTCTGTAGAAGAATAACATAGCCCTTATTTGTGAAGGCTAGTCATGAGCAGAGATCAATCCATGACCATGTGATGTCTTTCCATTTATTTAGGATTTCTTTCATTCCTTTTAATAATATTTTGCAGTTTTCAGTGCACAAGCCTTGAATATTTTTAGGTAAAACTATTTCTCAGTATTTTATTCTTTCTAATTCAATTATAAATTGATTTTAATATTTTATTTTCAGAATTTTTGTTGTTAGCATTATACAATTGATTATTATATATTGATTTTCTATTCTGTAAACTTGCTGAATTTGTTTATTGACTCCAATAGTTTTTTATGTGTATTCCTTAGAATTTTATATGTATAAAATCATGTGCAAATGGAGATTACTTCTTTGTTTCCAATCTGAAAGCTTTTTCTTTCTCTTTTTTTTTTTTTTTTTTTTTTTTTTGCTTAATTACCCTGGCTAGAACCTCCAGTACAATGTCAAGTAGAAGAGGCAAGGGTAAGCATGCTTATCTTGTTTCTGATCTCAGGGGGAAAGCATTCAGTCTTAGATCATTAAGCATGACATTAGCTATGGGTTTTTTTAATAGATGCTCTTTATCAGGTTAAGGGAGCTCACTTGTATTCCTAGTTTGCTTAATGTTTTTAAGATGAAAGGGGGCGGGCTTTTTTTTTCTAATGCTTTTTCTGCATCAAATGAGATGATCACGGGGATTTTGTCTCTAATTCTACTAATATGGTATATTGACATTTACTGATTTTCATATGTTGAAGCAATCTTACATTTCTGGGATACATCACAATTGGTGGTGGTGTGATTATTTTTCATGTTAATAAATTATGTTTTCTACTATTTGTTAAGGAGCTTTGAGTCTACATGAATAATGGATGCTCATCTACAGTTTTCTTATGATATCTTTGTCTGCTTTTTGGATGAGGGTAGTGTTGTCCTCATAGAATAAGGTAGGAAGTATTCTCCATCTTCTATTTTACTGGAAGTTTTTGAAAATCTGGTGTTAGTTCTTTCAGTTTTTTTTAGAATTTATCAGTAAAGCCATTTGGTCATGGGCTTTTCTTTGGGGAAAATTTCTTGGTTACTAATTCAATATATTCTGTTGCAGATCTATTCAGATTTTCATTTTCTTCTTGAGTTTGTTTCAGTAGTTTGAATCTTTCTAAACATTTGTCTTTCTCTAGGTTATATAATTTGTTGACATACAGTCGTTCACAGTATTCCCTTTTAATCCTTTTTATTTCACTTATTCAAAAGATAGTTTTGCTGGGTATAGATTTCTCAGCTGACATATTTTACTTTCAGTACTTTAATGATGTCTTCTCACACATGATTGCATTGTTTCTGGTGAAAAGTTTACTGTTATTCTTAACTTTGCTACTTTATGCATAATATTCTTTATTACTGGTTTTGAGCAATTTGATTATGATGTGTCTTGCATAGCTTTTAAAATTATAATTCTTAAGATTAAAATTTTTTGTTTCTTGCACCTGTGGGTTTATAGTTTCCATCAAATCTTGGAAGTTTTTGGCCAATGTTTCTTGATAATTTTTTATGGATCTGGACTCCTCCTCTCTTTGGTAGATGCTACTGTCACATATACTAGGCTACTGGAAGTGGTCCCTGGGTACACTGACATTCTTTTCATTGATTTTTCTCTTCTTTATTTTTACTGTGTTTCATTTTGAATATGTTCTATTGATATATCTTCAAATTCCCTAATCTATACTGAAACATATAATCAATGCCTAATCTGCCTTTAAGTCAATCCAGTGTATTTTTCTTCTTAGATATTGTTGTTTACATGTCTAGGAGTTCAAATTGATTGGTTTGTTGCATCTTTCATGTCTCTACTTAATTTTTGAGTGTATAATTGCCACTTTGTTCTTCATTATTATTATTTTGAGACAGAGTCTCACTCTGTCAACTAGGCTGGAGTGCAATGGCATGATCTCGGCTCGCTGCAACCTCCACCTCCCAGGTTCAAGCAATTCTCCTGCCTCAGCCTCCTAAGTAGCTGGGATTTCAGGCATCTGCCACCATGTCTGGCTAATTATTGTATTTTTAGTAGAGATTGGGTTTCACCATGTTGACCAGGCCAGTCTCAAACTCCTGATCTCAGGTGATCTGCCTGCCTCAGCCTCCCAAAGTGCTGGGATTAACAGGCATGAGGCACCACACCCGGCTATAATTACCACTTTAAAGTATTCTTCTGCTAATTCTAATATCTGTGTCACTTCTGTGTCACTGTTTCTTGCCCTGTGTGAATGCCAAGCACTTAAGTCTTTAATCCTTTTGGATGGTTCTGTCTCTTATTTTAGGGAATTTTCTAACATTCATGCACTGATCAGTACTCTGCTGTATACTCTGTGAAGACCCTCTGTGGCTATTTCTCTGAGTTCTCTCCTCTCCAGTACTGTGTCCTATTAACTTTAATTACTTCAAATGTCCCATGGGCTTAGGGTCTCTATAAATCAGAAACTTGATACAAACTAACATATTTTATTCCTACAGTTTTCTTGGCTTTTATATATTTGTGCATTCATCCATGTATTATTTAACAAGTATATGAGTGTCTATTATTGTGAAGCCTTTTGCTCGTCATTTTGAATATAATCTGGGGGCAAAACCAAGTAAATTTCCTGCTTTAATAGAGTTCCTTGCCTACTTAAAGAAAAATGTATTCCCAAGTTCTAAGATAAGTACTCTGGAGGAAAAAAAAAAAAAGAATATGGTCTTAGGAGCCTATTTTTAAAAAATGAACTCAACTGTAATGACTTTATAATGTGTCATCTTGATTAGGTTGACTACATTTTCCAGTATTTGTTTTGTGTATCTCTCCAGTTAGGGTGTGCTGAGGGAAGATCCTTGGAAAATTTGGAGAAAGAATGGGAAGCAGCAGCCATTATTTAGCTCACATACATATTTCCGGATCAGATGACACAGTTTTAGTAAAGCAGAAGACAGATCTGAAAGTGCTGTACTTTATTCTGGATTATTTTTTTAGCTTCTTTAACTTCTGGGCAAAGGCTATGTGTTTAGTTTCCAGCTGAAGGACCCTGGCTTCTACAGGGCACCTTTGTCACCAAAGTCAGAGACAAGAAAACCTGGTAGGGTTTCAGCCAGTCTTGTGGGGCTCCAGCTTACTCCGGTTCTCCCCACTTTATATCCATCTTCTCTACCCACAAGGCACAAAGAAAACAATTCACAGGGATGGCTTAACTGGCTTTCACAAATGTTTCAGGCCAATTCCTTGTTCAAAATTTTTTTATCAATCTATCTATCTTTCTATCTCTATTTCTCTATCTCTTGCTAATCTCTCCGAGCAATTGATGAGTTTGTATAGAAAAAAATTTAGGGCCTTTTGCCCTCAACTTTGGGCCTTAATTTCAGAATAACAGGAAAAATCCCTCTCTTGATACTGTTAAAGTTTATCCTCATGGCAATAAGACACCGTGGAAGGATCTTAGGATGGGGAATGATGTAGGATTTGCATTTTAGAAAAATAGCTCTGCCTCCTGTATGAAAAACGAGGAGACAAAAGGGAGGATGTTTAGTTAACATGCTGCTGGAGCAGTTTAGAGGAAAAATGATAAAGGCATGAAAAAAGGCATGAAAAATTAAGAGGCTGTGGTATAGATATTAGGAAGTAAACACTACAGAATTTGGTGAGCTTTGATATTTTTCAGCTCATAAAGTATTTGCATTTTGAACTAGAAATTGAGACAGGAAGACACGGGAGGAAATAACTTACTGGGAACATTCCAGATACAAAGACTTATAAGTAGGAAAATATTTAGGGACAAAAGTATCTTTCTAATATCCCTCAACAGCTCTGCATCACTCTACTTCTAAAGTAGTTGTTTAGCTTCTTGTAAATTGTGGCTTGCGGACCAGCGCCTCCTGCATCTCTAAAAGTTTATTGGAAATACATCATGTCAAGCCTCATCAGTAACTCCTGAGGCAGAATCTGTATCTTAACAAGCTTTCCAGATGAATCACCTGCATGTTAAAGTTGGAAAAGCTGTGCAAAGATTCTGCAGGTTGGTCTAAATCCCATTTTGCTCTCCCAACCTATTAAGATATTCCAGATCAAAGAGGAAATAACTGGCTATAGAAATGTTTGAAATTTCCCCTCCCCATTCTCCCAGAATCAAGAAAAAGCTTCATGTTCTTCTTCACACTTATTACCTTCAAAGTACTATTTTAGTCTCTTCCAACTCATTGGAGCAGGTGGGACTCCTGACATCTTATCACCACTTGTAATTTTCAAACATCACAACAGCCATGGCTGTCAGTGGGATTTTTCCAAGGCATTTGGCATACAGCAGACTTAGCACAATCTTGGCAATGCTAATAATAAAAGGCCTCCCTTTGGGATGCTGCAGAAGCAGATATAAAACATTATCTAGTTATAACTAGATTAAAGAAGTTTCTTCTGATGAAGGCATTTTCCCCTTTTGTAATTTCCTCTTACCAATAATGAGCAGAGAATACATGAGGCTATTTATATCTCTGAATGCTTTTAATGAGACCGAGGGTGAGTACTGGACTTGAGAGAGAAAGCATCATATTCTTAGACAAGCACCCTTATCAATAGATGTCAACAATCCATTTCAGCAATATTCAGCTGAGATCTATTTATTTCAACTTGCCATGAAGCAGTGCCTAGCACTATGCCCAATCAGTAATTATTAATTGACTGATATCCAGATAAATGAGGAGCTATGACATACCTGGTTAATTTTCAATCTTCCCCAACCAAACAAACGCTTTACAATTTCCTAGAAGGCTTTGCATAATCAGCCCACTTCTCCAAGCTCATCTCAGGCCATTCTGCTCTCTTTATTCCAGCCATGTGACTTTATTTCATTTCCTTTAACATTCCTGGGTGATTTCTTCCTTAGGTCCTTCAAACATGTGTCTCCTCTGCCTGCATCCTCCTGCTTCTTGACTATGTCATTCCCTTGCTCTAGATCTAAGCCCAACTTCTATCTTCTCAGAAAGGTTTCAAGACTACTTGTCTCCTGCCTACCACCTAAAGTAGGTCTCCTAAGATAATTTTCTCATACTACCCTGATCTTTTCTGTAACAGCACTTATCATAATTTGTAATTATTTATCTCTTTACTTCTCATTCCCCTCTTCTAAATAAAGAGACCAATTCTTTCCTACCCACCCCGGGCCTAATGTCTAATCATTGCTTATAAACAAATATTAGTTGGCCAAATATTAATGCTACCCTACATCCAAAAATGAGCTCTTGTACCTATGAATTTTCATGGCTCCTTTTATGTGCTGTACAGTTATGCACTTAACCCTAGTTTTTTATTTTTTATTTTTTACTATGTTTTGTGCTCATTTAGAATGTTCGATTAGATTATCAACTCTTGGAGGAAAGTCATGTGTTTGTTTTGTATAGCCTATTCCCTGTCCATGACAGGTCTCAAATAAAGTTAGCTTAAATGACGAGTGAATGAATCCTCTGCCCTGTGATTAGTTCCTATTGTACAGGAGAGCATTTAACTATTTTAAATCTCAAAGTTGGTTAGTAAGGGAAGCCAAGCATTTGCAAAATTTCAAATGAGGTTAGTGATTTCCTTTTCTTCTTTAGGCATTTTTCCCCCCAAGAACTGGGGAATCAATCCACCTTTCCTCTTCGCTATGAGATTTGGGAAGGAAAATGAAGGAGAAATGCTTACAGTCATATAAGCTTGAGTTAAATAATTCTAGAAGGTGCTTCTTACATCTTGAAGAGTATCCTTCACTGAGAAAGTAAATATAAAAGGGAAGCATGATTTGAGGGAAGAAGGCCTTTGGAAGAATTTAGCTTTTGATATTTTTAAGTGAATTATCACTAAGACATCAGACAAAGGTACCCTGTATGGACAAAGAAATATTGATCTGTGGCTTCTGAGTCTCTGAAAAAATCATATTTCTGGTTTTTTTTTTCAAAAGCTCATTCACAAATTGAATGTCTATGTGTGCCAGGCACTGTTCTAGGCTTCAAAGCCATAGTGACCAAGGAAAACAAAGTCACTGCCTGCACAGTCATCATCTGAGAAAAGAGATAGGAAATGGGATACGCAAACAAGAACAATAGTATTCCATGGAATACATGGCACAAAGGAGGTAAAACGGGGGTGGTGACTAAAGAGCGCTGTTTTGTCTTGGGTGGTCAGGAAAGGCTTTTACAAGGAAGGGGGCATTTGAGTGGAGACTCAAAGATAAGAAGGAGCCACTGTGCTTTTCTTTTCTCTTCCCCCACCTTTCCTTCTCTCCTCTTCCCTTCACTTCATCCCAAGTTCCTATGAACAAGACTGAACAAGACTATGGGCTCCCCAAAAGGACATGTCCACTTCCAATCCAGGAGTGTTACATGACTATCAGGGAAGCCTGCTTAAATGAAGGAGCAGTTAAGAAAATCTTTGTAGCTGGCAGAGAACCCAACCATTGTTTGAAAAACTGCTGATGGTGTTTTCCTACCCACAACCTGGTGATCCTTTGGAAGGGAGAAAAGAGTAAAAGATTAGGGCGCAAGAGAGCAAGTGTGTGAGGGAGATTTATTCTTGCTTAGAAGCAAGGGGACGGAAGTCAGGACTCCACAAGACTTGTAACTCAAGTTTCTTATTTAAAACCCAGCATGGTGAATGTAGTATCCAAATGCACATCCTGTAATTTAAACAATCCAATTTCAAGGAAACATTCTTTTCACTGATGCTGACTGTGGCTTCCTAATGATTCACCACTGTAGAGTGACATAATGTAATTGTTGCTCTAGTGTTGATGTATTGGTGCAATATACTTTCTCTTATTATGTAGACACTTAAATGTATGCCTTTCTATATATGCTTCCAGGAAGTGAGGATAGTTAAATGTTTTTAAACAACTTAACCAATGTTCCCTCCCCTTCCTGTGTTTTCCATTTAACACCAAGACCTGCAGGGTAATAGCAGTGACTTATGATCTGTAATTTTACAATGGGCTTGTATTGTCTTTCTTTATATTATCTCTACTAAGGGGGAAACATTCTTTATCTTCTTACTCTTTGACTTCTGTGGAATCTCATTTCATAAAGAGGAATCAACGAGAATTTTTCAGTGCTGACAGAAAGAGGAATAATGTGTATATAATTTCTACTATTAATGTTTTCTTCATAAGAACCTGAAAAATTGATGAACCAGTAAAGATCTCCACTAATTAACAAGTTAGGAGAACTTCTGGATTTGGTTTTCTTCCGTGAAGTCACTCACTTACTAAATATCTAAGTGTACAGTAACAGTTTATATGTAAGAAAAGAGTACACCAAACACAGTACTGGGTACTGAGAATGAGCCAAAGGAATACGGAGTGTGCTAAAAGGGTATTTTCAGCCCTCTTGGTTTTAAGATTATTTTTAGTAATAAAAGAATCATAATAACACAATCATAAGAATGACAATGGCCTACAACATTTAGTGAGGATATGTCACTTGACAAGCATCGTGCTAAGTGCTTGATATAAATTTTTCACGTTTGAATCTCACAGAAAACCCGCAAGTGATGACTCTTTTCCCCAGAGTAGAGGTGGACAGTTCCAGGAGGAAACTGTAGTATGCCTAATCACCACACTTGATGTAACAGACATGCCTTTGGTGGAGCATCACTGAGAATCACAGCCCCCAGGTTAAAAACGGCCACATATCATTGATTGTTTATGGGATTAAGTAATATTCCCCATAAATCTGAAACTGGCATTAGGTACTCTAGCCTGTATAGTATACCAATACTCTATTATAAATATGAAAAAAACTTTATGTTGCCTTCAAAAAAAGAGGTTAATAGCTATCTCCAATTAGGCAACAAATTGCTAAATTTAGCAAGTACCTAACTTTTTCCAGAACTCAATCCTCAGTTCCAGAGCTCTTTCACTGTTAAAAGAAAATGATCACTTTTCCAATTAAAAAAAGTTTTACTGAATAAATGCCTTTAAGCCAGTTAATTTAAAGCTAAGTTAATATTATTTCTTAGTTTTATTGCCATTATTCAGAGACATCTGAAGCCACAAGTCACTAGGGAGATGAAGGGTCAGAGATTTAGTTTATTTATTATTATTATGAATCCTGACAAGTGTTTGTTATTTTTAATCATATCCTCAAGGCTGGGAACCATTTCCAGAGATTCTGATTTACTTGGTCTGGGGTATAGCCTGGGTATTAGAAAAATATTTAAGGGTCCAGCAGATTCTACCCTGCAGCTTTAGAAGTTGAGAACCACTGCCTTATAATGTCTTGTTGAGAGGAAATAAAGAACAGACCATCATAGAGGATCATTTGCCTCAATTTCTTTATTTAGTAAAATGAGGCCCTTTAAATAATATTTTGCAATTATCTTTTCAGGAACAGAGTCCTTTGCATGAAAAAAAAAATCTAAGAAGTAAAATTTAACCAGAATCTTCACTTGTTAAAACTGATAAGTTTATAGCTGCTCTGATCCTCAGGTTGCAGGTGGGATAGGGCAGCAGGTGCAAAGAAAGGAGGATGACTTCAGTCCCAAACCATTCTACTCACCCACAGTCTCCCACTTCAAACTGAGCCAAGGTTAAGGCACTCTTTTCACTTCCGGCACACATAGGAACTGATAATGTTTGTGTAGCTCACCTAGGCAGATGGATGGGCTGATGGCAGGACTGGGTGAAAGTGAATGACTTGGGGGTTTAGCTTAGACTTGGCGGGGGGTCTAAGGTCACTTCAAAGCTGAGGGAATGATGAATTGGGTACACCTAGGTCAATCTGTAGCATGCTAGTTGGAAATCAGCTCTTCCTTAAGACACAAACATAGAACAAAAGACTCCTAAGAGCAGTTCAAAAACCACTAGTTGGTCCCTGAGCCCTCTTTGGGCTCAGAGAATGGCCAGGTAAACAACAAATGGGTTGATTTATTCATTCACTCAATAAATATGCTTTGGTGATCTGCAGAAATTTCCTAGAATAAGAAAGGTATTATTCTAGGTGCTGAAGATACAGCAATAAACAAAACAAGCCTAGTATTTGCTGTCAAGAAATTTTCAGTCTAAAAAAGGAGGCACAACATTGAATAATGCACACAGATAAAATACTACACATTATGATAAATATTAGGGAAAGAGTGTGAAGAATAACCATGCAAGGTGACTTCAGTCAAGGAGGCCAAAGATATTAGCTCTGTGAAGGAGACATTTATGTGAAGGTGGAAAGACTGGAAAGAACCAGCCATATCCTTGTGGATGTATGAGTGGTGTTGGGAGAACATGAATTTCAAGAGAAGGAACAGCATTTGCAAAGACAGTGAGATGGAAAAGAGCTTCCTGAGCTAAAAAAAGCAGAAGTCATGGCCAGGTGCAGTGACACACGCCTGTAATCCCAGTACTTCGGGAGGCCGAGGCAGGTGGATCACTGGAGATCAGGAGTTGGAGACCAGCCTGACTAACATGGTGAAACCCATCTGTACTAAAAATACAAAATTAGCTGGGCATGGTGGTGCACACCTGTAATCTCAGCTACTTGGGAGGCTGAGGCAGGAGAATTGCTTGAACTCGGGAGGCAGAGGTTTCAGTGAGCTGAGATCACGCCATTGCACTCTGGCCTGGGCAACAAGAGTGAAACTCCATCTCAAAAAAAAAAAAAAATAGCAAAAGTCAGCCAATGTGTCTCCTACTTGATGATCAAGAGGGAGAGCGGCCTGAGATAAAGGCCAGGTTGCCCTGGGCCTCCAAGAACACAATGATAATTTGTAACTCTTTCCCATAAGCATGGGAAGCCATTGGAGGATGGAGACATGATGTGACCAAACTTTAAGGTGGTCTCTGTGACTGCAGCATGGTGTATGGATTAGAGGGAAATGAGTGAAAACAAAGTCCATTTAGATGGGTACTGTAGGACTCCAAGAGAACAGTGGCTTGGTCCAGGGTTCTGACCTAGGTGAAGAAAAGTGGATGGATTTGAAACTCTTTTCAAAGTACAATCCAAAATACTTACTCACAAGGAAGGGGAAAGATATGGACAAGTGAATCCAGTCAACCACAATTTCTAATTTGAAGAGGTATTGAAAAAAAGCCCTGTCATCTTGTGGTATCATCCATTTTCATTACTAAGCAATGACTGCCATGGAGAGAGAACCAGATGGGCCTACATTTTAATTTCCTGATCTGTCCGTAAAGTAGGTATATGGTCTACCCTGATTAATAGGATTATTGTGAGGAGGAAAGAGAATCTCCTTTGGGAGCCTTTATGAAAATACCAAATGCAATAGAAATGCAAGGTGCCAACTATAGCATTGTCCTAGTATTTGACATCACTGACATGAATTTCAAAAGTTGTCGAGGATAACTGGACAGATAATATTATACTGAGTTTCAATATTTAGACTATTTACTTCTTAATAAAAATTGATGTGTTGAGCCTGGCTCAGTGATTTATTAACATAGTAACCTTGAAAAAGCCAAAAAAAAATCACGAACTATGTGCCAGACATTGTGCTATGTAAGCACCTTACACACTTTGCCTCATGTATTCCTCATAGAAGTTGGATATGTATTATTTGTCCTAATTTAGAAGATAAAGAAGCTATAGCTCAATGAGATTATGTTACTTGACTTAATAGCTACAAAGGGTTTCTGGCAGAGCCAAAACTCAAACAAGGTTCTCAATACCATCATCAGCTTTCCATGTTTCAATTTCCACATTTTGATGCAGATGTAGTCCTGCCAGCTTTATAAGTTGGTTGAGAAGATGAAATTAAATAGCATATATAGGTCGGGCATGGTGGCGCATGCCTGTAATCGCAGCACTTTGGGTGGCCGAGGCAAGTGGATCGCTTTGAGCTCAGGAGTTCAAGACCAGCCTGGGCAACATGACAAAACCCCATGTCTACAAAAAATACAAAAAACAAGTGTCTGAGCGTGGTGGTGCATGCCTGCGGTCCCAGCTACTTAAGAGGCTGAGGCTGGAGAATCGCTTGAACCCTGGAGGCAGAGGTTGCAGTGAGCTGAGATTGCGCCATTACACTCCAGCTTGGGCAACACAGTGAGACTCTGTTTCAAAATAAATAAATAAAAATAAATATAGAGCAAATATAAAAGATACCTGTAAGTTATAGTACATTTCAGCAAATGCATGAGGCTTAAGATAGGTTGTAAGCTCCATGCATTTTATTCTACAAAATGGCCATGGGTTGGACGCTTAGAAATCTGAGTATCCAGTGTCCTTCCGCTGAGACCTGAAGAGGTGCCTTTTTTAATCTTTGTTTCTGCTTCTGGGTCCTGTCCAAAGTGATCTGCTTGGGATAACATAGTTTCATCTTCCTCTAAGTCTATCATTTCAAAACTGTCATTGATGAAATGACAGCTTTTAAAGATGTTTTAAGATGATGCAATTTGAGATTAAGGTTTGTGCTAGCAGCCAAGAATTACAGCTTCAAAATGTCTTCACAGATACAAAGTCCTAGTTAAAGTCATACCTTATAGACATTTAGGAGGATATCTTTTTCTCATTTTTGACTATGCTTAAATGACAAAACAATTCAGAGAAAAAGCATAATTACCCAGATATACCAGGGCCAAATAACTCTGTACTCATATTGAAAATATTGGAGACAGAATAGACTTATTTAAATGAGGCACACAATTGCAAAGAGTTAACAGATAATCCCTTCCTTTTCAGTGTTAGACAAACAGGTGACATCTCTGAGCACTTCAGACATGATCTTGATTGATTGGAAAGGTTTACAGAAACCCATAAATATTATAATTTATGTTTAGTCCAAGGGCATAGAAACTTTGTAGCACATGAAGATGCAGCATATTTCATCTTAGATTTTTCTCTACATCCGTGTCCCTAGTGGAAGGCTTAGGTTGCTAGTGGCACTTCTTGCAGGGTAAGGTGGTGTTGGACTTGAGAAAAATCCAATTTGTGGTGACATATCACCATTCAGGAAGAACTTAACTCTCTGTGTACTGTACTTCCATTTAAGGTAATATTGACACATTCTAGACTCTTCTGATTTTTGAGCCATGGTCGGCTGAGCAAGGCCAAATCATCATCAGGGGAAGAAAATAGTATCAATTTCCCTGGACAAATGCTCTGCCTACATACTTTCTCTACTCCAGGAAGTTTAACCGCAATCACTTATGAACTGCTTAGGTACTTTAGAAAGCCTTCCAACAAGTGAGCAACTGAACTTTTCATCAAAAATTAAAATCTCAAGTGAATACAACCATTACCATGCAACACTGTCTAACTGGGAATTTTATACTCTGGTTCTGAATTATGTTGACCGTGAGGTTCAACACAGTGGAGTTTAAAGAAAGCACAGTGATGTCAAAGAGCAGTATCCTTTGCCAAGAGCCTACCCAGTTGTAATCACCATGTCTGCCAATCAATTCTAGTCACTAGCAAATGGTTAGTATCTAACAATAGCCTCCCCATTGTGTGCAGTAAAGCAAAAAAGAACATGGACTCTGTCCTCAAGTTTCTTGAGATCTAGCTGAAGAGAGGACATGTGCACAAAAAATATTCAAAATAGCATGCAATTGACAAAAAACTGACACATTCTACACAATTTGAGATGATTAATATAAACAGCTACCATTTTTTGACTAGCTTAACAATAGCCTTGGTTATGCCATGAGTAAGTTCACTTGGAAAAGAAAACTAGCTTTTCGCCGGGGTGGTCAAGATTGTGCTGGTATGATCCTTGTACTGAAACATCAGCTCTTCCTGGTTCTCAAGGCTGCTGGCCTTCAGACTGGAACAAAAATGCTGACTCTTCCTCAAATAAGACGGAACTCCTCGTGCTGGACTGCCTTCAAGTTGGAACAAAGGTTGTGGTTGTAATTGTTTTCTGCCCACAAAATCAACCTGAAACTTCAGCTCTTCCTAGGTTTCAAGCCTGCTGGCCTTCAGACTGGAAATACACACACACACACACACACACACACACACACACACACACACACACACCCTACTGCTTCTGTTTCTCTGGAGAACTCTGACTAATATACTACATTAGAGGATTTAATTGAGCTTTAAAGACATAATACACTTGGTATAGTGCCAAGCACATGACTAATGCTCTATAAATATTAGTAGTTGTTATTGATCCAGGCAGATACACATGGTTCAGTAACAAGGACTTAAGTCATCAGAGTGGGTGCACAATTATTGCAGATTTGTTTCTTGCCTATGTACCTTACTATGGATTTGTGCAAAAGTCTTAATAGAGGTGAAGATAAAGAACCCCGAATCAGAAGCAGCTAATTCACCAGGAAGCACCATCTCCTTGTTGGAGGCCATCTGGAGAAGTAAGCAACAAAAAATGGGAAATCAAACCCTCTGTTCTTCCTAAAATAGCATGGCTTTGCCACTTCAAGGGCTCTGGTGTCTAGAAGCACTTAACTACCAATAGTTGTTATGTGGGGACATACCAACTATTAGCAGTTAAGTGCTTCTAGACACCAGAGCACCAGAGCCCCATACCAATGGGGGCAGTAATAGCACATGGCAGTACCCAGAGAAAATAAGTAGTGAATCACATAGAAAGAAATAGCTGTGGTGCCCAAAGATGAATATGCAGAGATATGACATTCCCTAAAAGAGAGCCAGAAAAAGGGGAGAAAACACAGTGCTCTGTTTCTGATTACTGACCAGACTTATTCTCAAGTCACCTCCATGGTTTATGGGAATCTTCAGGAAGGAATAGAACTCTCCAGAGATTGGCAAGCCTGAAAAACATGTAAAAGAAAGAGCCAGAAAACTATACTTGTCTTTATTCCTGCTTAACACTACTGAAGTCTTGGTGGTAAAGTCATTTTCTCTATGCCACTTCCAGACACAATTGCAAGGCAAATAGCATAAACAGTCAAGTAGTGCTGTACATGTCTATTCTGTTTATAAATAAATGTGCTAAGAAGAGATCTACATTTAAATCAATGGCAGATCCTACAGTAAAAATTACCAGATATACTCATATGGATGTGATTAGAGCAACAAATATAAAAGAATGAAAAACAAAAACGATCATATGAATATAGAGGTCAATGCCTGCCCCTAAATGAATATTGAGTACATAGTAAATGCTCAGAATGAATAAGATCAATTGTGGAGAAAAATCGATGTGGTCTGGCTGTATGAGAGTATTAACTTTAATGCTTCTCATTTGTATGTATAAATTCTACTTCAAAAAGAACAGAACAATAAAACAATGTGGGCTGGTCCTTTATTATTTTCCTTGTAAGGAGGCTGTGTTTCTGTGGTCCAAACTAATTCCTCACCATACAGAAGCAGAGGAGTGACAGTTTCACCTCATGATTCCAAATAATTGGTTTGACTTATGTTTAGAGTGAATTGACCATTTTAACAGCTGGATTATTTGCAGTCACTCTTGGTTTTATTGTTAGGATTAAATTTATTTATTCATCAAATCTTTTTTTTTTGAGACGGAGTTTTGCTCTTATTGCCCAGGCTGGAGTGCAATGGCGTGATCTCAGCTCACTGCAACCACCGCCACCAGGGCTGAAGTGATTCTCCCGCCTCAGCCTCTGTAGTACCTGGGACTACAAGCATGTGCCACCATGCCCAGCTTTTTTTTTTTTTTTTTTTTCTATTTTTAGTAGAGACGGGATTTCACTATGTTGGCCAGGCTGGTCTTGAACTCCTGACCGCAGGTGATCCACCCACCTCAGCCTCCCAAAGTGCTGGGATTACAGGCGTGAGCCACCAGGCCTGGCTTATTCATCAAATACTTTTTATCCATTTTTATGCATCCAGCAAGCACTGTTAGGGGCACTCCATGCATGATACAGAGATGAACAAGGCAGATGAAGTGTCTGCTCCCATGCAGATTATCTTTTTTGACGTGAGATAAACCATAAAGAAGGAAATAAATAAATAATCATGATGGCTTCTTAAAGCAATAATTCTATAAATAGCATAAATGAAGTAATGCACTGAAGAGAGTATATTTGTGGTAAGAAAGTACTCATGCATATGTGCTATAAGAGGTAGGGAGATAAGGGGAAAGCTCTCTGAAGAAGTGAGCTTCTGACATCTGAATAAGGAACCAGCCATGTGGAAAGCTGTGGGAAGAACATTGTAAACCGAATGAATTGCAAGTGAAAAGGCTCTGGGTCAGAAATAAGCTTGGCGAGAATAAGTTCTTGAAGCAGAAAGAAGACCAATGAGCTGGAGCATAATGAAAAAGAGGGGGAGTGGTAAGACATGAGATTAGAGAGAGAGAAAAGTACCACAACATGGAGCACTTTCTGTACTTTGGAAATGAGATTACATTTTATCTTGAATGCATTGGAAACCATTGGATAATTTTAGTAATCTGTGACATGACTTATTTTGATTCTTTAATAGATTACTTTGGCTATAGCATAGAGAATAGATTGACAATTAATCCCTGACTTGATAACTGCTTGAATAAATAGTAATTTGCAATCCAATAGAGAAATTCAAATGCCACATTTTATTCTCTAAACAAATATTTGTTGATCACTCCCTGCTATGCACTGGAAAAACAGTGGCAAAGAAGATGATGTCTCTGGTACGATCTTGCAGTCTAGCAAGAAATATAGAAATTAAACAAACAACCAATTACAGTTGTGACTTTACGCAGGGGAAGGCACAGGTGAAGCACAGTTTCCACCCCACTCAGATTTAACTCAAACAAGAGGATTGGAATCCATTACTCCCCACTAAACAAGAACAATGTTTGCCAGAGGGCTTGCTAATTAGCAACAGACTTTATATTAGTCAGGCATTCTTCAGTTGCAACAGATAAAAAAAAAATCAAACTAGCTTAAGACAAAAAGAAGTGTATGAGGGATTTATTACTTCATGTAATTGAACACCTCAGGCATGGCCTCACTCTCACTGGTTTAGAGAATCAGGCAATGACATTCAATGCAGGCCGAGAGCCTGGAAAATTACGGTGGCAATTGTGGAAATGAAGGAACCTCTGCCTGTCAAGGTCTACAAATACATTCTGCCTAAATTATTTGGCAATTCCTGAGCTGCTCCCGAATCAGGGAGGCTCCAAAATTCTCAGTGTAAAGCAATAGATGGAAGATTGAGAGCTGAACAATTGCTTTGCTGCCCACCACAGGAAAGACAGAATTTGGATTTTGAGGCTTATCCTAAATACATTCAAGGACTTAAGGGGAAATATGCATATAATAGAGAAATAATGTGAAAACCTAGCAGAGAAATAGAAACTATAAGAACCAAATAAAGGTTCTCATTCGCCTCTGCTTTCTAACCTTAGAAGTCACAATTCCATCCTTGGGTCTCAGGTTTGTCTTGACTGAGCTAAGTCACCTGCTGTGCTTTCCTCACCAGAGCAAACTGACTGGTCATCAGGGTTTAGTGGCAACTGACACAGAGTGGGCTGCCACTCCTTCCCTGAGCTACCTGGGAAGGATGAGACAGCAGCAGGCTTCCTAGGCTCTAAAACTCATTCCTCCAAACTAATGCTGTTCAAAAGGTGGTAAGTGCCTCCCTGGGATACCTTAACAGCAAGACAAAGCATTATGAATGGCCTATGTTGGCCTGTATTGTGGTGTTCTGAATTCAGGCATATTAGAGAGTATGTGGTAGCGAGGAGTATTTTCATTTAAAGATTTCCTCTCATTCACCCCAAGTGCAGTCAAAGGTGGCATTTTGCCTGAGTGAGATTGTCCTGGAGCAAAGCAAGGATAGTGTGAGTTAAAAATACCTGACATGAAGGGGACTTACTTTAGAGGAAAACTTTATATCAAGTAAAGTGGTCACTGGGATGCCTGTTAATACATTTATTTGACTTGAGAAGTGAAGTCAGAGTTTTTCTGACAGAAATTAAACCTGATTTTGGTTTAAAAAAAAGAATCAAATAAAAATTCTATAACTATAAAGTATAATATTTGAAAGAACACATTGGCTGGATAAACTGGAAAGCAGATTGGCAAATAAAAGGATACAAAAAATAATTCATCATCATCTGACCTACACTACAAGAAATATTAAACAAGATTCTTTAGGATAGAATGAAACCAAAAGCTGTTGGATGGAAACTTGTATCTACAAGAAGAAAGAAAGAGCACTGAAAAAAAAAATATATACATATATATGATTTTTTCTTCTCTTAATTTCTTTAAAGGACATAAGAATGTTCAAAGAAAAATTATAACATGTTTAATGGAGCTCATTAATATATATCGATGTAACATGTAAAGTAACAATAACACAAAGGCCAGAGAGTAACTGAAACTATACTGCTGTAATTCTTTTATTTTACTAGATGTGGTACAAATCAACTATAAGAAAATTATGATAAAGTAAAAATAAATATTGCAATCCTATAGAAGTCACTAAAATAATGCTAAAAGGTTTAGCTAAAAAGACAAGAGAAGTATTAAAAGAGAAATTTTTTTAAAGTATTAGCCCTAAGAAAGACAGAAGCAAAAGATTTATTTTAAAAGGCAGAAAGATAGAAAATAAATTACAAAATAGCAGTTAAGTTCATCCATAGCAATGGTTAAATTTCAATTAACTAAACATTTCAATTAAAAGATAGTGATGGTTAGATTGGATTTAATAGAAGACCCAGTTATAAGATAAGCTGTGTACAAGAAATCTGGCCGGGCATGGTGGCTCATGCCTGTAATCCCAGCACTTTGGATGCCGAGGCGGGTGAATCACCTGAGGCCAGGAGTTCGAGACCAGCCTGGCCAACATGGTGAAACCCCATCTCTACTAAAAATACAAAAATTAGCCAGGCCTGGTGGCGGGCATCTGTAATCCCAGCTACTCAGGAGGCTGAGGCAGGAGAATCGCTTGAACCCCAGAGATGGAGGTTGCCATGAGCCGAGATGGCACCACTGCACTCCAGCCTGGGTGACAAGAGCAAGACTCCATCTCAAAAAAAAAAAGAAATCTACTTTAAGTATAACAACATATATAAGTTAAAACTAAGAGGATAAATGTCATGCAAACAGTAGGCATAAAAAGCTGCAAGGCTATACTAACATCAGAAAAAAATGGCTTAAAGACAAAAAGCATTATCAGAGATAAAGAAGAACATTTTATAATAATGGACAGAAAATTCTTCAGAAGAATATAATAACCATAAATGCACATGCCTTAATAGCATAGCTTTAAAATGTATGAAGGAAAAACTAATAAAACTAAATGGAGAAAGAGATAAATTCTCACACAGTTGGAGATTTTAAACGCCCTGAGCGAATTGACATTTATGAACTTCACTTAACAACCATAGAATGTGCATTCTTTTTAAGTTCACATAGAATGTTCACCAAGATAACCCATATGCCTGGCTAAAAGTAAGTTTTAATAGATTCCAACAAAAGTAAAATCTTACAAAGTACACTGTCTGATGAAATTGAATTAATTTAGAAATTAATAAATTGATGTTTAGAAATCCCAGGTATTCGTTAAATAAAACAAAGCACACTTGTAAATAATCAATCACTTAAAAAATAAATGACAAAGAATATTAGAAAACATTTCTGTCCAAATGGTAAAGAACATACAGCATACTTAGTGAAATGATCAAAGTTAAATAAAAAATAATAAGATTTAATGTTATGAATTCCCTGATGTGTTTCACTAAAAAGTACAAAACATTATTTCTGTGGTATTTTTACAAAGAATAAAGCATAATCTTATTCTAATCATGAGAAAGTGCTAGAAACCCAAATTGAAGGACATTCTACACAATAATTGATGAACATTCTTCAAAAATGTTAAGGTTATAAAAGACAAGGAAACACTGAGGAATTGTCCATTTGGAGTAGAACAAGAAGAAACAACAAAACAGGACAAAAATTGGAAAAACTGGTGAAATTCATGCAAAGTCCATAGTTTAGTTAGAAGTATTGTGCCAGTATTAATGTATTGGTTTTGATAGTCATCCCATGGTTATGAAAGGCAGCGAAATTAGGGAAAGCTTGAGGACATGAACCCATCAACTCTCTGTACTCTGTTTTTTAAATTTTTTCCTTAAATCTAAAATTTGTTCAAAGTACAAAGTTAAAAATAATTGTAGAAGGCATGCACAGCAGTGCTTAGAGTGAATCTGTAGCATATAACAATCATAACTTCAAGTGTTTATATTAGAAAACAAGAGGGGTTTAAAAACCACTGATCGAAGTTTCTAACTTATGAAGTTAGAAAAAGAACAAATTAAACTCACCATAAATAGAAGCAAGGAAAACTTAAACACAAGAATAGAAACTAATGAAATAGAATACAGAAAAATGGACAATATAGACAATTAACAGACAATGTACCAACTGATATGGTTTTCATTTCTGTCCCCATCCAATCTCAGGTCGAATTGTAGTCCCCATTGTTGGAAGAGGGGCCTGGTGGGAGGTGATTGGATCATGGGGATGAACTTCCTCCTTGCTGCTCTCATGATAATGATTTCTCACGAGATCTGGTTGTCTAAAAGTGTGTAGCACCTCCCCCTTCACTCTCTCTTCTTTCTTCTTCAACCAGGTAAGACGTGCCTGCTTCCCCATCACCTTCTGCCATGATTGTAAGTTTCCTGAGGCCTCTTTCCTAAGGTTTCTCTTTTCTTTATAAATTACCCAGTCTCAGATAGTTCTTTATAGCAACGCAAGAACAGCCTAAGACACCAACTTTCCAAACTCTACTTTTTATCTAACAATGAAAATAAGAGAAGAATGAGATATGAGTGATTTCTTATAATTTTATGTTGACTCAGAATCCATTTTGAATATAAGGTGCGCTTTCTCATACCAAAGCAGGGCTTGGTCACCATTGACAGTTTCCATCTATCTGCCTCTTCCAAATTCCTCAGTATGGTCGATCTAGATATCTGCCTTACACAACTTACTCCTGGTGACCACCTCCCTATGGGACAGCTAGATACAACACACTTGATTCACCCCACTGACTCCCAAACCCTGCACGGACTATGCAGATACATTGCAGTGACCACCTCGCAATCACAGTGTGTCTCTACAGATCTCTTGCCTGCCCTAAACCCCTCAATTAGAACTCCCCACAGAAAACCTGCTTGGGTAATGCCCTGGACTTGAATAAAGGCTTTGGTACACAGGTCTATCTCTCTCTCTTGCTCCCCATCCACTGGCTGAGCATGTGTGTCCCAGATGGCCTCCCTCCTTCCTATTGACCCTACAAGGATGCTGACTGCCTCTCTCTGAGATCTGTGAGAAATAAACTGCTTCTGTTATTTCACGTGTTTTGTTGAGTTGCCTCCTCTATGTCTCGCCTGACCAGCACACCTGAGCCTAACTTCTGTCCTAGTTAGGGCTCTCCTAGGCTATTTTGGTAGGAGTAAACTAGACACAGGTCAGACAAGAGCCACAGGGGCATCTGTCAGTTTAAACAAATTTCCTAAGAGAAGGACACCTGGTCACAAGTCAGCCACTTAGACATTAGTCCATCCACCAAGATAAAGAAGTATCCCATGAAAGGAACACTATGAACATCCACAACCAAACCCTCTGGAGTCCCACAGGGCAGGGCTGGGGTTTATAACCATTCTTCTTTTTTTTTTTCTTTTTTTTTTTTTTGAGACGGAGTTTTTCTCTTCTGCCCAGGCTACAGTGAAGTGGCATGATCTCGGCTCACTGCAACCTCTGCCTCCCAGGTTCAAGCAAAGCTCCTGCCTCAGCCTCCTGAGTAGCTGGGATTATAGGCGCCTGCCACCATGCCTGGGTAATTTTTTTATTTTTAGAAGAGATGAGATTTTGCCATGTTGGCCAGGCTGGTCTGGAACTCTAGAACTCTGGTGATCCGCCCCCCTCGGCCTCCCAAAGTGCTGGAATTACACCACTCCCAGCCTATAGCCATCTTTGAGAGAGACTTTGACACCACATTAGAAAAAATAATAAATAAATAATGATAAAAGTACATATATCAACTTGCTTTTGCCAGGCACCTGGAAGTATTCCGGGACAAATTTAAAATAAATTTACAACTTGAAGCTCTTTGGACTACCTAAGGCACATTAATTTGTTGCTTTGAAGCCCCTTCAAGGAGGTCTTATTATTAAACAATTCAGAGGTTCCTGTACTCTGCTTAGCACCAAGGCAACATTCAATTACAGTCCTTAGGGGCGGGAAGAGCCATTTATTTCTGATTTGTAACTTACTCTAAAAGCATTGCCCTGTGCTTTCCCAGACTTACACAGTAAAAGTTTCCTATTAAAACTCCTTTTTCAGAAAGGAAAGGCCCTGGGAAACTGAAGCTCAAATTCACCGGTTTCAAAACATCCCTAGGTCAAAAGCGTCCTGCTTACCACTCTACTCTAGCCTTCATTTAGAGTAGAAGTCAGCACACACTTTCCATAAAGACTCAGATAGCAAATATTTCAGGCATTGCTTGTGATCCATAGAGCCTCTGTCACAATGTCTCAACCCTGCCATTGTAGCACAAAAGCAACCATGGACAATAAGGAAATGAATAATCAGGCTATGTTCCAATTCAACTTTACTTGTCGAGAGGCAAGTTTGAGTTTCACAAAATTTTTATGCGACACTATCTGCTTCAGCTATTAAAAAATTTAAAAACCATTTCTAGCACAAGGATCATACAAAGTAGGTGCCAGGCCAGATTTGTCTCACCGGCTGCAGTTTGCCAACCACTGACTTAGAGGTTTGCCTGATCAATTTGTGCTTCTTTCTTGACATTCCCTTGTTATATGGCTACACACATACATACATACATACACATACGAACACATACATATACACACACAAATACACAGCAGCCTATGGTTAGAAATTTAGCTAAACATATTAATAAAAATCAAAGTAAATGCAGCAAAACTTACATTCGCACATACTTAGAGATTCCATTCATCTCCCTAGGTTTTTGTCCACATTACTTTTAGATTTCAATTTCTATATATTTAGAGGCATTTCTCCAGTAGAGTTAGAATTGAAAAGAAAGTCCATTGGACAAATTTTATAAAATACAAATTCAATAGGAATTGATTTGTGCTTAGTATGGATCCTTAAATGGAAAATTATTCATTTTAACTTAACATAATGAAATTCAGTAGAAATAATGTAGTAGCCACAGTATAATCAAGAGGCATCAATTTCAGCATAAAGTTTAAAAACATAATAAAAATACTACATATTAAATATATTCAAAATATTTAATATTCAAAATATTAAAATATTTAAAATATTTAAAATTCAAAATATTAAAATATTTAAATATTTAAATATTTAAATATTTAAATATTTAAATATTAAAATATTTGATTAACATTTAATTAAAATATTCAAAATATTCAAATATTTAATATCAATGGCATTTCCTACAGCCTTCTTAATAATTTTTTACAATAGGCTAAGATGCATGGTAGGTGTGATAAGGACTTCTTTAACATTTAATAAAATTTTATTTCTTTGTTTTGTGGGTACATAGTAGGTACATATATTTATGGGGTATATAAGATAGTCTGTTACAGGCATACAATGTTTAATAAACACATCAGAGTAAATGGAGTATCTGTTGCCACAAACATTTATTATTTATTTGTGTTACAAACATTCCAATTATACTTTTAATTGCTTTAAGATGTACAATAAATTATTGTTAACTGTAGTCATCCTCTTGTGCTACTAAATACTAGATTTTGTTCATTCTATCTTACTATATGTTTGTACCCATTAGCCATCCCCTATCCCCACAACCCCTCTTACCCTTCCCAGCCTCTGGTAACCATCCTTCTCCTCTCCATGAGTTCAATTGTTTTCATTTCTAGATCCCACGAATGAGCGCTAATATGCAAAGTTTGTCTTTCTGGGCCTGGCTCATTTCACTTAACATAATGACTTTCAGTTCCATCCATGTTGTTGCAAATGACAGGATCTCATTCTTTTTTTTTTTTTTTGGCTGAGTAGTTCTCCATTGTGTATATGTACCACATTTTGTTTATCCATTCATCTGTCGATGGACACTTAGGGTGCTTCCAAATCTTGGCTATTGTGTATAATGCTGCAATGAATGTGGGAGTGCAGATATCTCTTCAATATATTAATTTCCTTTCTTTTGGATATATACCCAATAGTGGGATTACTGGATCATACAGTAGTTTTATTTTTAGTTTTTTGTGGAAG
Organism: Homo sapiens; assembly: GCF_000001405.40. Taxonomy (NCBI): domain Eukaryota; kingdom Metazoa; phylum Chordata; class Mammalia; order Primates; family Hominidae; genus Homo; species Homo sapiens. Next base: position 161,182,921 of record NC_000005.10, on the reverse strand, counting down.
CTCCATTCTGTTCTCAGTTCTACAGTGGCTGTATTAATTTACATTCCCACCAACAGTGGTGTAAGGGGGCATCCTTATTTTTTTCACATCTTAGAGGAAATACTTATTTTTCCCCCATTTAGTATGGTACTAGCTGTGAATCTGTCATATATAACTTTCCTTGTGTCGAGGTATGTTTCTTCTATACCCAGGTTTTTTAGAGTTTTTATCATGAAGGGATGCTGAATTTTATCAAATGCTTTTTCAGCACCAATTGAAATGATCATTGTCCTTCATTGCTTTTGTCCTTCATTCTGTGGATATGATGTATCTCATTGAATTATTTGCTTATGTTGAGTGAACCTTGCATCCTGTTATAAATCCCATTTGGTCATAATGAATGATCTATTTAATGTGTTGTTTAACTTTGTTTGCCAATCTGTTGTTGAAGATATTTGCATCAATATTTATCAAGAATATTGACCTGTAGTGTTCTTTTTTTTTTTTTTTTTTTTGGATGTGTACTTTTCTGGTTTTGGTATCATGGCAATACTGGTGTCATAGAATAAGTTTGAAATTTTTGCACCTCCTCTATTTTTTGCAATAGTTTGAATAGGATTGATATTAATTTTTCCTTAAATGTTTGGTTAAATTCAGCAGTGAAGCCATTGGGTTGCAGGTTTTTCTTTGCTTGGAGACTTGTTACAATGGCTTTGACCTCATTACTTATTTGTCTATTCAGGTTTTGGATTTCTTTGTTCTTCAATCTTTGTAGTTATATGTATCTAGGAATTTATCTATTTCTTCTAGGTTTTTCAATTTTTGGCATATAGTTGTGCATAGTAATCTCTAATGATTCTTTGAATTTTTGTGATATCAGTTGTAGTATCTCTCTTATCTCTGATTTTATTTTTTAGAATTTTCTCTCTCAGTCAATCTGGCTAAAGGTTTGTCAAATTTTCTTTATCTTTTTTAAAAAACAACCTTTGTTTCATTGATCCTTTGTATTTTTATTTCAATTTCACTTATTTCTTCTTTGATCTTTACTATTTCTTTTTTTCTGCCATTCTAGGATAAAAGTTTTTCCTTCAACCCTTTAAATATGTCATGCCATGCTCTCCTGGCATGTAAGATTTCCACTGAAAAGTCTTCTGCCAGACATATTAGAGCTGCTTTGTAAGTTTTTTGTTTCTTTTATCTTGCTGTTTTTAGGATTCTTTCTTTATCCTTGATCTTTAGGAGTTTGATTATTACATGCCTTGAGGTAGTCTTCTTTGGATTAAACCAGGTTGGTATTCTATAATCCTCCTGCACATAAATATTGATATCTTTCTGTAGGTTTGGAAAGTCCTCTGCTATTACCCCTTAGAATAAACTCTCTACCCCATCTCTTTCTCTTCCTCTTCTTTAAGGCCAATAGCTCTAAGATTTGCCCTTTTGATACGATTTTCTAGATCTCATGGGCATGTTTCATTCTTTTAACTCTTTTTTTCTTGTTTCTCCTCTGTGTATTTTCAAATAGCCTTTCTTCAAGTTCATTGGATATTTTTTCTGTTTGATCAATTCCACTGTTGGGAAACTTTGTTGAATTCTTCAGTATGTCAGTTCAATTTTTCAGCTCCAGAATATCTGCTTGATTTTTTTAAAATTATTTCAATCTCTTTGTAATTTATCTGATAGGATTCTCAATTCCTTCTCTGTGTTATCTTGAATTTTGTTGAGCTTTGTCAAAACAGCTATTTTAAATTCTCTGTCTGTAGGTCACACATCTCTGTCACTCTGGGATTGTCAGTGGTTCCTTAGTTCATTTGATGAGGTCATGGTTTCATAGACAATATTGATTTGATAAGGTCATGGTTTCATGGACAATATTGATGCTTGTGAATGTCTGTTGATGTCTGGGCATTGAAGACTTAGGTATTTTTTATAGTCTTCAGTCTGGGCTTATTTGCACCCATCATTCTTAGGAAGGCCTTCCAGGTATCAAAAGAGAGTTGACTGCTGTGATCTAAAGCTTTGGTCACATCTTCATTGGGGGTCATCTCAAACCTGATAACACTGTGACACTAGCAAACTCAAAGAGTTACCATGTCAGTGGTCTTGGATAAGATCTGGAAGAATTCTCTGGAGTGGAAGGCAGAGACTCTTATTCTCCTCCCTACTTTCCCACTAATAAACAGAGGTTCTCTCTCTTTCCATGCTAAGTTACATGGAGCTAGGGGAGGGAAGACACAAGCAACCCTGTGGCCACCAACACTGGGACTGTGCTGTATCAGACCCAAATCCAGCACAGGACTGAGTCTCACCCAATGCCCATGGCAGTCACTGCTTGGCTACCACTGATTTTACTCAAGGACCCAGGACTCTTCAATCAGCAGATGAGGAATCCAACAAGGCTTGTGTCCTACCCTTCAGAGTAGTGAGGTCTCTCCTGGCCCAGGACAGGTCCAGAATATTGTCTGAGACCCAGGGCCTGAAGTTGGGAACATTATGAATCTACCTGCTACTCTATCCTACTGCAGCTGAGCTGACATCCAAGCCACAAGACAAAGTCTTCGCTCTTTCCACTTCTTTCCTCATGAAGAAGAATTCCTCTCCATGGACATCACCACCTATAGGCTCATGGGGATTACTGCCTGGCTACTGTAAATGTTCACTCAAGACTCCAGGGCTCTTTATTCAGCTTTTTTGAATGCTTCTAGGCCTGAGTCTCTCCTTTCAGTATAGTGGGCTCCCCTCTGGCCCAGGGTGGGTCCAGGAATGCTATGCAGGAGCCAATGCCTGGAATCAGGGGATCCAGGAAACTGCTTTGTGCTCTACCTCACTGTGGCCTAGATGGTGCCTAAGCTGCAAGACTAAGTCCCCTTTACGCTTTTCTTTTCCTCTAGCAGAAGGAATCTCTCCCCATGGCCACCATAGCTGGTAATGTTCTGGGTCACACCTGAAGCTAGGATGGCCCTGGGTCCCACCTAAGTGAAAACTGCTTGGGTACCATTGATGTTTATTTTCAAGGCCCAAGGGCTCTTTAGTCAGCAGGTGATTAATCCTGCTAGGACTAGGTCTTTCCCTTCAGGGAAATGGCTTCCCTAATGACCTAGGGTGTATTTAGAAATGTCCTCTGGGAGCTAGGGCTTGGAATGCAGGCCTCATGACTCTGTCTGGTGCCCTATCCTACTGTGGCTGAGCTGGTATCTAAGTTGCAAGACAAAGTCTTCTTTACTCTTTCCTCTCCTCTCCTCAAGGGGAAGCTGTGAGCTGCACTGTGTGGGGTTGGGGAGGAGGTGGCACAAGCACTCCCTTGGTTTCTCTGACTTGTGTATCACTGTGTCCTATGTCCCCCAAGTTCACTGACTCTGAACCCAACACAGCACCAGAACTTGCCCAGGAATTGCAGTCCTTATAGCCTAGACTGTCTTTCAAGTTTGTTTAGGACCCTAAACCATTTTGGGCTGTGGTGGCAGGGCTGCCAAGACTCAGGTTCTGATCTCTGCAATGGGTAACTCCCTTCTGGCCAGGGCTGGTCTAAATGCTACCTCTGTGGGCTCCAGTTGAGTATTGCCCCAGGTTGCTTTCTACTGTGACAGGGCAGGACTGAGTTCCAATGCAAAGTCCCACCATCACTGTGCTCTCCGTCCCCCAACAGCATAGATTCTCTCTCCATAGCATGTGGCTGTTCCTGGGGGTTGGGTGAGCGGTGATGTCAGCAATTCAAGACTGTCTTTTTTACCCTTTTCGATGCCTCTTTCCTTGATACGATGCTAAAACCACATATTGTGATTGCTCACCTGATTTTTGGCCCTTATGAAGGTGCTTTCTTGCATGGATAGTTGTTCAATTTTGGTGTTTGTGCTGGGGAGACAATTACTAGAGGCTTCTATCTGGCCATGTTGCTCTTCCTCACTCCTAACATTTATATTAAACTTAAGAACCAAGATAGAGAGTGTGGACCCATGCCCATCAATAACTTTGGTCTTTGCAAAAAAGCCATAATTCTACAATGAAAGTAATGAAGAGTTGAATAAAAGAACAGCATAGTATATTATAGTAGAGAATATCAATATTTACCCTAACGAGTAAAATGTAGAGTTCAGACTGATCTTTATAAATAACGTATGCCAATTAAAATAAAAACATTTTGTTTGTATTATCTAAGCAAGGTAATGTTTATGGGTGTTAAAACATTGGTGAACAAGAATGCATTAGACCCATACATCAGTTGTCAATTGAAGAATAGTCTGTTTAACAAATGGTGCTTTGAGAACTGAATATCTACATGTAAAAAGATGAAGTTAGGCCCATACCTCAATTCATATACAAATATCAACTCAAAATGGATCCAAGACCTAAATGTTAGAGTTAAACCTATAGAACTCTTAGAAGAAACCATAAGGATAATCTTAATAACCTTACTTTTGGAAAAAGATATTTATATATTATACCAGAAGCACAATTAACAGAAAAAAATAAATTGGACTTTATCAAAATCAGGAATGCTTGTGCATCAGAGAACAGTATCAAGAAAGTGAAAAAACAACATAAAAATGGGAGAATATAGTTACAAATCATGTATTTGAAAAAGATCTAATATCCAGAATAGATAAAGAACTCTTATAATTCAATAACAAAAAGACACACCATCCAATCTTTTTTAAAATGGGCAAAATAATTGAATTGGTATTTTTCCAAAAAAGATACACAAATAACTGGCAAGCACACGCAATGATGCTCTACATGATTAGTTATTAAGAAAATACAATTAAAACCACAATTAGATACAGCTTCACACTCATTAGTCTATAAATTTTTAAAAATACACAAACCATAACAAGTTGTAATAACTTATTTAGTAATAAAATAATAACAACAAAGTAAATTTTGGTGAGAATGTTAAGAAACTGGAAGCTTTACACATTACTGGTAGGAATGTAAAATAGTGCAACAACTGTGAAAAACAGTTTGGTGGGTTGTCAAAATGTTAAACATAGTTACTAAGAGACTAAGAATTCTACTTCTAAATATATATCCAAAAAAATTGAAAACAGGTATTCAAAAAATCTTGTACACAAATGTTCATAATAGTACTATTCAGAATAGCCAAAAAGTGGAAACAGATTTTTAAAATGTGATACATGCATACAATGGAATATTATTCAGCCATAAAAAGAAATGCAGTACTGATAATGCCGCAATGTGAAAGGTCACATATTGTATAATTCTGTTTATATAGATACCCCAAATAGGCAAATACCTAGAGAAAGAAAGCCAATTAGTGGCTTCTAGGAGTTGGGAGGTGGGGGTGGAAATGAACGGGAGTGACTGCTTAATGAATATGGCTTTCCTTTTCTGGTGATAAAACTGTTTTGAAACTAGACAGAGTTGATAGTTTGATAACATTGTGAGTATACTAAATTTCACTGAATTTTATGCTTTAAAGTGGTTAATTTTATGTTATGAAATTTTGCCTTTTAAAAAAGTGATGCATTGTATTGAGGTGGAAATCCATATGCTGATATGTTTGCAGTGAGGCTTTTCTGGTTTTGTTTTTTTCTTTAGTTCCTAATAAAACAAGTGCAAGCAAGAAAAACATAAGAATATACGAGGCACAATTTGAGTATACAGCCCCATTTTCATGTATTGATTAAATCTACATAAATAAATCCAGAAAAGTCAGATTTTTTCAGTCCTCTTGAAGAATATAAAATCTGAAATCAAAGACATTTTAAGGGTGGCGAGTTGAGTTCTTTGATTCTGTTTTCATGAGATATAAAAGATACTTTTCCCTAAATGGGAAGAGAAGAGATAGCATTTTTCAACAAATCCAATTCTCCCATTTTGCTTACATCTCTCCCAGAGGACTTTATTCCACAGGTTTATGTATTCACAGCTCAAACTTTGAAACCTAACATCTTTTTAAACTAAATTTTTATGAATTCCAAGATTCTTTAACTTCTTTTCAAAAATAAAAACTCAAAATAAATACAATTTTGCCCTGGGCCTGAATCATATAAAAGCACTCAGATTTATCAAAACTCAAAAGATGATCATATTTGAAAGCTGCCAAAAGTGAATATGCAAGAACAGGGTTGAAATTTCTAAAAGCACAGCACTGATAGCCAATAAACTTACTATGCCCTGACTGCCAAAACATACTGAATTCTCTAATTACTGTAATGTGTAATTTTTTCAATGCTTTAAATAAGACACAGCCAATGCATGATAGCCTCAATCTACAGAAACTAAAAAAAGGCCCAGAATCTTTTGAGACATAACTTTTTCTCAAAATCCTAAATGTAAAACTGAAACATTTACTATTGAATGATGTTGTTTCAAGATAAATGGCTAGAATAATACACTACTGATGGTCAAAAAATTATGGCTTCTGAGAGCCTATCACAAGGGCCTCTATCCTAACCTGAAGGGCCAGAAGGTCTTACCAGGAGAAGATGATGTTTGAGCTGAGATCTTAAGGAGGAATGAGAGTGACTGAGAAAAACAAAACGAAACAGGAAACCAGTTGACAGCACAGATGTAATGGTACTAGTAGGGTGGCAGGCAATCTAGAAAGAGGTGACCGGATTCAATAGGTATTTAGGGAGCAAAGTTAACAAAGTAACAAAATCACACATAGTTGAGATATAGAGGAAGTGTTTTTAAAACAGCATCTAGTAGTAATGGCAGAGTAAGACCCTACCTGATGACTCCCCAGAAATAATAAAAAAAAAACCTATAAAACCTAAACATAATAAAAAGAGCAGCGACCTGAGGTACTGGAGACTGAGCAGAAGGCAGACTTAAGTGGAGAGTGCACGTTCTGAGCAGAAGAGAGGAGTTGAACAAGGAACATCTTATTACCACAACTTTCAGCCTAGGGCTAAGCGCAGTTGCTATGGCTCACATGCAGTGGCAGAGTGCAACTGAAAAAAAAATGCATTTTTTTTTCTAGCAGAGGGAACTGAGGCTGCTGAAGAGAATAGGAGAATGCCAGAGGGGAAAAAAGGGGATCTCCAAATTCTTTCTACCCACATCTCCAATTAATCCCTGGACCACACATGAGCAGAATCAGAACAGCTCAGCTAAAGAAAAAAATCTGCAGATTACAGATATAGGTAGACTAATGTGAAGGTAGATTAGCAGACATTATCAAATTTGAAGAAAGAAAAATGTTTTAAATAAATAAATAAAATAGAGCCTCAGGGACCTCTTAAATTGTATCAAAGCATCCAACATATATGCAACTGGAAACCCAGAAGGAGAGGGTAAAAATTCTAAAATTATGACAGCAAGTTTTTGAAAATAATGACTCAAAAACCTCTATATTTAATAGAAGAAATTTTCAGACACAAGATAGTTAATGAACATAAAGTAGAAGAAACATGAAGAAGCCTGCACTGAGGTTTATCTCACAGTCAAACTATTAAAGGCCAAAGATGAAAAGCAAATCTTGAAGGCAGCAAAGAAAAAATGACACATTCCTTACAAAAGAACAACGATCCAACTAACATCTGATTTCCCGGAAACCACAGAGGGCAGAAGAGTAAAACAATATTTTTAAGGTGCTGAAAGAAACAGAAAACAGTTGTACCAAATTCTACATGGAGGAAAAAAAAATTCCTTTCAAGAGTGAAGGCAGGTTCAGGCTAAGACAAACTGAGAGACTTTTTTTTTTTTTCTAGCAAAGATGCTTAAGAAAATCCTACATACTGAAAAGAAATGATGCCAGATAAAAACTCAGATCCTTAGACAATACTGAAGAGCATTGAAAATGGTAAATATCTGGATAAATTCAAAATATTATTTTATTCTATTTTATTTTACTCGTACTTTCTTATGAGGAAGATTACATAAATTATACAACAGGTAAAAGAAAAATTTATTATAGTTATAATTTATAACACATAGAATATGTTTATAACAACTATAACAAAGTTTTGGGTATACATGGATGTAGACTACTGCAAAGTTTCTGTATTTGTGTGAAGAGGCGCTACCTTCACTCTAAATGAACTGAATATTGTTTTCTGTAAGACAACAATTTTTAAAAATGCAATGAAGTATAAAAAGCATTTGAAGAGAATGCAGAATGCTGAAGAATGTTTTAGATTTTGGGGTTAACTGGTTCCATGTGAGAACAGGATCAGATTTCTCATGGGCTGTGACAGCCAGGCAGGTGTGCTACTTGAATCTCCCTTGAAGAAAGAACTTGTCATTCTGTTGCAAGTAGTTCAGCAAGCTGACAGCTTTCAGTTTTTAACACCTTCACAAGACACTTTAGTTTTCAAGCGGAATCTAAGCTCCTCCTGAGCAACTCCAGCTAAAGACTAAGCATGGTGAGGATTCTAGGGCCAGAGTATTTTTCTCCAATCCAAAACTCCTGTAATGGGAAATACTTGCTCCAGAGATCCCCTTTGGGTTGGTCAAGACTTTTTTCATTTCTGCACTGTGGTTGGAAGCTTCTCTGCCCACTATTTCTTCTTTTCTTTTTCTCTTTCACACCCGATAAAACTCATACTCCTAACTCCACATAGTCATCTATTTCCCAGAGGACACAATTAATACAGCTTCCATTCCAAAGCTAGGACCGCACCTGCCTGCTTTAACAGCTTCTACGGTTTGAAAGTCCTCTCCAAAACTCATGCTAATATTTAGTTGACATTGTGGTGATGTTATCAAGAAATGAGACCTTTAAGAGGTGATTCAGTCATGAGGGCTATGCCCTTATGAACAGATTAATACCATTATTTCAGAACTGAGTTCCTGATAAAAGGATGAGTTTGGCCCAACTTTCTCTCTCTGTCTTCAAGTGAACTTCCCCACCATGTGTTGCCTTCTGCCAGGTTATGACACAGCAAGAGGAACCTTACCAGATGTGGTCTCTCAGTCTTGGGCTTCCCAGACTCCAGGACTGTGAGCCAAATAAATCTCTTTTCTTTATAAATTTCATCTGGTATTCTGTTATAGCAACACAAAATGGACTAAGATAATAGCTTTCCCCAGATACCGTTGATGCATCTGAAGCGGGAGGAAGACATAATGAAGCATGCTTGAAGATTATAAGAAGGAATATTTTTTGACATTTTTATGCACATGCTGCTTCCACAAGAAGCACAAGAAAATGGCATAGAAGATGGACCTACATGGTGTAACTGCAAAAGAAAACGTCACAACTCCTATCCTGACTTTGCCTGCCCAGTGCAAAGGTGAGATCAGTATTTTAACATTTATAATGAACATTCACAATGGGCATTTGCTGAAATAGACCTGGCACTTGGAATAAATTCAAGCTATTTATATTTATGGTCACAACACATCATTCATGGTAAAGAAGAGAATTTTATGCTATTTTTTCACTCCTCACTAAAATAGATATGTGACGATTATGCAAGGATAAAAGTGATGTGAATAAAAATGTAAGAATGAAGCAAATCTCTTAGGTGTCACTGGTCTTGAGAGAATACTACAATCAGGAGGCAGCTCTTTTAACAAGAAAGAAAAAGATAATGTTCATAATAGAAACACATACAAAGCAATTTTGCATTTTTTTTCTGAAGGATAATATTGAGCTCCAAAAGAAGTTACTGGTCAATTTAACACTTCACTGATCAGAAAGTTGAAACTTGGAGGACAGTGGAAATTTGCTCAGTATAAAAAAAAAGAGCACAGGCCCAGGCATGGAACTTGATTGCATTACATATTAATTGTGGTCACTGTCTCTGAACCTAATGTCCTCATCAGCAACTTGAGCAGAATAACACCTGGCAGGAACATTATGCAAATGAAATAAGAGGAAAAGATAAAACAATCTATCATAATTATTGACTTCCAAAGGACTCACAAATGGTTATGTTATCAATTTTATTGGTAACAAATTGATTATCCACAGCCCCTCTGCTATTCCTAACCAATAAACTGGAGTTGAATGAAAAAGTAATTGTGATGTATAGAACTTGAACCAAACTGATTGGGGTCCAAGAAATTTAATAAATCATCTGATGGTAATAGCTGAAACTGCAATGGCAGCAGTGACATTCCTATAAAGAGAAGGGATGTTGAATGTGGTAGTTTATGTTTGAAACAAAAGGAGAGGAAAAATTAGGAAATAAAAAGAGCAAAACATTCTAAGCAAATGTTGAGAGAATGAGAAGACAAGCCACAGACTGAGAGAAAATATTTGCAAAAGACACATCTGATAAAGGACTATTACCTAAAATATACAAAGAACTCTTAACACTCGACAATAAGAAAACAATCTGATTTTAAAACAGGCCAAAGATCTCACCAAATAAGATGTTACAGATGGCAAATAAACATATGAAAACATTCTATAACATGTGTCATCAGAAAAATGCAAAGTAAAATGAGATATCAGCACACAGCTATTAGAGTAACCAAAGCCATTGAGTAACAACACCAAATGCACGTAAGAATGTGAAGCAACAGAAACTCTCATACATTATTTATGAGAATGCAAAATCATATAGTCATTTGTAACACAGTTTGGCAGTCTCTTACAAAACTAAACATACTGTTACAAGATGACATAGATATCACACTCCTTGGTATTTACCAAAGGAGTTGAGCACCTATGTTCATAGACACACTTGCACATGAGTGTTTCAGCAGCTTTATTTATAATTGTCAAAACCTGGAAGCAACCAAGATGTCCTTCAGTAGATGAGTGGACGAATAAACTGTGGTACGTCCAGATAATAAAATATTATTCACCACTGGAAAAGGAGCTGTCAAGCCATAAAAAGACATACAGGAAACTTAAATTTAAACTTAAGTATTACTCAGTGGAAGAAATCAATCTAAAAAGCCAGCATACTATGATTTCAACTGTATGACATTCTGGAAAAGGTGAAACTATGAAGACAGTGAAAAGATGAGTGGTTGCTAGTCCTTAGGGTGGGAGAGGGATGGATAGCTGGAGTACAGAGGGTTTTTAGGGAAGTAAAAATACTCTGTATGATATTCTAATTATGGATACAGATCGTTATATATTTGTACAACCCACTGAATGTGTATTTTGAATCACCTTTGTATTCCTGGGATATATCTAACATGACCGTGGTATGGTCTTCATATTTTATAAGTCCTGAGCTGGTCAAAGGAAATTGACATTGTTTCTGACTTTCTTATCTAAGTTCTGCAAACTCAATAAATGTGACATATCATACCAACTGAATGAAAGACAAAAACCATATTATCATCTTAATAGATGCAGTAAAAGTATTTAATAAAATTCAACATCCCCTTATGATAAAAATTCTCAATGAATTAGGCATGTAAGGAACATACCTCAACATAATAAAAGTCTTATAAGAGAAACCCACAGATAACATCATATCGAATGAGTAAAGGTCAAAAGACTTTCCTCTAAGAACTGGAACAAGACAAGGACATCTACTTTTTACACTCTTGTTATAGCATAGTATTTGGATGAAAATAGACACATAGACCAATGGAACAGAATAGAGAACCCAGTTATAAATCCACATACTTTCAGGCAACTGATTTTAGAAAATGCACCAAGAACATATTTTGAGAAAAGGACATCCTCTTCAATAAATAGTGTTGGGAAAACTGAATATCCATATGCAGAAGAATGAAACTACACCCTTATCTCTCACTATATATAAAAATTAACTCAAAATGCATTAAATTTAAATGTAAGACCCAAAACTATGAAACTACTAGAAGAAAACAGAGGAGAAACACTTCAGGACATTGGTCTCAGCAAAGATTTTATGACTAAAACTTCAAAAACACAGGCAGCAAAAGAAAAAATATACAAATAGGACTATATTGAGCTGCAAAGCTTCTGCCCAGCAAAGAAAACAATAAAGAGACAACTTGTAAAATGTGAGAAAATATTTCCAAATTATTCATCATACAAGAGACTAATATTCAGAATAAACAAGGAATTCAAACAACTCAACAGCAAATAACAGAATCCAATTAAAAAGTGGGCAAAAGAACTGAATAGACATTTCTCAAAAGAAGACCTACAAATGGCCAAGATACATAAAAAAATGCTCAGCATCACTAATCATCAGAGAAATGCAAAGCAAAGCCACAATGAGATATCATCTTATCCCAATTAGAATGGTTATTATCAAAAAGACAAAAAAAAAATGCTGGTGAGGATAGGGAGAAAAGGGATTCTTACACACTGTTGCTAGGAGTGTAAATTAGTATAGCCATTATGGAAAACAGTATGGATGTTCCTCAAAAAAACAAAAATAGAACTAACATGCAATTCAGAAATTCTACTACTGGGTATTTATCCAAAGGAAAGGAAATCAGTGTATCAAAGGGATAACCTGCACCCCCATGTTTACTGCAGCTCTATTCACAATAGCCAAGATATGGAATCAACCTAAGTGTCATGAAAGAATTAATGAATAAAGAAAATATTATATATATATATATACACACAATAGGACTATATTGAGCTGCAAACCTTCTGCCCAGCAAAGAAAACAATAAAGAGACAACCTGTAAAATGTGAGAAAATATTTCCAAATTATTCATCACACAAGAGACTAACATTCAGAATAAAAAATGAATTCAAACAACTCAACAGCAAATAACAGAATCCAATTAGAAAGTGGGCAAAAGAACTGTGTATATATATATATATATATATATATATATATATATATATATATATATATATATATATATAGAATACACACATACACACACACACACACACACAAACGGAATAAAATTTAGTATTAAAAAAGAATGAAATCCTGTCATTTGTAGCAACGTGAATGGAACTGGAAGTCATTATGTTACATGAAATAAGCCAGGCACAGAAGGAAAAATACCACATATTCTCACTCATATGTGGGAGCTAAAAAAAAAAAGTTTCAGCTCATGAAAGTTGAGAGTAGAATTGTGGGTATTAGCAGCTGGGAAAGGAAGTAGGTGGGGAGGTTGGGAAGAGGTTGGTTAATAAATACAAAATTATGGCTAGATTGGGGGAATTAGTTCTGGTGTTTGCAGCACTATAGGGTAAATATGATTAACTAGAATTTTTTGAATATTTTCAAAAAGCTATAAGAGAGGACTTTAAATGCTCACAACACAAAGAAATAATAAATATTTGAGGTGGTGTTTATGCTAATTATCCTTATGCGATCATTTTACATTGTATACGCATAGCAAAATATCACTCTGTATCCTGTAAATATGTACAATTATTACTTATCAACTAAAAATAGAAGGGAGAAAAATTAAAGATGGAGATTAGGATCCCAGAACACCAAGTGATTAAAAACGCTGATACTGGTATCAGACTTTCTGGGCTTAAGGTTTGGCTCCATCACTGTAACCTTAAGTTATTAACCTCTCTGTTCCTCATTTTTCTCAACTGCAAAAGGCAGGTGATGACAGTACCTAATTAAGAGAGTGGATGATTAAATGAGATATTCTTATGAAATGTTTAGATCACAACTCCAGAGTGAGCTTTAATTTTTTAGCTATTATTAATATCTCATCAATTATTAACCCTATTAGAGTGACTACTGTTTTGGCAGAGAAGAGAGGTGATAAGTGCTTAAAAATTATTATGGATGGGGAAAGCTGAACTTTTCTATAGTTTTCCTCCCACACACAGCAATCTTGATCTTGCTTCCCTAGTGGTTTTTAGAAGTAAACTTAAGAATGGAAGAAAAGCAGGCAGAGCAGTAAGAAGGCAAACGTGGACACGTGCAGTGGCTCACGCCTGTAAGTCTAGCACTTTAGGAGGCCAATGCAGGTGGATCACTTGACGTCAGGAGTTCATGACCACCCTGGCCAACATGGTGAAACCCCGTCTCTACTGAAAATACAAAAAGTAGCTGGGCGTAGTGGCACCCGCCTATAATCCCAGCTACTCAGGAGACTGAGGCAGGAGAGTCGCTTGAACCCGCGAGGCGGAGGTTGCAGTGAGCCAAGATCATGCCACTGCACTCCAGCCTGGGTGACAGAGCAAGACTCCGTCTCTTCTGTCTAGCAGAGTTGAAGCTTATATTGTTATTTTTAAAAATCCTTGCAGTCATGTGTTAAATACAATAACATCCACTTTACAGATGAGGAAACTGAGCCTCAGAGAGTCTCACAAAAACACGCAAGGCCACAGAGCTGGATGCAGCAGAGTGGGGATTGGATCAGCCTGAGGCCCCAAGCCAGAGCCAAAGGTAAGAGGGGCAGAAGAGAACACCTCATCATGTAAAGCTTTACAATTAACAAGGTGCTTCTTGTATTTGATTTTATTTCAAATATCTAGAAGTTTGGTAAGGTAAGTAAATCTGATACATTGGATTTTATAGATACCAGAAATGAAACTCAGAAAGAAAGGTTACATGATATGCCCAAGGTCGCACAAGCAATATGCAGAGGAGCCAGGAGTACAAGGCAGGGCATGCGGTTCCAATCCCACCTTCTTGCTCCATTCTCAATGGACTGGAGGACAGAGAGGAATCGGAAGCAGTGTCTTCAACTATCCCAAAGAAGAGGAGTGTAATCTATGTCTTCTGAAAGTTTGCTTGAAAATTTCCCCTCTCCTAATCCAACCTCAATTATTATAAAACATTGTAAGCTTCATGAGGGCAAGAAAAAAATATTTTACGTGACTATAGTCCCAGTACCTATCACAATGCCTGCATTGGGTAAGAACTTGACACATATTTGTTGAATAAATCAGCGTATTAAGTAGATATAAAGAGAGTGACAAGCCCTCAAATCCCAGATAAGAATGAATTTGGGCTGGGTGCAGTGGCTCATGCCTTTAATTCCAAAAGTTTGGGAGGCCAAGGTGGGAGGATTTCTTGAGCCCAGGGGTTCAAGACCAGCTTGGGCAACACATTAGGACCCCATCTCTACAAAAAATAAAAATAAAATTAACTGGGCATGGTGGCATCCACCCATAATCCCAGCTACGCAGGAGGCTGAGGAGGGAGAATCACTTGAGCTCCAGAGGTCGAAGTTGCAGTGACCTGTGATCATGCTGCTGCACTCCAGCCTGCATGACAGTGTAAGACCCTGTCTGGGGGGAAAAAAAAAAAAAAGAAACAAACTTGCGTATGCGAACTTTAACCACCATCAAGTAAGCTCTGGTTATGTGGCATGGATGCATCTTGAATAAATTTTAGTTATATTTTTCAGATTTTGGGGGGGTTTCTCTATACAATAGCATTTCCCCCCTCCGAAATGTAAATATCTAGATTTTCAGTGGTCCCCTAAACTTCTGTTTTCTTCCACGAAGAAACAGAATATCTCATCAAGCACATGACCCAATAGCCTTCAGAGTAACCCCAGCCCTGTAGCCTCAGGCCTGCATCCAAGGAACCACTACTAGGAAGCCTGGTACATGTCCTTGGCCTCCTGCCAGGTCATATGACTGAGAATGAGGATTTACTTTTCAGAGTTTAATTACACAAAGAGTTAAGTTATTCACCTTCTGCAGCAATCAACCCAACATGAATTAATGTGACTCTTAAGGCTAGAATAACATAACATGGCACACCAAATAAAAGCCAATAAATAGTGGGAAAGGTACATTTTACTTATCAGAAAAAGAATGAATAAGAAAATCTAACTCTTATGGCAGAGCAAACACACTTGCTTTGTTAGCTTGCCAGATGGGGATCTGAGGTCCGAGAGGTAGGGATTGAGCCGTGGGGTGCCTCCTCACACTAATGAGGTTTGCCCTAGAATTCGAGGAGACAGATGGATCTGCAGGTTGGAACCCCTCAGCAATCTCCCTGGGAGCTGGCATGATTACACTGGGCCAATTCCTGCCTCTGGTCGCTGCCCCTTTCTCTGCCCTCTCTCCCTCTCCTACCTCCTCTTCAACTTGTTTTTGTGGTTTTTGTAATGCTCTGTGCCATGGTAAATATTCTTCCTTGTGTACCTCCATCTGCATCCCACTGTCTGCTTTTCTGGCCTCCCAGGATTCTCTCTCTCCCTTTTTTCCTTTTTGTTCTCCTTTTCCTCCAGTATTTTAGTCTGTAACAGCTCCATCTTGATTTTTTTTTCCTGACCCCATTAAATTCCTGTTTATTCACAACTGTTCCAGAATGGGGCTATATGGATTAATGAAAAGGAAAAGAACACACTATTAAAAGCTCTCACTTCTGTGTCTGGTACTTGATTTAAAGGGTTTCCTACTGGAAAAAAAAAAAAATGAAAGAAAACACTTTGGCCATTCCGGGAAGTATAGTGGTCTTCCTACCTGCTTCAAGCCTTTAGAATGCTGTATATCTTAGCTAATGAGAATGATCTAATCTCACACTGAGAGGTGACAGCGTGCTGGCAGCCCTCGCTCACTCTCCGCGCCTCCTCGGCCTTGGCGCCCACTCTGGCCGCGCTTGAGTCCTTCAGCCCGACGCTGCACTGTGGGAGCCCCTTTCTGGGCTGGCCAAGGCCAGAGCCAGCGCCCTCAGCTTGCAGGGAGGTGTGGAGGAAGAGGCACAGGCGGGAACCGGGGCTAAGCGCGGGGCTTGCGGGCCAGTGCAAGTTCCGGGTGGGCACGGGCTCGGCGGCCCGCACTCAGAGTCGCCAGCTGGCCCTGCCGGTCCCGGGCAGTGAAGGGCTTAGCACCTGGGCCAGCAGCTGCTGTGCTCAACTTTTCACTGGGCCTTAGCTGCCTCCCAGCAGGGCAGGGCTTGGGCCTGCCATGCCTGAGCCTCCCCCCGCCAGCCGTGGGCTCCTGCACGATGGGAGCCTCCCTGACAAATGCTGCCCCCTGCTGCACAGCGCCCAGTCCCATCAACCACCCAAGGGCTGAGGAGTGCAGGCGCATGATGCCAGACTGGCAGGCAGCTCCACCTGCGACCCCTGTGTGGGATCTACTGGGTGAAGATAGCTGAGCTCCTGAATCTGGTGGGGACTTGGAGAACCTTTATGTCCAGCTAAGGTATTGTAAATACACCAATCAGCACTCTGTATCTAGCTCAAGGTTTGTAAACACACCAATCAGCACCCTGGGTCTAGCTCAGGGTTTGTGAATGCACCAATTGACACTCTGTATCTAGCTACTCTGGTGGGGACTTGGAGAACCTTTCTGTCCACACTCTGTATCTAGCTAATCTAGAGGGGAAGTGGAGAACTTTTGTGTCTAGCTCAGGGATTATAAACACACCAATCAGCACCCTGTCAAAGCAGACCAATCAGCTCTCTGTAAAATGGACCAATCGGCTCTCTGTAAAATGGACCAATCAGCAAGATGTGGGTGGGGCCAGATAAGAGAATCAAAGCAGGCTGCCTGAGCCAATAGTGGCAACCCTCTGGGGTGCCCTTCCACAGTGGATGCTTTGTTCTTTGGCTCTTTGCAATAAATCTTGCTGCTGCTCACTCTTTGGGTCCACACTGCCTTTATGAGCTGTGACACTCACGGCGAAGGTTTGCAGCTTCACTCCTGAAGCCAGCGAGACCACAAACCCACCGGGAGGAATGAACAACTGGAGACGCGCCACCTTAAGAGCTGTAACATTCACCATGAAGGTTTGCAGCTTCACTCCTGAGCCAGCGAGACCACCAACCCACCAGAAGGAAGAAACTCGGAACACATCCAAACATCAGAAGGAACAAACTCCGGACACGCCGCCTTTAGGAACTGTGACACTCACCACGAGGGTGCGCGGCTTTATTCTTCAAGTCAGTGAGACCAAGAACCCACCAATTCTGGACACAACACTGTGAGACACGAGTGGATTTTCATGCATCGTAACAGATTCACCATAAATACCATAGTCCCCAGGCATCAAATATCATGCCAGAAGCATGTGATACACTGGCGTGGGGAACTGGTTAACTGATCTCTTAAGTGCACAGGATTCTAGAGCCAATCCCTCTAGTGGAGTTTGAATATAACAGTCCTCCTGTGGACTATTTCATCTTCCTCCAAACTTCACCAATAGCAGAAATAGTGCTCTTGCAGAAGTAAAAGTATACTTTTTATGAATACAGGGAGTGATGTGGTATATTCAGACAATGTTCAGTCCTTAAAAAAGGAAATCTTGTCACATGCAACATGGATGAAACTTGAGGACATCATGCTAAGTGACATAAGCCAATCATGAAAGGGTAAATACTAGACGATTCCCCTCATATTGGGTATCTAACCTAGTCAAACTCATCAAAGCGGAAAGTAGAATGGGGGTTGCCAGGAGAAAGGGGAGAGGAAAATGGAGAAAAGTGTGAAATGGATATAGAGTTTCAGTTTTGCAACATGATAAAATTACGGAGATCTGTTACCTCCAGGCCTTTAGAGATGCTACTCCATTACCCAGAACACTGTTCTGCTTGCTCATTTATTGGCTAACTGCTACTCTCTGACATTTTTATTGGAACATCCATTCCATCCTCAGAGAAGCATTCAGCATTCTCTTACCTCCAAGATAAAGTTAGTTCTTTTCTACATTCATGTCAAACATGACCACAGTTATTGCTACTGATATAATTGCTTCTCTCACCTACAGGCAACAAGGACATACCTGTCTGTCTTACCACTTTAACACCTAGCACAATACTGGGAACTTCACGAACAGGAAAGCATGCAACCATGACATAAAAATGATGAGCCTTGGAGGAAAACTCTAACCAACTTCCCTACAAAGACATTCTTGAATGGCCCCCAGGTATTCTGGCTTTCTTGCTATTCTAACAGAACAGGTATATTCCCGACACGTGCTCTACTCTGCATGTTCCCTTTGCCTAAAATGTGTGTCTTCCTCCTAGTTACTTGTTTAGCTGACTCACTTGTTTCAAGTGCTTCTCAAATATCGCTTTTAATGAGGTCTTAAATGCTATTAATTGAATACTGAACTCCCGTCTGCAATTGGCCCTTTGAATACTCCCTTTCCTATTCTACCTTTTACTTTTTCCCTAGAACTTAACATCTTCTGACACACTTTATGATAGTTTATTATTATGTTTATTATCTACTGGGAATTAGCCCCACTGCATCCTGACTCTCACTAGAATAAATATAAATTCCATAATGCAAGGATGTTTTTTATTGTGGCAAAGAAATGGACATCATAAAATTTGCCATCTTGGCCAGGTGCAGTGGCTCACACCTGTAATCCCAGCACTTTGAGAGGCCAAGGCAGACAGATCACCTGAGGTCAGGAGTTCAAGACCAGCCTGGCAAGCGTGGCGAAACCTTGTCTCTACTAAAAATACAAAAATCCCAGCTACTTAGGAGGCTGAGGCAGGAGAATTGCTTGAACCCGGGAGGCGGGGGTTGCAGTGAGCCGAGATCATGCCACTGCACTCCAGCCTGGGTGACATAGCGAGATTCTGTCTCAAAAAAAAAAAAAAATTGCCATCTTATCCATAAGTATACAGTTCAGTACATATGTTTACATTATTGTGAAAAAGATCTCCAGAATTTTTTCATCTTGTAAGAAGGAACACATGCATATTCAGCGATAAAAATTAGAAACAAGGGACTGGGTGTGGGGGCTCACACCTGTAATCCCAGCATTTGGGAGGTGAAGGTGGGTAGATCACAGGGTCAGGAGATCAAGACCAGCCTGGCCAATATGGTGAAACCCCACCTCTACTAAAAATACAAAAAAAAAAAAAAAATTAGCCAGGCGTGGTGGTGCACACCTGGAGTCCCAGCTACTCGGGAGGCTGAGGCAGAAGAATCACTTCAACCTGTGAGGCGGAGGTTGCAGTGAGCCAAGATCATGCCACTGCACTCCACCCTGGGCAACAGAGTAAAACTCTGTCGAAAAAAAAAAAAAAAAAAAATTAGAAACAAGGTATCTGTAAAAACGCTTTGTGATGTGCTGTTTTATATCACAGAATGGAACCTGTGTTTTGATTCACCAGGTTCCAAACACTCTTTCTGTAGGAACTACAAAGTTTGAAAGTCTACACCCACCAAACAGCAATTCTTTCTCCTGCCATCCCCAATCCTTGGTAACTACCATTCTACCTTATATTTCTTTCTATTTCTATGGATTGGACTACTTTGGACATCTCATATAAGTGGAATTACATAGTATTTGTTCTTTTGTGACTGATTTATTCCACTTAGCATAAGATCCTCTAAGGTTCATTGATGATGCAGCATGAGATAGGATTTCTTCTGTTTTAAGGTTGCACATTATTTCTTTGTATGTTTATATACATTTTGTTTATCCATTCATCTGTAAAAAATAGCCAAAATCTTGGTTATTGGGAGTATGAGGCAGGGATTTCTATTTGTTTGGTTCATTGATATATCCCAGGCACCTAGAACAGTGTCTGTAACATAGTAGATTCTCAATAAAAATTTATTGGATAAATAAAATATAGGGAGCAAAGTGGGGCTATTTGCTAAAACTAGAACTTTCTGGGCTTGCTCACCCTTTAGACACTATAGTCTACCACTGTCTTGTGTTTAAGGCATCTCTGTGGACTGAACCTTAACAAATCACTGGAATCCTTGAGTAAATGGGGTAGTTAGGGAGCCCATAAGGCCTGATTATCTAGATATTTCTTTCCCGCAGAGCTACCCTAGCATCTGGGTCTTTAGGATGGGTCTTGTCTGTATAAAATCACAAGTAAAATGTCATCACTTTATCTGAGGTAATTACATATACTCTGAGATATGTGAACAAATAATTAGATTAGTTGTTGGCCTCCAAAGAGGAAAATACCTAGTGCAGGTATGCTCTAAGGGGAGAAGAGGTTTGTTCAGTACAAAGTATTGTACACAATGGGGTGGTACTCTCTCCAATTTAGGGAAGACTTAACTGTGGGTGCTAGAGGCTATGTGAATTTTGTCAATTTCCCCCAATCATCTCCAACTTCAGTGAGTGGCTACAGACTGGAATTCTGCTAGTCCCCATGGAAAGCCAGGAAAATGATTCTTTTCTACCCAATGAATGCTACAGTTTAGGAGAGGGGCTTACCCCAATTTGCCATTCTTTCCTTAAAAAGAAAATCTCACCTGGGTGCGGTGGCTCATGCCTGTAATCCCAGCACTTTGGGAGGCCGAGGCGGGCAGATCACGAGGTCAGGAGTTCGAGACCAGCCTGACCAATATGGTGAAACCCCGTCTGTACTAAAAATACAAAAAAAAAAAAAAAAAAAAAAAAAAAATTAGCCAGGTGTGGTGGTGCATGCCTGTAGTCCCAACTACTCAGGATGCTGAGGCAGGAGAATCGCTTGAACCCGGGTGGCAGTGGTTGCAGTGAGCCAAGATCATGCCATTGTACTTCAGCCTGGATGAGAGAGCAAGACTCAGTCTCAGAAAAAAAAAAAAAGAAAAAAAAGGAAAGAGAAAAAAAGAAAGAAGAAAGAGGAAAGAAAGAAAGAAGAAAGAAAATCTCCCAAATGACACGTTTGACACCTCCAGCATCTCCAAGACCGGATTTGAAGGCAACTACAAAACTTCGCATGGCTTAATTTTTTAAATTTCATCATGGAGTTCATAGCTATTGACTTCTGTATCAAATTGGTTTTTTCATGTGTAAATTGTAACATGGTATTGACAGAACAAAGTCTGGAAGGCTCCCCAACAGGGCCTGGTGATGATATTCCCAAGCCTTCACTTATAAATATATTATAGACCCTTGACATTCTGAAAAATATGTCAGCAAACGTTCTGAAATCCCCAATTTGCAAATATTCCCATAGCATATAAATTCCCTTTAAAAAGAAGTAATATTTGAAAAATGCAGTGTTTTCTTCTTATCCTTGATTCTATATATCAGGAAAAAACTGCTCTTGAATCACAGTTCCCTGGAGAATCATATGTTTCTTATGCTCATCCTCTAGAGAGATCTTTTATAGTAGTTACTGCATATTTTCCACTGAAGAACCACTCATCAGTCTTCCTGCTACACACCACCTTTATAATGCACAAAAATGGACATTTCTACAAAATTAATATATCACAGGATGTTAGTTTTCTTATCTGTAAAGATAAAGCATCTATGGCATAGCTCAATGCAATAAATCAAGTATTTAAGGACGAAAGCTTTGGAGTGGTTTGAATATAGATTTGAATCTTGACTTAGCTTAATATTTATGAAATATTGGGCAAATTCTCAACTGGTTCTTCATTTATGAAATACAAGTATACTCAATGCCTCTTTGATGCAGGAGAAATGGCCTAAGCAGCACAGTATCAGGTCTATAGTAAGCTGGAGGATGGTAGTAAAGTTTCTGCTTGTCTCCTGCCCCATAGTCCATTCTCCACTTAATAACCAGAGGATCTTTTGAAAACTTAAATCCATTTATGTCACCTTATGGTGTAAAAGCCCTCTGA
Organism: Homo sapiens; assembly: GCF_000001405.40. Lineage (NCBI taxonomy): Eukaryota > Metazoa > Chordata > Mammalia > Primates > Hominidae > Homo > Homo sapiens. The sequence continues at coordinate 161,160,678 of NC_000005.10, read as the reverse complement.
TGATCTTCCACTGCAGTTAGATGAAACTTCAAAGAGGAGGTGAATCTTCTACCTCTTCTCAAGTTTTCTTCTTTCTCACTCATCATGGTCCAGCCATGCTGACCTTCCTTCTGTTTTTTAAATGCAGAGACCTCATCTCCACACTAAGCCCTTTGCATTTATTGTTTCCTCAGGACTTTCTGAAAAAATGTCCATCTCTTCATCTTTGCTTGGCTGACACTTTCTTATCTGAGCTCAACATCACCTCTTCAGAGAGGTCTTATCGCAATCCTTTCCTCATGCTGCATACCATTATTTGATTTTATTAACTCCATAACTCTCATCATGATCAGTAAATATCTTGCTAATTTGTTTTCTTATCTATCATCTATCTCTCCCAACTAGTGTGGAACTAAGCTCTTTTCTACATGGTTCTAAGAATCCCCACTTGACACATAGTAGACATTCAATAAGTGCTGGATGGATTGATGGAGGAATGGATGATGGATGGATAAGAACAATGCCAGCAGTTGTTGCACTGTATATAGTGATGGTATGTTAGAAAAATTACATACAAGCCTATATGACAAAACATCAAAAAAAGTTGATGTACTCTCCTAAGGCTGCTCAGAAAACACAGGACAAGAGCTGACCATTAAAGAATAAGTAGAATTGAGATAGAAGGAGGAACTTTTAGAAAGTTGTATAACCTCCAAATCTCCGAGGTTTTCTTCTTGTCCCTTGGGGTGGAGACAAACCTTCCCCTCATTTATAGGGATGTTCTGGAGTCAGAGATAATGCATAAAAGCTGCTGAGTGCTAATTAGCTCTATCTGTCAGCGCACAAGAGCCGGCAGGTCTGAGTGGCTGATTGTAAGGTCTGTAGCTGAAAATACTTCTTGCCAAACTGCCTGGAGGGTCTGATAAGGGAAATGACTATATTCTGTGAATTAACATATTCTAAGCAGGTCAAAAGTCCTGGATTGTGCAAAATAGTGGTAAAGATGGAAAGAAAGGTAAAACCATCCCCATTTTGGTTACCATGCCTAAGTAATGAAGCTGTGAATTCCTTGACAAGAATCGTTGCCTTGGAGTGAGCAGTGGGTGCCAACTGAGTATAATTTTTAGGAATAACTACAAAATTAAGAAAGAAGTTACTTGTCTTCATTGTACTCACTTACTAGTTCTCTTTCATTTTGCTCTTTCCTACTGAACAAGCAGTTCCACACTGTTATTCTTCCTCTTTTCTTTAGCAGCAAAATAGTTCCAGTTCTGCCACCTTTTCTGAGTAGCCTTCCCTGGATGATTTCTTAAGCACCAGATTGCCCGAAACATACGATTTAGGAGAAAGAGCACTACACACCAGAAAAGACCAGGATTCTGGTTCTTGTCCCTGTTCTGTAGGTGTATTTATTATGACTGCTTTGGTTGGAAGTTATAGAAACTCAGGTCAAACTAGTTTAAGAAGGGGGATGGGAAAAAGAGATTGATTGGTTTACATAATCAAAGTTAGAGGAAAGGAAGGTTTCAGACACGGCTGGATCAAAAGTCTTATCAATTATAACAATGTCTGTCTCTTCGCCATCTATAAGACCTCCTTCTTTTGAGGTAATCTAAACTCTGACCCATTTTATGTAGACATTCTTCTCATATCGATTCAACGAGGTAGTAAATACAGCCATTGGTAGGCTCAAGCATTTTGCCTTATAACTTGCTACCCAAAGGAGGAAGGGTCTCTCCATCTCTCTGTGTTCTATTTATAAAAATTAAGGAACCAGGTGAAGGTGATCATCTGAGAAGTTAGGCTGGTAACTGAGTGTTGGGAGGGTAATGGGCAAAGTAGCAGCTTGTGAGCATGATGACTGACATCCCCTCCAAGACCACATAGAAGGGGAAAAGAGTCACTCACCAAAGGAAAGCTTGCTCTTCAGAAAGACAACCACTGTTCCTACTATTTCCTCATCTGTGAAATTACTGAGTTCCATAAGATTATGAATGTGGATGTACTTTGAAAACCATAAACACAAGCATAAATGAAAATTGGTGTTACCAGATAAAAATTTTTCAGTTTCATGATTCTAGAACCTGTGCTATATGCAAGCTGCCATTGGCTTGTTAGGCCGCTGGGAAGATTAAACAGGACAATATGCAGAGAGCTTTTTGCAGAATATTTGGCATGAAGTGAGTGCTCAATGTTAGTATATATCTGTTATAACACATAATGTACAATTTGCCAAATGTTTTACCTGAAGAAGAGAATCTTATGGCTGGAATTAGCCATTGCTTCTGCCAAATGGCAAAGACATTTGGGGATGACTGGGTAAAATTGCCAATATTATTTAACCATTTTTCCTTTCTTTCCGTGTTCTTTCCTCTTCTGTCTCTACCTTAATCCCTACACACATTTTTGTGGGTTAGGGGGCAACTGTGCAGAGCTGAATTCATGCATATTAAGTTAAGTATGCATATGTGTATATCTGATTATACTATTTGAGTTCTTTACCATGTTGAAGTGCCTGGCACAAATTAATGTGATTTGTCTGAATGATGCTGATGACTTTGACATTTATAACAATGATGAGGATAATAGGTGTCAGTTCCATGGCACAAAGCCTTTGGCGTAGAGCCTTTCTTGATATGAGCTGCAGCCCCACATTCAGAGCATCTTGCTCTAAGCAGTTCATCTTCACCATGGGAGGGAAAAGTTTACCACCGTCACTGGGGCATCTGTTATAAGTCTTAACTTGTGTTACATAGTCAGTGGAAAATGAGTTTTCTGTCAGCAGTTTCCAGAGAGAGATCCAGAGGATGAGTGGCCTCTTAGATAGCAGTATCAAGCTTCAGTCTATGAAGGCAGTGAGATGTGGTAAAAAGAACATTAGAAAGAAAACTGGAACGCCTTGGGCTTTCTTGCCAACTTACTTCATGGCCTTGGATAAGGCACTTTTTTATTTTGGAGAAATTACATTTTAATAATTATATAAGATGAGTTCACTGCTTTGTTTTCACTTTAACTTTAGCTTACCTTTCTTTTGTAAAATTCAAATTAATTTTTTTCTTCCAACTTTTATTTTAGGTCCAGGGGGTACACGTGCAGGTTTGTTACATGGGTAAATTGCATGCCATTGAGGTTTGGTGTACAAATGGTTTTGCCACCCAGGTAGTGAGCATAGTACCCAATAGGCAGTTTTCCTTTCCTCATTCTCTTCCCATCCTCCACTCTCATGTACACCCCAGTGTCCATTGTCCCCCTTTTTGTGTCCATGTGTACTCAATATTTAGCTCCCACTTGTAAGTGAGAACATGTGGTATTTTTTTCTGCTTCTCATTAACTTGTTTAGGATAATGGCCTCTAGCTGGACCCATGTTTCTGCAAATAACATTATCTCATTATTTTTTATGGCTGCATAGTATTCCATCATGTACATGTGCCACATTCTCTCTATTCAATCTACCATTGATGGTCATCCAGGTTGACTCCAAGTCTTTGCTATTGTGAACAGTGCTATAATGAACATACTTGTGCATTTGTCTTTATAGTAGGATGACTTATATTTCTTTGGGTATATACCCAGGAACGAGACTGTTGGGTTGAATGGTAGTTCATTTTGATTTCTTTGGAATGTATCTCAATTGCTTTCCCTGGTGGCTGAACTAATTTACATTCCCACCAGCAGTGTATAAGCATTTCCTTTTCTCCATCACCTTGCTGACATGTTATTTTTGACTTCTTCTTAGTAGCCATTCTGACTGGTGTGAGATAGTATCTTATGGTAATTTGGATGTGCATTTCTCTGATGATTAGTGATACTGAGCATTTTCTCATGTTTCTTGGCCTCATGTATGTCTTCTTCTGAGAAGTATTTGATCATGTCCTTTGGTAAGGCACTTTTCTATTCTACACATGACAACCTGCTGATGTTGGAGATAATATTTGTGAATTTTGTGTACCCCAATGGTTTTGGGGACCAGCCCCTATCAAGAACTAGACTATGGCCCTTTCATAGGTGTTGTTTCCTCTCATCTACTTCCTCCAACCTTCATGCTGAGATATTTGCCACTTTAGTTTCAGAAAAGTTCAACCCTAGTTTAAAGACCATCCTCTCTGCCTCATTCACTCACACACCAACAACCCCTCCCTAAGCACACCAAAGAGCTCTACCTCAGAGGGGTCACCCACCACTTTAATTGACGTATCAAAACTGAATGAGGAGAATTTTGAACATGACCATGAACAATGCTGTGTTGACTCCATAAAAGATAATCATGGTAAATCTAAAGAACAGAGACAAAAAGTCCTAAAATGTATTGTATTTATACCCACTAAAATATAAACTTCTCTTTCCAGTTTTTTCCCCTGCTAAATATTTTGTCCATTCCTCATAGATCTACCTACGGACACAAGTTTAATTTCCACCTACAGGTAAAACTGACTTGCTGGAACATCACTAAGACAAAAGAACATCTTTCGTCTTTCTGTCCACATGCATAAAATCATGTGTTTCTATTCCCTCCCTAGACTATAAGATCTGTGAGAGAAGGTATCCAAGGTATTTTACTTACTGCTGAAACCCTAGCCCCTAGCATACTGTCTGACATAGAAAATCAATCAATAATTAAGTAAATGCACGTATAAGTGAATGAATTAAGTATTGAATGTCCATAAATGGTGTTTTAGTGATATTATTTGCATCAGAAGCATTTCTAAAATTTATGATTTATATGTAGTGTGGTCTCCCATTTGTCCTTTTTCAATGCTGTCTACTATGAAATTCTCCACTGGTTGCTAGAGAAAATCCTATTCTGAATTATTCAAAATTCAACTTGTTGGGGATAGCTACAATTGTTAGATCTTAGCATGCAGCTATACAGAGAAATAATTCTTCATATCCAACAGAATTGTAAGTGTAAAGGACAGGTTTAGACCTTTGAGATAGATGGCTAGAAGAAGAAAAGGAATAAAGAATAAGCAGGTCCAACAAGACTAGAGAGCTGCAGGTAGCTGAGAGCCATCACGGCCTAATTTAGTGGTGAGCAGGATTGCAAAACTAAAAGGAATGTAGCCACCAGCATTTGCTTTTAAACAGTCTGAGAGTTATCATACATGGTATGATTCATCCTATTTTTCATATAGGGGATCTAAAGATCAGGGAGGTTAAGTACCTTGCCTGTGGTCATAGAAATAATGTGGGATTCTGATTCCAAATTCAGAGTTAGGTATGTAGGCTTCTGAAGAGAATATAAGTAGTCAGAGGTCATAAAAGAAGGTCATCAGATATGAATGAATGAACAAGCAAGGTTGTCTGAGAATTTTCAGAGATCTTTAATTTTACCTCACTCAATCTAGGCTCTTACCTCTGGGGTTCAGCCAAAGGAGATGCAGCTCCCGCTAATGTCCTTTAAAAGGACATTAGAAGGGTCTTCTGCACCCTTTTCCACTTCCTTACCTTTAGATCATCAGACAAATACAAATCAAAACCACAATGAGATACCATCTCACACCAGTTAGAATGGTGATCATTAAAAAGTCAAGAAACAACAGATGCTGGAGAGGATGTGGAGAAATGGGAACACTTTTACACTGTTGGTGGGACTGTAAACTAGTTCAACCATTGTGGAAGACATTGTGGCGATTCTGAAACTTTTTTTAAGAATCATTCTTATGGAACAGAGTTGGTCTGGGTTAGTTTTCTTAATCTATACTAGATGGAATTTATTTTTGGAATTTTTAAAAAATGAATATTCCTGCCACCAATTCTGACCAAGTAGATCCATGATGAGTACCAGGAGTATGTGTTTTTAAGAACACACCCAAGATATTCTGAGCCAGGTGGTTCACAGAACATACTTAGAAAAGAAATGAACAAGGAGCAAATGATAAAGAGAAAGCACTCAACAAGGTATATAGCAGCAAACTGGCAGTTTGTGATTGACCTATACCACTCAGTGCTAGGTGCTCAACAAATACCTATTAGATTGGTGGATATCAAGGGAGGAGAGATGAAAGGATAGTTGGATGGATGGAGGCAAGGAACTTGATTTCTTTTCCTTTGTAGCCCTTCCAAATGGTGATTTTGCTAATTGCCAAAAGGTTCTCCTCAGATGAGGTAAAATGCGTTCATTCTAAAGGGTGAAACCATTAGAATGCACAGTAGGAGGATATTTACGCTCCCGGATTTATTTGTATTACTGTCGTTGCAAGTTGAGTAGAACTGATATCACTTACATATTTATTTTTGAGGCATGATGGGTTAGTATAAAATATCAGACAGTTGTTTTGCTTGACCTGAGTTTTTTTAGTGCCCTGGCTTCTAGATAGCACATTTTGTGTCCATTATTTGCAAACCACTTTAGTACTACAGGTATTGACCTTTCTGGATGGGATTACCTAAAAAAATAATTTGCCATGTAAGGTTGCTAATTAGGAGGCTAAAGCATACCCATTAAAGGCATTTACCTTGTAATTTGTGATGAGAAACTCTCAGTGAAATAAAGCGTGAAATATGATTATTGTGGATGAGAAGACAAGGATCTAAAGCTACTCACTTATTTTAAGACTGGGTGTTAATAACATATTAACTTTAGAAAGGGGACTGCCACAGAGCAAAGCTCTTTCTGACACCTCTTATGCACCAGAAGCAACTTCTTCTCAGGTATCCAAGCAACTTTATCCACACCCTGGATTCCTAATCCCATCTCCTTTTTGTTCTTCTCTCTCTTAGACCTCCAGTCTCTCATACTCTGAATTTCTCTCTTTCACTAGATTTATACATTCAAAAAAGCAGTACATTGTAGGAGTGCAGTGTATGGGCTCTGGGGAAAGAATGCCTGCTTTTAAATCTTGGCTCTGCCACTTACTAGTATTAAACCTCTCAGAGCCTCAGTTTTCTCATCTGTAAAACAAATTTAATGATAGTAGTTAACTCACAAGATTGTTGTAAGGATGTAATGAGCTATTAATCGGTTAAGCATGTACAGCTTAAGAGTAAGTTTTTAACAAAATTTGTAATTTTTTTCACCTGTGAAAGCAGTTTAATAACATTACAGGAATCATGAGAAAAAAGACAAGCACACTCATAATCGTAATACTCTAACCCATACCCAGTATTTTTCATCTTAATGCACTAGCTTTGGAAAGCAGAATTTTGTCTTCTGGATCCTTTGCATGCTTTGGATAAACCACAAAGCTGACCATGAGCCTTTTATTATTTTTTCTTGTAGATCAAATTTCTTACACATCTACTTAAAAAGGCCAAAAATTTACTCCCCAATTTGAGAAGATTTCTACAGAAAAATGATGTTCGTTAAGATTCCAGTACATTGTCTAAGAGGAATTAGCTTATTCATGAGTCTGGATTCCTTCATCAGGCTAGTTCTGCATTCTGCAATATATCCACATTGGATATTTGGATGAATTTATTGCATTACAATCATCAACTTGGGCTTTGAGATCAGCCAGCCCTGGGCTCAAATCTAGAATTGGGACCTATGATCTTGGGCGAACAACTGAACTTCTCAGGTGGCTCCTCTGGAGTGATGAGGTGAATAGCACCTCACAGTGTTGTGAGAATTATAAGAATAAGAAATGATCCTGGTTTTAGCTATTGGAAAGCGGTGAAGTTTCCCAGAAGTAATGATAGTACAATAACATGAGTTTTCCCAGAAGTGAGAAAGCTAGAGGCAGAGATATTCTTTAGGGACTCTGGGCACTGACTATGCCTTCCTCTCTCGTATGCCCCAGGCTCAGCACAGTGAAGTACATGATTGTGTTGATGCTAGAGAACTAGGAGTGCTGTATGTTTGTAAACATTCCTTAAATTAGAAGTACTAATTGATGGAACCCAAGTATAAAAGGGCAGGGATATGGCAAGACTGGAGCTTTCAGATCCAGAAAGATCCCTTATGTATGGACAACGTCATTGTCAGTTTGGGCTCCATCAGAGACTCTGGGGCTGTCTTGGCTGGGGCTGCCATCACAAAATACCACAGACTTGGCAGCTTATGAAAAACAGAAATGTATTTCTCACAATTCTGGTGGCTAGGAAGTTCAGTGTGCCAGCTGATTTGATTTCTGATAAGGGCCCACATCCTGGCTTGCGGATGTTCCCATCCACACAGTGGAGAGACAGAGAGAGAGAGAGAACATGCACAGGCTGTCTCTTCTAATAAGGCCACTATAGCATCATGAGGCCCCCACCCTCATGGCTTCATTTAATTTAATTTCCTCTTTATAGGCCCTATCTGCAAATACAGTAATATTTAGTGGTAAGGCTTCAACATGTGAATTTGGTGGGGGACCCAGTTTAGCCAAGAGCAGGGGCTGAGGGAAGCAAAACTCAGTTGTGTTGCATCTCCTCTTCCCAATGAGAGTGGTGTGATGGTCAGATCAAATCAAAACTTAACCTCAGATGAACAGGAGTATATGTCCTCTTTCTCCAAACTATAAGCCAGCAGATTTGCTGCAGGTGCCTATTATTGCCCCTCTTTTAGGTGTCTTAGTCTAGAAAGCTCAAATGAACAGTCTCTTCTCATTGGAGGTGAGGGCTGAGACTGGGGAATCTAGAAGAGACTGGGGAATCTGGAATGTGGAAAGGGAGGTGGCACCCCTAGTTTCTTGCTTTAACCAGAAAGATAATCCCTAAATGTCACACTCAGGAGGCAGAAAATATACCTCCTGCCTTTTTTCTGTTAAATATGCCTCTGAATAAACTGTGATAACTCAGGATATTATAGTTTATTGAGAGATATATTACACATTCAGATTTCAAGAGTTTACAAAATAAGTTTCCTGTCTCCGTCTTGATGACTTGTCTTCTTCAACTTCCCTCTCCGGTAATGTATAACATGAGACTTGGCTTCCTGGAGAGAAGTGATCAAGGAGCAGAGGCTCCTTGCTGAGAAACACATTAGCACAATTTCTGAAATATGCTCTTTAAACTCACTTAATCTATGATATGTGTTCTCATTTAATAAATATTAGGCTAACTTAGGTTATGTCTCCATACATTGAAGCATCTGCTGCCATGTTCCTTTAAGCAAGACCAAATAAATACTCTGGTAATTTATTTCAAAGGTTTTTTTTTCTTTATGTTGCAAAATAAAGGTGTGTATGAAGAAACTTAAATGACATAATTATAAGTGTGCATTGAGAACGAATTTATTGCTCCTTAAAAATATTAATTAGGCTCTTCTTAATCTCTACAGCAGATCTTATGAGCTTGTTTTTCTTCCAACTACCTCTTTTGATTATGCATAAATAGGATATAATTACACATAGGTGGAAGGTTACTATATACAAATATGTTCAGAAATTAAGTGAATAAAATACACAATAGGCTTTAGTGTTCTTCTCATAAAATAATTTCGAATCAGACTAAAATAAGCAATTTGTGCTTTTTTAATAACCGCCTTGTCTATTTCTTTTTCAGATTAGCACTGTGGAGGATGTCAGGAATAGAAAGAAAATAATAGTCATTATGACTTCTAGCTGAAAGAAAACTTGGTTTTCTTGTGTATTTTCTTAACAGTTGAGTTCACCTTTAGTGCTGCTATTATTGTCTCTATCCCTTTGCTTTGTAATCTCTTCTCTCAGCTCCTCAGCTCAAACTATATGATAAAACTTTAAACACAAATGCTATTTTTAAGGGAGGAGTGAAATAAAGAATGTTTAGGGGAAAGTTGAAAATATTCTCATTTTTAGTAATGTTTGTCTATACCATAAATATTTTGTTTACCTGGAAGATTCACGATGGGAAGACTTTCCAAAAAATGTAATTTTAAAAACAGTCTACAGATTAATTTCCTTTTCTTATTCTAACATGCTGTTGCAGCAAGAGGACTCCAGGTTGGAACTGTGTGAGTATGCCTGTGAATGTGTATGATAAACAGCTAATTACCTGTCAGTCACCACAGCAATGTTTATAGGAAGACTGAGAAGCTCACATAGCTCTGTTAGCCAATTTGAGGGAGGAAAAACCATATAATCTCTTTTTTCAATCCCTAGTGGAGTTACTGGCAGCAATTTTAAGATGCTCTTCACTTGGCAAGTTTTATGTGACCAATTTAGCTTATTTGCTTTGAGCAGAGAATGTTGATTTGAGTGGGGAATGAAGAGAATCAGCTTGCAAGAAACCTTAGGATGCTAAAGCGACAGACTTATGACAACTCTGAAGAGTTCTGTTAATTACAGTTCATATAGCACTGTTCCAGCCTGGAGCCTTCTTCAAAGAGCTCTGCCTAGCCCCATGAATTCTCCAAACAAACCTCTATATGTTGTCAAGAAAACACAGTACTTTATTTTTTCAATGAGTATTTTGGAGCACCTACTGTAGGCCAGCACATACTAGCCTCAGGGGATACCATGGTGAGAGGGGTTCAGGGCAGATGAAGGGCATGTCACAAGGATGTACGCAGGGGTCAAATCATGAAGGGCCTTACAAAAATTGTATTTTCGAAAGATAACTACAACAGTACCTCCCATCCCACATGTTTTTTTGAATATGACCTTCCCAGTTTTCTCCCATCAAATGGTGTAGTCTATACCTCTTCCCTTGAACCGGGGTGATCATTTTGATTCCTCAGATTAGATTATCCAAATGTCAAGCACTTCTGTCTTACTCTCTGATGACATTTGCTTTTGGAACTCAGTCACCTTGCAGTGACAAATCCTTAAACTAGCACATGCAAAAAGATGAGGAAGAGAGATCACATGTAGACATTTAAACAATTGCTGGCTGATATGCAACAGCAGCCAACATCAGCCACCAGACATATGAGTGAATTCTCCTTTAGACAATACCGGCCCTCAGCCATCATGTTACTCCCAGTCTTCAATTCTTCCCAGATAAGACCCTAGACATTGTGGAAGAGAAACAAGCCATCTTCACTATCTAAAGTCCATGGGGTACTCAGATAAAGTTCCAACCTGGGGTAGTCGGTTATATAGCAATAATAACTAGAACAGTTCTTAGTAAGTTTGTCCCTTTTTTTCTGAGGAGTGGAGAGCTGCTGAAAGGTTTTAAGCGGGTAACAGGTTTGGATTAACATATTAAGGATTATTCTAGCTCTGATATGTGAGAAACTCGTCATCCCTCCCTTAAAATAGGAAGATGAGTTGGAAAAATATCGCACAGATTCAGACAATATAAAAGTGGCCCTGACTAGGGTGATGCTAGGAGATATAAAGAGAGTAATTCAAGAATTATGTAAGAGCTGGCATCTAGAGTGTTTTGTTCTAGATTGGATATGGTGATTGGAGGGTGGGAATATAGGAAACAAAAGACTATATTAAGGTTCCTGTCTTAAAAACAGGGTACCTGCTAGTTTGTGGCTTTTACTTTGATAGGAAACTTTGCAGGAAGAATCACATACTTAGGTGCAGGGACATCTTGTGGAATCAGGAAGTGAGAGATGTTGAATGAATTATTTGAGTTCTCTATAGATCCTTCAAACTCCACAGCAACAACTGAAGAAGTCTAGAAATGACTGAGTGATTTATGACATTTTCAGATGTCTTCTACCATTCTCCTAAGTTAAGTAGCAAAAAGTGGAGTATTTCTTTTCAAAATTTCTATAAATTAATTGGAGGTGATAGATTGGCAAACCCATATGTAAAACTTATCTATGTTTAAGGCTTTGCACTAAAAACTTTGGAGGCCACAATGAACTAAAATTTGTTAGAATTCCACCATGAGTTTCAAGTTCAGGAGTCTAATAGAGAAGTAAAACTTGCCATGACAATAAATATAAGAAATGATATATTATTTTAAAAGGGCAATGGCACAGTTTTAAAAGACATAAATCCCAGCGAAGGTCAAGGGAAAGAAAAGGCATTTGAGCAAAAGAGCACTTAAATGCAAAGAAAGTAAAGCAGGCAATGGTATAACCTGGGGATTAACTTGGAAGGGGGCTCTGTATCAGGCTTAAATACTAGGTCTTCTAATCAGTAGCTTGGGAAACTTTTAATCATCTTTTCCCATATGTAGACTGAGGATGATTATAACATTACCCATACCCTAGGTTTGCTGAAAGTATTAAAAATAAATCAAGCATGTAAAGCACTTAGCTCACCGTCTGGAACACAGTAAGCACTTAATGAAATGTAGCTGGCATACTCATCAATAGCATCTTCAATACCATCAGTATTATCATTTTTATTATTACTTAGGAAGACTGTTAATTGAAAAGAATGAGATTACATGGTTCACCAAAACATTTCTCCCTTTTGGAAAAGAACATCAATATTTTCTTAGTAAATAATTTTATAGGTAGTTCTGCTTCTATTTAGAATGTATTAATTTGGAAAGAATGTCAATCCCTCCTACACAAACAATAAAAAAGAAAAGCTGGATAAACTGGAAAATCACAATATTTATTATCATTACACCTCAAAGAGGTGGATTGGCAGAGAAATCAAGTAGGCTGAAATCCAAGGAGAAATACCCTACCTCACCCCCAAGGAGAAGTGGGACACTAGACGACCTCATCTGTAAGAGAGGAAAAGAAAAACATGGGGCCACCATAAAAATAGGTTAAAAGGTATCAGTTACATTTGTTATAAATTGCTAAAGCTCAAATATGGACTAATGTGACAATATGGACCTGCTGGATTCACAGACAAAAATGAGTTTGGACCTACTCACGGGTTATTTTCTGTGAACTTTGACCAATGCCCATGGGAAAGATTAGGGGCACATCAGGTGGCCATAGAAAGACTCTGTTGGCATTGCAAATGTGGACAAAAGATCAGCCCTAGCCTCAAATTGGCTTTTTACTCAAAGTCTTAAGCATCTGAGAGGGGGACAGTACACTCTATAATCCCCAAGAGTCAGGGTTAAGAGGAAATATTACAGAAAATAAATGGAAAACAGCATTAGACCCATAAGGCAGGGGCAAAAAGTAAATCCAGAGTACACAATCCTATAGTAATACTATTAGAGGTCTCATACCACTGGGTGCAGGAATGTTATTCTCCCACACTATATATATAAGGGAGAGTTTGGCTTCTGGCAATGGAGAAGAAGGACAGGACTTACGAGAAACCCTGGGCACACAAGTTCTGCCTAAAACTGAAACAATAATAGATCACAGAAGACACCTTGACCCTAACCACCAGCCTGGCAAGAACCACGTAAAACAACAGAATCTACCACTAGTAGTGGGACAAGAGCATGAAGAGGTCCCGCTGGTGCACTGGTATATAGGGAAGTCTGAAAGCTTAGAGTGGAAGAAAAAAAATGTTAAAAACTCTCCGGCAGCTCTAGCCTTACCCTAAGCCCAAGCCATCATTAGGGAAATTAAAAACTGGTAGAACACTGAAAGAAACTAGCAACAACAAACTTCACATGAACTCAATTCCTGGCTAGACTGACTCAATTCTCTATACTTATTGCCTGAGAAGGGGCAATATGACTATTTCCTGATATAAATGTTATTCAGCTCAGTATCCTTTATTTTATACAAGATGACTGGAATTTCATTAATAATAATACATACAAAAAAGCAAGACTAAAGCAACCCATTGTCAAAAGGCAAAGCAAACCAAAGAACAAGGCTCAGAGAGTAACCAGTTATTAGAACTGTTGATCACAGCATTTAAAATAAGTATGGTTAACAGGTTAAACGATACAATGGAAAAGGTGGGAATTGGCATGGGCAAATGGGTAATTAATTATATTATAACTAAAAAATAAATGAAAATGCTAGAAATTAAAACTAGGATGTGGTAGACAAAATAATGGTCCCCCAGCGATAACCATATCCTAGTTCGGAAAAACCTGTGAATATGTTACCTTACATGACAGAAGGGACTTTGCAGATGTGACTAAGTTAAAGATCTTAAGATGGGGAGATTATTCTGTATTTTTCAGGTGGGCCCAATGTAATTACAAAGAACCTTAAAATAGGAAGGCAGAAAGGTCAGGTCAGAAAAGGAGATGGGAAGACAGAAGTAGAGATCAAAAAGAAGGAATGGGATTTGAAGATAGTGTGCCACTAGCTATGAAGACTAAGAGAGGAGTCACAAGCCAAGTAAGGGAGGCAGCCTCTAGAAGCTGAAAAAGACAAGGAAACATAATCTTCCCTGAATCCTCCAGAAAAAAAAATATAGTCCTGCTGACCCATTTTAGACTTCTGACCTCCATAACTGTAACATAATAAGTTTGTGTTGTTTTTTAGCCACTAAGTTTATAGTGATTTGATACAGCAGCAGTAAAAGACAAATACACAGAATATCGGAGATGAAGAATTTATTTAACAGGCTTAGCAATAGGCTCAACACAGTCAAAGAAATAATTGGTGAATTTGAAGATAGGTCAGTAGAGATCACTCAAACTGAAACACAAAGAGGAAACATGACAGAAAAAATACAGTTTCTAAAGAGTCTGTTGACAATGTAAATGGATCTATCGTACATGTAATTTGAAATTCAAAAAGAAAAAAAAAAAGAATGGAGCCTAAGAAGTATTTGAAGAGAGAGTGGCCAAGAATGCTCCAAAAATATTCAAAGGCATCAAACCATAGGTCCAATAAATGCAGAAATCTTCAAGCAGAGGGAGAAAAAAAAATCAAAACTATACAAACTGCTGAAAATTAATTGTAATATAAACAAAAAGTCTTGAAGATATTTATAAAATTATTACACTATTACATATAGAGGAATAAAGATAGAAGTCATTTGACTTCAAGCTAGAATATAATAAAGTTACATATTAAAAATACTAAAAGGAAAAAAAAATCAACCCAGAAATTTATACTCAGTAAGAATATCTTTCAAAAATTAAGGTGAAATAAAGGCTTTTCAGACAAAGAAATGTAGAGAAAATGTATTATTGGTGACATGTGGTATAATAAATGTTAAATAAAATTCTTCAAAAGGCTGTGATACCTGACAGAAATTTGGATCTAAACACAAAAAATAAAAAGTTCTAGAAAATATTCAAATGAAGGTAAATATAGAAGACATTTTTTATTATTTTAATCACTCTAAAAGACAATTAATGATATAAAACAAAAATATTTGACATTTACTTTAACATATGAAAACATGTTAGAATAAAATATACACAATATTTTATGTTATATTTAGTTTTCAGTATTTTCTTTTTATATTATATTTAGTTTTGTTTAATATATTTACAACATATGTAAAAATAAAACATAGAAAAACAAAACCATAAAGAACAGGATATTGACACAGGAAATATACTCATAAAGTTCTTATACAATGTATGAAGTCATGTAATATTATTTGAAGGTAAACAATGATAAATTAAAGATTCACATTGTAAACCTTAAGACAACCACTAAGGAAATTAGAAATAATGGTATAAATAATAAACCAATAGTGGAAATAAAATAGTATAATAAAAAGCACTTAATTCAAAAGAAGGCAAAAAGAAAGAACAAAGGCAAATGAAACAAATGGTAGATTTAAATCCAACAATATAAATAATTAAAATTGTTCTAATACACTAACTAATGATAGGTTAACAAGTTGGATAAAAATGCAAGACCCAACTATATGCTGTCTACAAGAAACATGATTTAAATGTAGAAATGTCTGTATAAACAAAGGATAGAAAAATACGTACCATGCAACCACGAATCAAAACAAATTTGGAATGACTATGTTAATATCAGAAAAAGTAGACTTCAGAAAAAGAAATATTACCAGAAAAAAAGAGGATATTACTTAATGATAAAGGGGTCAATTCTCCAAGAAGTTATGAGTTTCTAAATGTGAACGCAGCTAACAACAGAGATTTGAAACACATGAAGCAAACCTAATGAAACAGAAAGGAAAAATGGACAAACCTCAACAATAGTTGGAGTACTCAATATTCCTTTCTCAGTAATTGACAGAATAATTAGAAAAATCAACAGTTATAAGAGACCCAAATGACACCATCAACCAATTAGACCTAATTGACATTCGTAGCATATTCCACCCAGCAGCAGTAGAATAAACATTGTTTTCAAGTGCACATAGACCATATTTGGGGCCATAAAACAAACCTCAACAAACTTTTAGAAGTTAAAATGGAACAAAGCATGTTCTCTGACAATAATGGAATATTTTTTAGTTTTCTTTTTTTTTAAGCTTTTCAGTGGTTCAAGTGCAGGATGTGCAGGTTTGTTACATAGGTAAATGTGTGTCATAGGGGTTTGTAGTACAGATTATTTCATCACCCAGGTATTAAGCCTACTTATTTTTCCTGGTGCTCTCCCTTTTCCCACCCTCCACCTTCCAGTGTGTTGTTCTTCTCTATGTGTCCATGTGTTCACATAATTTATTATAAGTGAGAACACACAGTATTTGGGTTTTTGTTCCTACATTAGTTTGCTAAGGATAATGGCCTCCAGCTCCATCCAGGTTCCTGCAAAGGACATGCTCTCATTCTTTTTTATGGCTGCATAGTATTCCATGGTGTATATGTACCAGATTTTCTATATCCAGTCTATAATTGATGGGCATTTAGGTTGATTCCATGTTTTTGCTATTGCAAATAGTGCTGCAATGAACATATGCATTCCTGTGTCTTTATAATAGAACAATTTATATTCCTTTGGGTATATGCCCAGTAATATGATTGCTGGGTCAAATGCTAATTCTGTCTTCAGGTCTTTGAGGAATTGCCATACTGTCTTCCACAATAGTTGAACTAGTCTACATTCCCATCAACAGTGTAAAAGCATTCCTTATTCTGCACAACCTCTCCAGCATCTGTTGTTTCTTGACTTTTTAATATTCACCATTCTGACTGGCGTGAGATGGTGTCTCCTTGTGGTTTTGATTTTTTTGACTTGCATTTCTCTAATAATCAGTGTATTATTCCATTTTCATGCTGCTGATAAAGACATACATGAGAGTGGGAAGAAAAGGAGGTTTAATGAACTTACAGTTTCATGTGGCTAGGGAGGCCTCAGAATCATGGCAGAAGGTGAAAGTCGCTTCTTACATGGTGGCAGCAAGAGAGAATGAGGAGAAAACAAAAGCGGAAACCCTCAGATCTTGTGAGACATATTCATATTCACTACCACAAGAACAATATGGGGGAAACCACCCTCATGATTCAATTATCTCCCACTGGGTCCCTCCCACAACACGTGAGAATTATGGGAGCTACAAGATGAGATTTGGGTGGGGACACAGAGCCAAGCCATATCATTCTGCCCCTGACCTCTCCCAAATCTCATGTCCTCACATTTCAAAACCAATCATGCCTTCCCAAAAGGCCCCCAAAGTCTTAACTCATTTCAGCATTAACCCAAAAGTCCACAGTCCAAGATCTCATCTGAGACAAGGCAAGTCTTTTTCAACTATGAGCCTGTAAAATCAAAAGCAAGTTAGTTACTTCCTAGATACAATGCGGTACAAGCATTGGGAGAAATTGGCCAAAATAAAGCAGCTATAGGCCCCACGCAAGTCCGAAATCCAGTGAAATCTTAAACCTCCAAAATGATCTCCTTTGACTTCATGCCTCACTTCCAGGTCACACTGATGCTAGAGGTGGGTTCCCATGGTCTTGGGAAGCTCTGCCTCTGTGGCTTTGCAGGGTATAGCCTCCCTCCTGCCTGATAGATATCTATCAGGTCCATTTGATCCAGAACCGAGTTCAGGTACTGAATATCTTTGTTAATTTTCTGTCTCAATGATCTGTCTAATATTGTCGGTGGGGTATTAATATTTCCCAAAATTATTGTATCAGGATCTAAGTCTGTTTGAAGCTCTCTGAGAACTTGCTTTATGAATCTGAGTGGTCCTGTGTTGGGTGCATATATATTTCAAATAGTTAGCTCTTCTTGTTGAATTAAACTCTTTACTATTATGTAATGCTTTTCTTTGTCTTTTTTTATCTTTGCCAATTTAAAGTACTTTTGTCAGAAACGAGGATTGCAATGCCTAGTTTTTTATGTTTTCCTTTTGCTTTGTAAATTTTCCTCTCTCCCTTTATTTTGATCCTGTATGTCTTTGCATGTGAGATTGGTGTCTTGAATACAGCATACCAATGGGTCTTTCTTGGTTCTTATCCAGCTTGCTACTCTATGTCTTTTAATTGGGCCATTTAGCTTGTTTACATTTAAAGTTAGTATTGTTATGTGTGGATTTTATCCTGTCATCATGATGCTAGCTGGTTATTTTGCAGACTTGTGTATGTGGTTGCTTTATAGTGTCCCTGGTCTGTGAACTTCAGTGTTTTTGTAGTAGGTGGTAATGGTTTTTTTTTTTTTTTTATACTTTAAGTTTTAGGGTATATGTGCACAATGTGCAGGTTAGTTACATATGTATACATGTGCCATGGTTTTTACTCTTCATACTTTCATACTTTGCAAGAGCTCTTGTAAGGCAGGTCTGGTGGTAACAAATTCACTAGGCATGCGTTTATCTGAAAATAATCTTATTTCTCCTTCACTTATGAAGTTTAGTCTGGCTGGATGTAAAATTCTGGGTTGGAATTTCTTTTCTTTAAGAATGTTGAATATTGGCCCCCAATCTTTCTGGCCTGTAGAGTTTCCACAGAGAGGTCTGCTGTTAGTCTGATGGGCTTCCCTTTGTAGATGACTTGGCCTCTTTGGCTGCCCTTAACATTTTTCTTGTATTTCAACCTTGGAGAATCTGATGATTATGTGTCTTGGGGATAAATAATGGAATTAAATGGAAATCAGCACACTTCTATTAATAATAACCAAGGACTGCTTCTTTATTTAGAATTTGTCATCTTGTAATAACAAGGAAACTTGTTCAAAATATAAATCCCTTAAATAATACTATACTTAACCTAGGTCTTCAAAATTTCAGTGCTAGATGGTACTCCAGAATTTAGTGTCAACCCTAACGATTCAAAAGGAAAAAGTGAAGCCAGGAGAGGCTAGGTGACACCTGGGAAGTTCAAGGGCTGGATTCATTATCATGTTTGCCTTCTGCATAAACATCATTCTGTTACTTCCATGTTTCTTGCTCTCTTATCAACCAGCAAGTATTTTTTGAATACCTAACATATGTATGAATTTTTACTAGATGTTGGAGAAAATGAAAAAGACAGATTACTCCTTTGGTTAAAAAAAGCTTTTATATTAGATAATACAGGGAGGAATTTTGACATTACCCCCTTTTATCAGATAAGGAAACTTTTTAGTGAAAAATGTCCTCTTTGTGCTGTCTCACATGCTTTTAGTAGGCTCTTCTGTTAAAATAATAAAAAATTAAAAGGCAAGCATTCTTTCCACAGGAAACAGGATATCTTGAATAACATCAGGAGGGTATTTTACTAAAATTATCCAAGGAAGAGGACAGGGTATAAGAGCACAGAGCCAAGTTGTCAGACTTCTGAAGCAATAGGAACAACTCTGGGGGTGGGAAAAACAACAAATACAGAATAAGGTCACATATCTTCTTAAAAGCCTATTAATTACCCAAATCTCTTGCTTCAAATTTACAGGCCACTGGGGGCTTACTCCAGCCAAGTGGGTTAAATCCATTTCCACACAAAATAATTAGAAAATGTTATCTTTCTACTGAAAGATTCCTGGGTTTGACTTACAGGAGCTTCTATTACTGCCACACAGTGTGAGTACTGAAAATTAGTCCGCGTAGTATAATTTGCCAGGATTCTGTGCTGCACCATTGTTTCTGCAGTTCCCTGCCTCTGTGTAAGCTCTTTACATTATGCTCACTGGTTCGGCCAGTGTCCCTAAGCTTGTTCTAAGTGCTAGGATGCTGGTCGCTGTCCAAACTAGCTTTTTCTTCATAACTGTCTATTTCCTCACCAAATTAGATTTTTCTTTCCTCATGATGAATTCCATTTTGAAGGCCCTTGTTTTTTTTGTTTTCGATAGCAAAACTTTTGTAGTACCATTTTAATTTATCAGATAATTTCTAATAACTTCTCCAAAAAGTAAGAGGTTGGTTTCCATACCTTCCCTCTCAAAAGGCTCATTTGAGCCATAGAAAACAACAATCTTCCTCCCTAGCCGAGCTCGGAGGCTGTCAAGATTATGTTACACAGTCCCCACAAGTGCTATGGACCTCTGTATCTAGGCTTCACCTCAGAAAAGCCAGTCAGATTCTTCCCACAACAAAGAAAGCTGCTCTAAGACTCACCATCTTCAAAGAAGCCAATTGGAAACTTTAAAATCACAGCTTTTCTCTGAAACAAAATAAGCACCATATAACAATGAAGACCAGGAAGACTTCCATGAAGCTTAAAAACAGTGTTTTGAATAAATAAAAAGTAATTCTAGATTTTAAACCAGGAAGTAACTATGTGGAATTTTCTCAAAGCAGAGACTTTAAATAAGTTCAAAACATGTTCTTAGAAGAGAGACTTCAAATAGGGATTGGCTAAACTGGGAAAATGACTTCACATTTTGACAGAAACAGAGATGGACAATCTATATTCACATCAGGCAAATGATAAGATTCAATGTAATTCAAATTGAGTTAATAATTTTTGAGACTGACTTAGCACAAATTCCATACCAGGCACTCTGCTCAGATAAAGACAATATAAATGCCATGCTATAGAGACTTGTGGAGCCCAAGTAGTATAATTCTAGCTTGTTTATCCTTAGAGAGAGGATTAAGTGAACAAAGCTGTAGAGACTCAACAGAACCTTTCTCAAAGTGTATTCTAGATTGTTGTAGTAACAGCAAAGTAATTTCAGAAACTTTGGATGCAACAGAATTAAACAGGTTATTTTACTGCGAGACTTTATAATGTGCTGTGTAAAGCTCCAAGATGAGTACAGAATATGCAAAGTTCCCTCTATGTGCTATCTGAGAAACTGCCCTGCCTTCTTTGGGGGCAGATTTCAATGCTTGGGAATTGTAGACATTGCTTCTTTTTCCCTACCTATAATATTTTGGGACAGAAAGAAGACCCTGACCTTACTGCTGATACCAGCAAAGGAGAGAGTATAGCAACTTGTTAATATCCATTAGCTTCTTTGCCTGATTATGCAGTTACTTCAAGGTTTTGATTAATGGAACCATTATTGGAATTAACAGTACTTGGTTCTTTCTCAAGCAAGCAGCACATTACTCCTGAAGGTGGACTCATTAATCTTTCTTACTTTGTTTCCTTTTACCCTGCTTCTTTATAAATATCTACCCATACCATTTTGGGAGGTCTTTCGTTTGGACAAATATGACCACTGGAAAATATCCTTCAACAGAGATAAGAAGTACATATGATTCCCTCATATATAAACACACTCCTAATATACTTCTCCAATTATAAGACCCAATTTGAACAAAGTAAATTATTTCAAGTCTGTGTGTTAAAGGGATGAACTTACACAGCTGGAAAAGCTAGGATATGAATGTATATAAACTGTTTTTCAGTCAGTTGCCTGGTCAACAGAAAAATGCAAAATAAGTTAAAATGAGAGGGGAAGGAACAGAATACCCAGCTCCGATTCTGGAAACAAAGAGTTCTCTTTTTGTGAGACAACAGAAACTTGTGAGTGTTGGACTGTGGAGAAGCAGGTGTTGCTGGAAATAAGAGAAGAGAAAAACTGAAAGAAACCTTCAAAACAACCCAAGTTAGTCCACTTATATAAAGAATTAAAAAATATAAGACTTTCTTGGGTGTGGTTAAGGGGAATACTTGGGATCACTTATATAATCAGCAAGAGACCTAGAGCTAAAAATCTGTGCTAATGTGCCATACATTATTCTTTAGCCTCGACAGCAACTATCTGAAAGGATTTGCTATCCTATTTCTCTGACATGAAAGGCTTAGGTCCTTTTAAAATTGGTTTCACTTTGTTCTTTCTCATCTCAGTAAATGTCATCACTATCAACCTGTGCATATCACCAACCAAGAACTCATTCTTGATTTCTCAGTACTTTCACTCAATTTATCCTCCATTGTTATTGGCTCAGCCTTCAAAATAGATCCTTCAAGGTACAATCATTTCTACTGATAACACTAAGCTACATATCTGTCTTGGATTGTTTATAATTTTCCTCCCTGCCTACATGCTTCATACTGAGAATCTACACGCCACATAAAAACCAGAGTGATATTTTTTAAATATCTGGCAAATGTTTCAAACTAGTTCTCCATAAGAAAGTAAAGCCCTAGTTTGTAAGTTTGCTGGTTCCCATCGTATAAATAATCCCAATATACTTGACTTCAAACTAATATAACTGAAAGCGGAGTTGGGAAGAAATGAGAGTATTTTCCATGCTCATAAACTAATGTGAGTCAGTTCTAGGATATCACTGTCTGTACCAAAATTATTTCAGCTGTAAGTTACAGGAAATTGAACTTATATATAAATCAGAGAGGGTCTTTTCATTCATGTGTTTGAGAATGTGTGGGGAGGGCTGCATTCTGGCATTGCTGGATTTGGGTGCTCAAATGTTGTATCAGAAACTTTGATGCTTTCATTCATTCATTTATTCACTGATATTTTCAAAAAAAATCTGTTGAATACACATTCCGTGTCAGATGCTATTCTGGTGCTGAGTACATAGTGGTAGGGTAGACATAGCTCTGCCTTCATGAAGTTATGTTCAAGTGGTAGGGACAATCAGTAAACAAATAAATATATAATATCATAGGGAGTGATAAGTGCTATGAGGAACAATAAAATAAGGTTAAGGAAAAATGAGTTATAGTGAGATTTTAGGCTGGACTAGAACAGATCAGGGAGATGACAATGAGTAGGAGGTGAGCCATAGAAATACCTTCAGGAGAGCAGCCCAAGTGAAGAGAACAGCAGGTGTACAGGTGCCAGGGCTGGAACGCGCACATAGCATACCTGCATTTGGAGGAGTATCAGGCAGTTCTGCCTGGTTGTAGCCAAATGAGTGAGAGTGGTAAAAAAGAAATTTGGGAGGGAAAAGAAACTAGTACCTGTATGAACTTGTTGCTAGAGTAAGTAGTTTGGGTTTTCCTACAAAACTGATGCAAAACCATTGGAGGTTTTGAGCACTGAAGTACATGACCTGATTTATATTTTAAAATAACTCATCTGCCTGCTGATTAGTATTGTCTGAGGGAAACAAGGCACTCCGAGAACAGGATACTCAGTTAGGGGGCTATGGTTATTATCCAAGTGAGAGATGAACAAAGAAAACGCTTAAAGGTAGAGAGAGCGAGGTTGTCAGATTTGTGACCAACAGTACTTACCAATGGACTAGATGTACAGTGTAAGAGAAAAAGAGGAACGAAGATTGACTATGATATTTCAGAATCTAACCAGAAAAAAATATTTGTGAGTGTATTCTGAGATTCACAGAAATGCATATTAGACCATCTCAGGGGACAAGTCAGGGATGACAGTAAAAACATGGTAATTATTCATGAGTAGCAAGACGATGTTTAAAGCCATGCACATCGAGTGTAAGTGGAGAAGAGAAGAAGAGCTAGGACCAAGTCCTGCTGTAGAAGAGAAAAAGGGTCTAGCCACAAAAATGAAAAAGAAACAGCAAATGACAAGGGAAAAACAGATGTCTTCAAAGTCAACTGAAGTCAATATGTCAAGAGGGCAGGAGTGATTAACTGCCGAATGCTATTGAGACATTGTGGAAAATTAGAACATGACAAGAGTGATTTCAGGGGATGAGGGGATTCTAGTCCTGATTGGTGAAGGTTAAAGAGGAAATGAGAGGAGAGGCTGAGGAAACAGGGAGAGTGGATAATATTACGAAAAATGTTCACTATAGATGACAACAACAAAATAGGGCAGAACTTGAAGAAAGATATGATAGTTAAGGGAAGGCATTTTTTTTGCATATGTGTTTTTAAGTTGAGAAAATCACAAAACGTATAAACTAGTAGCAATACCACAACAGAGAAGAGAACATTGGCAATGAAGGACAACAAGGGGTAAATCCAGGAGCAACCTCTTTGAGTAGTAGGTTCTGCAATTTGAGATCCAATGCACAGAAGAGGGAGTTGTTATTAGATGGGAGAACAGAGAGATCATTGTAATGAAAGAAAGAAAAACATATGGCTAAAGAATCTGGAATGTTGATAGGTTTGCCATTGGAGACAGAGGAAGCTCTTCTGATTGCCTCTATTTTCACAGTGAAATAAAAGGCAGGATCATCAGATGCCAGTGGATGGTGAGGGGAATGTATTGGATGCTGGGAAAGGAAGGAAAAAGGAAATGGAAAATGAAGGGAAAAAAGGAAATGGACCTCACAGAAAATGAGAAAGTAGATTGATCAGGACTGTATATAAGAATTGCCAGGCATGGCCAAGTGCTCACTTGAGGTTTGCAGTCACATTTCTGGAGGCTGCCTTCATTCTCTGGCAGGCTCAATCCTGTTTATACCAAGATGACTACCTGCTTCTCTTGGCTTATATCCTACCACCATACCAAATC
The DNA here is from genome assembly GCF_000001405.40 of Homo sapiens. Lineage (NCBI taxonomy): Eukaryota > Metazoa > Chordata > Mammalia > Primates > Hominidae > Homo > Homo sapiens. The sequence continues at coordinate 161,136,358 of NC_000005.10, read as the reverse complement.
CAGTGGAAAGAGAAATCTTCTTTTCCAATAGCTCCAGAAAAAAAATCTGAGTGAGCTCTCATCTGTTGGACTTCAGCCCTTGCTTAGGCTCTGATCTCATTTTTGTGGTCAGGGAATGATGTTGTGGGCCATGCATCTCCCCAGGAGCCTCAGGTTAGGGTGGATTAGGCTCTGCTCAAACACAGAGATATAATGGGGAGGGTAGTCTACCAAAGAAAATCACGGTATATATTACCACATGAAGGAAGATCAGAAGCTGTGCAGGCAAAAGAGCCAAATCCACCACTGTAAAATTATTGGCATATTCATTTACTGAAAAACGGAGTCAAGCATCGTTAATGACCTCTAAGAATCCTTTCAGTTCTAATAGTTTTTTGAAAAATTCCCTAGTTTTGAAACTCCCAATTTGGGCACATTTGACTGGGGAAGGGACTAATCTGACAATACCATTATTGATCATTTTCATCAATACTTGAATTATTCAACAGCTATGCCCACTCAGTGCATTTTCAACCTGCTTCTAATATGAAAACTCCTCCTGCAACCCTGTCTTATATTGCTGCACAAGCGCTATTTTCTTCAGGAATTTTTTAAAACGGTCGCATTGCATTGAATTTCCCTTGCAGTTTCTCATATTAAAAATATAAATCAGTCCAGGTGTGGTGGCTCACTCCTGTAATCCCGGCGCTTTGGGGGACAGAGGGACAGAGGCAGGCGAATCACCTGAGGTCAGGAGTTCAAGACCAGCCTGACCAACATGAAGAAACCCCATCTCTACTGAAAAAAAAAACAAAATTAGCCAGGCATGGCGGCACATGCCTGTAATCCCAGCTACTCGGGAGGCTGAGGCAGGAGAATTGCTTGAACCTGGGAGGTAGAGGCTGCAGTGAGCCAAGATCGTGCCATTGCACTCCAGCCTGGGCTACAAGAGTGAAACTCTAACTCAAGGAAAAAAAAAAAAACTATATATGTGTGTGTGTGTGTGTGTGTGTGTGTGTGTGTGTGTGTGTGTATCAGATTTTTTTTTTTGAGACGCAGTCACTCTGTTGCCCTGGCTGGAGTGCAGTAGTGTGATCTCAGCTCACTGCAACCTCCGCCTGTCAGGTTTAAGTGATTCTCCTGCCTCAGCCTCTCAAATAGCTGGCATGTGCCACCATGCCTGGCTAATTTTTGTATTTTTTAATCGAGATAGGGTTTCACTATTTTTGGCCAGGCTGGTCTTGAACTCCTGACCTCAAGTCATCCATCTGTCTCGGCCTCTCAAAGTGCTTGGTTTACAGGCGTGAGCCACTGCACCTGGCCCTGATTCACTTTTAACACTTCTTGTACCATCATCCCTATAAAACACAATTCTGTTTTTATTTAATGCTAACTGTATATCTTAAAGTTTTTTCTTCCTAATAGTTCAGCTGTGGATTTACATTCTTAGTAACTGCACATTTACATAAGTTGCTATGGTGATATTATAAAATTATTTCAAATCAAAAGGCTTCCCTGAAATCACGTTAGATGTGGAAATAACATTGCTGAAAACCTTGTGTTTCAGGTAAGAAAGTCTGAGTAAGCAGAGATTCTTAACTAGAACACAATATGGTAATATAAACAAACAAGCAACAAAAAACAAAAAAATCTCTACTAAGACTAGAGATGTTGTATAGTGATTAACAGCATTGGTTTTAGAAATCCAAAACTAAGTGATTATCATTTGGAACTGAAATATTTATATTTGATGACCTTCTCACACTCCTTGGATTTGGAAAAGGGCATTGTCCTTGTTTCCTGTTTCTTATCCCCAGCTCAGTACAATGAAACGAGGAAGCTCCAGGCTGTCCAGCTTCACAGGACACAGGGGAGAGGAGTCTCCTATACTCCAGCTTTTCTTTCGGAAGCAGAGTTTTGAAGTTGACCTTAAGAGTCTGAGTAAATGGATAGAAGCATTTTTGATCCCAGAGAGGCTCTGCTCGAGTTCTGCATCAAATGCCTTTCTGCTCTCCTTTTTCCTCTTGAACAATACAAGAGACCTAATCAGTCTCCTTGGAAAGCCCTCTTGTAGGAGGTTGTTCATTCCCTCACAGAACACCTCACTTCAGTCTTATCTCTGGTCCTTTCACAGAATGTGGAAATTACTTTCAACTTGAGGATTAAAAGAAAACATTTGGCCTGAAGTTCTGTCTACTGAGACAGCCAAGGCAAGGAGTCCCCCAGCAACCCCCACCCTTCCCTAAAACTTCAAGCCTTTCCTCTGATCACTGGCAGAAATGATGAAAAAACTCCTCATGGGTGGGTTGGGAGGCTCTCGTTGGATTCTAAGCTCGGCAATACTTGAAAAATGAGTTTTAAATATGGGGCATTAGGATGAGGAAGTGAGGAAATATTTTTCTAACCAAAAAAATCAAGGTTTTACGAACCATTACAAGAGACTCTGATATATTATAGCTTAATACGTAACTTCCAGTCAACCAATCCCTTGTTATTTTCAGAAATATGTAGTTAGTTAGAAAAACTGCCTCTGCTTTGTTGTTCCTATGCTACTTAGGGATGAATTATTAATATGATTCTGATATACCAGGGAGGCTTTCTTGAGTTCTTTCTATTCACTCTCCATGGGTGCGATGGTTAATTTTATGTGTCAATTTGACTGGGCCACAGGGTGCACAAATAGTTGATTAAACATTGTTGTGCTGAGTCTGTGAGAGTGTTTCTGGATGAGATTAACCTTTGAATCTGAAGATTGAGTACAGCGGATTGCCCTCTCCAATGTGGGTGGGTCTCATCTGATCCATTAAAAACCTGGGTAGGAGATAATTCCCTCATTCTGTCTGTTGGTTTTCAAGCTGGGACTTTGGTCTTTCTCTGCCTTTGGACTCAGACTCAAGCTAGAACTTATACCATCAGATCTTCTGAGTCTCCATCTTGTTGATTACAGATCCTAGAACGTCTCTCTCCTCCACAACTACATGAGCCAATTTATTATTAGATAGATAGATAGACAGACAGACAGTCAGATAGGTATGTATTGGTTCCGTTTCTCTGGAAAACCTAGGTTAATACAATGGGCATTACTCCTAAGATAAGTCTGCGTAGTGAAACTTCACTGAATTTGATAACTTCGATTTATTTAGTGTCTACTATCTGTGAGTCTGTAAACAGCCATAGAAAACATGTCCTTGTCCTCAAGGAATGGGGAGACAAAGAATCAATTACAATGCCATGTGTAAAGTTACAGAAGAAAGGTGCTCTGTGAACACAGGAGAAGAGGCCCTAAGCGTCTCATTTAGGCTGGTTAGAGACCCGGGATCTGGGCAAAGTCATTGGAGAAAAGGAGAGGTGGACTGCAAAATGTAGATAAGATTTTAATAGGCGAAGAGGGCTTTGGAGAGATTAAGAACCTGAGAAAGCAGCTTAGAGGCAGTAATGAAATGCTTAAAATACTAGAAAGAAAGTCGTGGTTAGCATAATATTGAATACAAATTGTTGAATAATTGATACATACCAAGTATTAGGCATAGCTCTGTGTACACATGACTTATTTAATCAACATGTAAACTATATCAGTTAGGAATAATGAGGTGGTAAGTACCACAAAATCCAGCTCTAGCAGGCCTAATCACAATAGAGTATCTATGAGCTCATATAATTCAGCAGTCCAAAGATTATTTTATATTTCAATGTGACTGGGCCACAGGGTCCACAGATATTTGATTAAACATTATTCAGTTGAGTCTGTGAGGGTGTTTCTGGATGATTCACTTTGCAAATGATTTAGGAAGAGAGACTTCCATCTAGATTGATAATACTTCACTTTCTCTGTTGTCTTTAAATGCTATGTCTGGTTTCATATCCTGACTTTTCTTCTAGCTGGCTGTGTGACCTTGCAGAAGTTAACTTCCTAGCTTAACTTCTCTGTCCTTTGATTTCCTCAGCCTGCAAAATAAAAATGATAATAATAAAACCTACTTTACAGGACAGCCATGAGGGTTACATGAGCTAGTTCATATAAAGCACTTTGAAAAATGTCTGGCACAAAATAAGTGAAAAATAAACATTATAAGGTCTTTAATCTATTAACTCAGAAGCACTGGCTGCATTTCAAATTAGATACACTTTTTGGTTGTTGTTGACCCAGAGAAAAAATGAAGCTCCCTGTCATCTGACATTCTAAAAATCCAGGAAACTCTGTTAACTGGCACATCTCTCCAAGAAATTATCATGCCTAACAAGAACTCAGAAAAACCTCAAGAAGTTTGAGGGCTGGAGAATTACTGAGAAAAGATCCTACTATATTCATTGTGATTGTATTATTAAATACATTCTATCAAGTTTTGGTGTTTGTGAACATCAAAGGGCACAATTAGTCACTTCTTAGAGGTGACTTGTGAAACTTGTTTAAGATACTTAGTTGTACCTCAGTTTCTTCATGTACGTAGTGAAGGAGCTCAACTAGAAAATGCTGTGAAATCCTTCCCAATGGTAACATCCTATGGCCCTATTAATTGGTGATTTATGTGTACTAGGTATGGGAACTCAAGACTATGAAATTAAAATTTTTAATAATTCAAATATTTATTGATTTCTTCCCATATGTTAGTCACTGTGATGGGTGCCAAAGATACATTTCAAACAAAAAAGGGATTTTACAGAGCTCACAGACTAGAGACATAGGAGTAAATGAGCTGCTGCAATGTATTGTGCATGAAACCAATCAATTACTCTTGACTATAACCTTGACAGAAAGTTCACAGAATGTTAGTAGAATCAGAGAATGTCTAGTATACCTAACATAATTTAGAAACAGAAATCAGAAAATGGTTTTTGGAGAATTCAAATAATGAAAAGATAATAGTGTATTAGAATTGGGGTATTGGGCTAGCTTCCTAAGTGGTGACAAAACTATTCTGATAATAATTCAGTTCTTGTTATTCTTTAGGATCAAGGCATTTTTAAAGTTATGTTTCAGTCTTCTGTTTTTTCTTACATATTAGACTTGTCTGGGCCACCTGTCAATAGGCTGCGTTCCATTATTATCTTAGAATGCTTTTAACATTACCCTTGTTGATGTGTAAAATCTATATAATTTTTAGATTCAGATGGATGTTGAAACTGAACAGAAAGAAGGATCCAAGCTATGATTTAGGCATCATCATGTCTAGGCAAGCCCAATTTTTCAATGCTATCAGCAAGGGCTACAGATCAGAAAATACCAAGGGCAAAATGAAAAACTAGAAAAAGGCACAGAAAATGAATATCCCTGAGTTGGCAAAGATTTCCACCATAATACTATCAAAATCTTACTTTGCTGGGTTCTTATAGTGGTAGAAGTGATTTTGTTGGTGTGTTGGGAGCTAATTGAAATATGTAAGCCACAAAAAGGAAACCATTTAATTCATGCATACATTAAACAAATAGCAGCAGAACACAAGGTTAGGGCCAGGCAATGCAACGTCAGGAGATACACCATAAAATGTAATAGACAAGGTCCCTGCTTTCAGAGAGTCTGCAATACAGTGAGAATATAGACAACAAATAAGAAAATAGTAAATAAGGTAATTATATATTGTGATTCAAAATTTAGAAGATGGTTACAGGTTTTTGTCATAGAGAATAAACAAAAAAAAAGATCTGCTTAGGTGTCGCAGTCATTTATGATTCAGCGCTGGATTCTGCAGTGCCTGCCTCCTGGATTTTTCTTTAACATCATAAGAAAAATAAACTACTGCTATTCAAGTTGATCTTTCATCACATATTATCTCTGTGGAAGGGGCATCCTAGGATCAGTAATAAAGTTATTTGCGCAAGCCCTTTAATGCAAAGAAGATATGAAAATCCAGACTTCTTTTTTTATTGGTATAACAGCAGTAGGTTGGCCTTTGCAATTAGACTTTGTAATCTGCCTAACCTTCTCTGTCATTTTATGGAAGTGAATTCCTTATAAAAGTGAATTCCTCAGTTGTCTACATTCTAAATAGAATTCTCCTAATCTTATGCATTATCCTGCTAATATTAGGAAGGATAATTCCTTGCAGCAAAAACTACCCAACATGTTGAATATGCCAATGGGCGTGTGTCTTGATACCTGGTTTTGAAGATTTTATAAACTTTTTGCAGGGACATCGACCCATAAGGTGCCAGAATAGAATGACTTTTCAAGAGGCAGCCTGCATAACTTTAAGATTGTGGTAATTCAAAGAAAAATCACCCCCTGCATATAAAGTAAAGGGAGTTTGGTAGAGGATTAGCAGAAAGAGGATAATGAGAACCAGGAGGAAGAAGAAGAGAAAGAGAAGTTCAGGAAGATGGAGTGTAAGAAAACAGAGGGAGGAAATGAGAAGAAATAGTCATAATTATTCATTTATCTGGGCCTCATCACTGCACAATCATGACTAAAGCCAGCCCTGGCCCCTACTGCAAGCCTCAGCCATCACCACTGTGGCTTGAGCCCCCGTCCCTCCCCAGCCGTGCTCTTCTCTAGACCCAGGGTTACCACTGAAGATTCCAACAGCTCCCACAGTCACCAAGTATCATTTCTTCACCAATTTTGCAAGCAAAGACCATGTAGTTGCTAATGTCATGGACTCCAGCTGCCTGAGCCATCAAACCGTCACACTTTATCAGGCCCAGAGTTGGCATCCTGTGCACCACTAGATCCAGTGCCACAGCATGCTTCCAAACATTTCATCCATAGTCTCTGCACACTGTACCTCAAGTGAAGATTTTTCCTTACCAAGGCCAATCCTTGAAGTCTGGAAATGGTAACTGCTTCTTCAAATGTCCATACATCGACACAAGAAACAATGAACATGAAAAATTATGGACACCTCCAAAGTAATACAATAAACTTCTATTTACCAACCTCAAAGTGATGGAGAGCCATGAATTACCTGACAAAAAAATCAAAATAATTTTTCTAAAGAAGCTGAGTGAGCTACAAGAGACACAGAAAAACAATTTAACAGTATCATAAAATAATACAAAACAAAATGAGAAGTTCAACAAGGGAATATAAATTATAAATAAGAACTAGGACCTGGCATGGTGGCTCACACCCAAAGTAATCCGAGCACTTTGGAAGGCCAAGGCGGGCAGATCACGAGGTCAGGGGTTCGAGACCAACCTGACCAACATGGTGAAACCCTGTCTCTACTAAAAATGCAAAAATTAGCCAGGCATGGTGTTGCATGCCTGTAATCCCAGCTACTCAGGAGGCTGAGGCAGGAGAATTGCTTGAACCCAGGAGGTAGAAGTTGCAGTGAGCTGAGATCGTGCCACCGCACTCCAGCCAGGGTGACAGAGCGAGACTCTGTCTCAAAAAAAAAAAAAAAAGAAAAAGAAAAAGAAAAAGAAAAAAATTATAAATAAGAACTAAACATAATATCTGGAACTAAAGCATAAAATGAATGAAATTTAAAAATACAACAGAGCTTCAACAGACGATTCTATTAAGCAGAGGAAAAAATCAGCAAACTTGAAGATAGATCATTTGAAACTATCTAGTCAAAGAATAAAGTAATAATAATAAGAGTAAAGAATGCATATAATATTTACAGGACACTTTCAAACAAACCATTTTCCACATTATGAGTTCCAGAAAAAAAAAGGGGAAAAGGACCTGATTTAAAGAAATGATAACAGAACTCTTCCCAAATCTGGGAAGGAAAATAGACATCCAGACTCAAATATACTGAACATAAGGAGGTCTATACCAAGACACATTGTGAATAAGTTGTCAAAAGACAACAGCAAAGAGAATTGTGAAAGCAGCAGGAGAAAAATCACTCATTACATTCATGTAATGCTTATAAAACTATTAGTGTATTTCTTGACAGAAACTTTGCTGGTCAGGAGAGAACAGGATGATATATTCAAAGTACTAAAAGAAAAAAAAAATGTCAACCAAGAATACTACACACTGCACAGCTATCATTTTAAAATGAAAGCGAGATCAAATATTTCCAAGACAAATAAAAACCAAGGGAATTTGTCACCACTAGATCTGCCTTATGAGAAATGTTTAAGAGTGTTTTTCAAATAGAGTCAAAACACACTAAGCAGTACCATTAAAGAATTTGTAAGTATAAATCCCACAAGCAAAGGCAGATATATAGTCAAATACAGAACAGTTTAACATTGTGATGGTAATGTGCAGTTTACCCATAACTCTAATACAAAAGATTTTTTAAACCCTAAAATACTAAGAATAACAATAACTGCAAAAGTTTGGCAACAGATTCATAATAAGAAAGAAGTAAACTCAGACTTCAAGAATATAAAGTGTGTGTTGTGGGGAGGGTGGTAAAATGTAGTTTTTGTATGCCCCTGAACTTAAGTTGTTATCAAATTAAAGCAGATAAATATAATTATAGGAAGATTTATGTAAGCCTCATAGTAACAAAAAAGGAAAAACCTATTGTAGAAGCAGAGAGGAAAATGGTGATTTCCAGGGGACGACGGAAGGAGGAAATGAAATGTATTAGTCTGTTCTCACACTGCTATAAAGAACTACTTGAGACTGGGTAATTTATTAGGAAAAAGGTTCATTGACTCACAGTTCCATAGGCTGTACAGGAAGCATGGCTGGGATGCCTCAAGAAACTTACAATCATGGTGAAAGCAAAGGGGAAGCAAGCACATCATACCATGGCAGAGCAGGAGAGAGCAAAGGGGGAAGTGCTACCCACTGTAAAACAACCAAATCTTGTGATATCTCACTCACTAAGATGAGAACAGAAAGGGGAATATCTGCCCCCATGATCCAATCACCTTCCAACAGCTCCCTCCCCTAAACTGAAAATTATAATTCAACATGAGATTTGGGTGGGAACACAGAGCCAAACCATACCATAAGGTGCTGTTGGCCAAAGGACATAAAGTTTCAGATAAAGGTTCTAGAGATCTAAAATACAGCATGGTGATGATAGTTAACAATATTTTATTATATACATGAAATTTGCTAACAGCATAGCTATTAAGCTATTTTACCACACACACACACACACACACACACACACACACACACAGAATATATATACCACATCTATATATACGTGATATGTATATATTCTACATCTATATATACGTGTGTGTATATATATACATGTTAGCTAGAATGTGATGATCATTTCACATTATATGTATATCAAAACATCAACTTATGCACCTTAAATATACACAATTTTATATCAATGATATCTTAATAAAACTGTTTTAAAAAGTAGCATGTGAAACAAAGGTATGTCATCCTATAGAATAAAATAATCTTTGTGCAGGCTGGTTAGACAATGCTGCAATATAACTTTGAAAGGACATTCAGTAATTCTTTTGCCTTGTTTATATGTTTTGCATATTTTTTCTTTGTTTTCCCCCATGCCCTAACAATTTAATAACAGTCTTTCTATAGAATCACTAGCCATGAAAAGTACCAAACTTCTATACATCCTCAATTAGAAACTTAAGATAAATATATTTGGACAATAGGCATCTTTCCTTTGTTTTGTTAGGATTAAAAAATAATTCCTCATAGACCTGAGGATAAAGTTCACAAAATCACATAATCTATGATATCACTATCACACAAATGCAATGTTTAATGATAATAAAATTTATAATTGTGAATGCTAGTAAGAATGTAATGAAGCTAGCATTCTTATCCATTGCTTAAAGCAATGTAAATATTTTTTATTCATTTATTTTTCAACCTTCATTTTAGTTTCAGGGGTTACGTGTACATGTTCATTACATGGATAAATTTTGTGTTGCTGAAGTTTGGAGTGCAAAAGATTTGGTCACTCAGGTAGTGAGCATAGTACTTGGTATATAATTTTTCAAGCTTCCTCCACTTCCCACCCTTCTCCCTTTAGTATTTATCAGTGTCTACTGTTCCCATCTTTACGTTTGTGTATACTCAATATTTAGCTCTTACTTATAAGTGAGAACACAAGGTATTTGGTTTTCTGTTCCGGTGTCAAATCAGGTAGGATAATGGCCTACTACCTCCTGAATGACTTTTGGTTAAACAGTAAAATTAAGGCAGAAATCAAAAAATGATTTGAAATAAATGAAAATACCAAAATATTGAATGAAACAAATGAAGATCATGGCATACCAAAATTTCAGGGATGCAGCTAAAAGTGTTAAGGAGAAAGTTAATAGTGCTAAGTGCCTACATAAAGAAGTTAGAAAGCTCTTAAATTCACAATGTAACATCACACGTAGAAGAACACGTAGAAGATAAGAACAAACTAACCCCAAAACTATAAAAAAAGAAATAACCAAAATCAGAGGATAACTGAATAAAATTGAGACCCCAAAATGCATACAAAGTGTCAACAAAACCAAAAGCTGTTTTTTAAAGGATAAACAAGATTGCTAGTTAGATCATTAGTTAAATTAATAAAGAATAAAAGAGAGAAGATCCAAATAAGCAAAATCAGAAAAACAAAGGTGATGCTACAACCAATCCTAGAGAAATACAAAATATCCTCACTTACTATTATGAACCCCTCTATGCATGTAAGCTAGAAAATCTATAGGAAATGGATAAAATCCTGGAAATATACAACCTCTCAAGACTGAATCAGGAAGAAATCAAAACTCTAAATAGACCAATATTGAGTTCTGAAATTGAATCAGTAATGAAAATCCTACCAATCAAAGAAAGTCCTGGGCCATATGGATTCACAGCCAAATTCTACCAAACATACTAAGAACTAAGAATGGGTACCAGTCCTACTGACATTATTCTAAAAAATCAAGGAGAGACTCCTTCCTGACTCATTCTACAAAGCCAGCATCACTCTTACACTAGAATATGGCAAATATACAACAGAAAAAGAAAGTGAACAGTGAAGGGTTGCCTAATATTCTTGAAGAAAACACAGGCTAAAGCAATGCAATGATGGAGAAAGACCCACCTGGCAGGGCATGTAGAATGGATTGAACATACCATCTGTTTAACTTAAAACATTATTTTCACAAAAAAGAAAACCAAGTGGTTACTCCTATTCTAAACCATAGCAATTGATGAAATAGAACATGCTTCTAATCTCAGGCCTGTCCACAATTTCAGGCCCTGCAGAAGCAGGTTCTAGGCACAGCCAGATGTAGCTGCACCTCAAGCTGTTGTTGTTATTAAGCTTGCTGGATTTAGTGCTGCTGTTCTAAGAGGCAATTCTTTGATGTGACCACGTGAGTTAGAAAGAGATTCATTTCTTGCCATCAGAGCAGAAGTTATTCAGCCAGGATTCATCTTCCTTCATTTCCCCACTTAATATTAACATAGTTTGGCTTTAGGGAATTTTCTGAGACATTTAAAATTATGTGCAAAAATTTGTGAATGTATATTTTTCCTAGCAGAGCTTTTATCAGATTCTCAATGATGTATACAGTCCTCCCAAAATTTAAGCATTCTGGGTCTAGGGATAGGGGCTGTATCTATTTTGGCCAGCATATAGAGTTCTCTGTGCCATTATCCATCTATCTGAAGGTTGGGGAGGTAAATAGGAGCTGCTTTGAAGACCTTCACTGGTACTAAAGGATAAACCAAAGATGATATCAAAGAGTCTGATTATCTCTCGACTCTTCACAAATTTTTCAGAATTTCCTTGATTTACCACAGGTGGCTATGTACATGGTATGTATATTTGAACAATGAAATTCTGTCCAAACTCAAGATATCAACTTTTCCCTATATTAATTTCTATTGCTGCCAATAAGAAATTCCCAAAACCTACTTGCTTAAAACAATCCATATGTATTATCTTACAGTTCTGGAGATCAGAATTCCAAAATCAGTCTTACCAGACTGATCGTTGTTAGAGTTAGATCCTTCTGGAGGCTCCAGGTAAAAACTCATTTTCTTGCCCTTTACAGTTTCTGGAGACCACCTGAATCCCTTATCTCTACCCATCCCTCTACCTCACTGTCAGCAGAGGAGCATCTTCAGATTTCTCTTTCTTCTGACATCATGTCACCTTCTCTTTGACTGTAATACTACTGCTTCCTCTTTATAAGGACTCTTGTGATTACATTGGGCCAACCCAGATAATCCAGGATAATCCCTCCTTTTAAAAATCTTTAACTTAATCACATCTGTAAAATCCCTTTTGCCATGTAAGTTCACATCATCACAGGTTCCATGGATTAAGATATCAACATCTTAGGGGGTTCATTATTTAGCCTACTACACACTCAAACTGTATATAAAATTATTTGGCTTAAGACTAAAGTATTATCTTCATCCACATGATCTTGGATAAATAGCATATTGTGCCACTGTTAGTCTTGGGATTCAATTAACTTTTATGATAAGCTCTAAAGTGACTCTGAGGAAATGGGACTCTGGACAGTTAAGATGTTATAAAAAGAATGCTTCTATTTTCATCTAATTATGAAGACCATTCTTCCATATTTTGTAAAGTTACCAAATAATGTAAAAACATAAAGTTTAACATAACTTTCTCATCCAGAGATAGTCACCTTTCATATTCTAGTAAATTTTCTTGCAGTCTTTTTTTGATGAATGGGTATGTGAATATACAAATATTCATTTCTATACACATATAAACATATACTTTTTCTCTTACAGATTTGAAATCATAGGATAAATTGTGAATCTTCCTTTATTTTCCCACTTAAGATTATAGCATAAGCATTTCCCATGGCACCAAATATTTACTGAAAGCAAAGCTTGAATATAATATAATTAATACTCTTCGAGTTACTCCAATGTTCAGCCATTTCATATTTTACATGCTCTTTTTTTAGTGCTAACAGAACTTTATAGAGGTATAATTAAGTACAGTAAATGTAAAAATCTTAATTTATTCACCCAGTAAATGCTCAGACCAAGATGTAGAATATTTTCATCATGCTAAAAAGTTCCCTTTTGCCTCTGTCCAGTCAATCCCCCTACCAAAGGAAAGAAGTATTCTTTTTTTTTTTTTTGAGATGGAGTCTCGCTCTGTCGCCTGGCTGAAGTGCAGTGGCGCAATCTGGGCTCACTGCAACTTCCACCTCCTGGGTTCAAGAGATTCTCCTGCCTCAGCCTCCCAAGTAGCTAGGTCTACAGGTGTGCACCACCATGCCTAGCTAATTTTTGTATTTTTGGTAGAGACGGGGTTTCACCATGTTGGTCAGGATGGTCTCGATCTCTTGACCTCGTGATCCGCCTGCCTCAGCCTCCCAAAGTGCTGGGATTACAGATGTGAGCCACCGCACCCTGCCAAAAGAAGTAGTCTTATTTATATTACTGTCAATTAGTTTTGCATGTTCTTGACATTCTTCATTTACATATAAATTATTTAATACTGAATGTAAAATGTGTCCTTTTTTTGGTCTGGCTCTTTTATTCAATATAATGATTTGAAATTCATCCATTTTGTTCTATGAATCATTGTTTGTTTGTTTGTTTTTTAGCTGAAAAATATACTATTTTGTAACTATACCACAATTTTGTTGTTGAACAATATTGATGAACTTGTAGACATTTGGATTCCTTCTCCTTTAGGACTTTTATGAATAAAGCACCTGTGAATATTCTGATAAAAGTTACATTGTGGACACATCCATTTATTTCTCTTGGATGCCTACCTAGAAATAGAATTGCTAGGATTGAGTTGTTACAGTTTATTAAAAACTACCAAATGGGTTTCTAAGTAGTTGATGATTTTATACTCCGAACAGTACATAAGAGTTCCATTGCTCCACATCCTCACCAATATTTGGTCTTTTCGTTTTAACTATTCTAATAGATATAGTAGTATTTTAATGTGCTTTAAACATGCATTTCCTTAATACTATTGATTTTCATGTGCATAGTGATTATTCAAATATCTTTTTTTGTTGGGTGATTTATGTGTTTACTAATGATGTGTAGAAGTTCCTTATGATTCTAGATACAAACTCTTTGTCAGATACATGTATTACAAATATTTCTTCCTAGTCTTTTTACTTTATTAATGTTGTCTTTTGATGATTAGAAGTTTTAAAATTCGATGCAGTCCAATTTGTAATTTTTTTCTTTTATTATTGATGTTGTTTGTATTCTCTTTTAGAAATCTTTGCCTACCTCAAGTTCATAAATATATTCTCCTAAGTGTTCTTCTAGAAAATGTTATGCCTCTAGCTTTCACTTTTAGTCTATGATCTATCTCACAAGAAATATAATTTATTTTTTATTACTATCTAGTTGTTCCAGCATCATATATTGGAAACACATTCCTTTGGCCATTTAACTATATCAGTGCCTTTGTCAAAAGTTAATTGAGCATATTTTAAAATATTACAATTATCTCCAGTTTTAGTCTTCTATAAATTATTTATTCATAAGCACTTTATGGTATCATTTGATTACTAAAATAAATGACCAAAATAAAATTGTTAAATTGAAATATAAATGTTTCTAATGTTATTAGTAGATATTGTCAAATTTCTTTAGGATGGCTTCTCCAGCTAATACTCAAGCCAGAAGTGGGTGAGAGTATTCATTTACCTTACCAGTAGCAATAATACTAGCTTTAAAACATAACTAATATTACAGGCAACAGAGCATATCACTGTGTTAACTAATTTTCTTTGATTGCTAATGAAGCCTTTTACTAACAAAACTCAGAACCAGAATACTTGGATTTGTGACTCTGCTACTTACCAAACTTGTAATATTATTGGGGAAATTAGTTATCTGTACTTTTATTTTTACATCTTAAGAATTAGAACAATACTAGGATCCATCTTAAAAATACTATGAGGCAGTAGAAATGTAATAATTAAATAATTCAAGGATGGTACTTACAACAATGCTTGGCATTTACTGAGCGTTCACCATGTATTAACCATCATTAATATTATTACATAATCACTAGGCTTTTAAATTTCTTTTGGAATGTTTCTGTCTCCTGGAAAAGTAATATATTTTGGCAACTGAGAAATATTGGAGAGATTTTATATCAAAATGGAGAGTGATCCAAGCACCCATAAAAAGAAAGCAAATTAAAGGGCGAAATGAAATAAAAATCAGACTTCAGCTCTTTCAAAAATTTTCCCAGAAGTGTTCTTAGAAATACCTGTAAATTTCATTTGAAGCAATGCTTCCTAACTTAAAATTCTAAGCAAAATTGTCAGTGTCATGCACACACACGCATGCATTTTTCTGGGCAGAAGGATCAGCTATTATGGTTTCCTCTTGGGAAGCCCTTAGAGACAGAACATCAGCTCTGGGTGGTCATTTAAAGTTTCTCTACTTTGCAGTTTACACAAAGGTAAATTAAGACCCATAGGGAGGAAGTAACTGGCTGAAGTTTATATAACTATGTAAGGGCAGACCCTGGCATTAAAACTCAGAATTTAACTTCCTATTGAGTATAATTTTGTTACATCAGATAAATGTGTCTCCCCATGCCATAACTTCAGCTTCCTCCAGTGCCATGTTTCCTATCATCTGACACATATAAGTGATTATCATTAACACTATATAAAGATAGAAGAGTTTTAGGATGAAGCAAAATGTGGTCTCTGAGAGAAAGAAAAACATGGGCATTGAAAATGATAAAAACATATAGTTTATTGCTTTGATAAATAATTATTAGCTACCTGAAACCAGAATAAAAAACAGTATTTCAATAAGAGAGAACAACATGTGTAAAGGACATGAGAAGGACAATCATGTTCCTTTTGGAGATCTGAAGGAAGTTCAGTGTGAGTATAGTACGGGAACAGACAGTGGGAGAGATGAACCTAGAGAGGCAGACTGCATCCAGACAATTCCAGGCTTTTGAAGACAGACTGAAGATGTAGCTCAGTTACTGGTGAGAAGACACTGAAGGGTTTGAAACAGGGAAGTGACATGATCACATTTGCACCCTTCAAATGGACAGCTTAAAGATTGGAAATATGAGGCACTGTGGGCACCCCTGTAATCTTTCAAGTTGGAGATGAGTGGTGGCCCCATGAAAGAGAAGTAGACAGATTGCAGGGATGTTTTAGAGTCAGAATGAAAATGATTGGACATTAAATTGGATGTGGGGAAATAAGTGAAAGAGAACAATCGGTGATTCCCTGGTTTCTGTCAAAGGATAAAGGAGGTGCTAGCTGGCAGGTGGGAGTTATATTTAGATAAATGGTAAGAAAGGATATAAAGACATGTTGATATTTATTGTGTAGACTTTGAGCACTCCTGAAACACAGCAATAATCAGAACTCCAAGCTCTGACTTAAAGATATTCCTGGGTAAAAAGAATGAAAGTGATAGGGATTAGCTCTAGATATCTCAGGGTTTTTTGCACAGCCTCTGGAGGGCTGTTGCAGGGTAATATTGCTCAACTGGTGACATTTCTTGATGAATGTCTACTCTGGAAGCTCTCTATAGACAACCAATATCCTCCAGCTCAGACAATCTATCCTTAGATCCTACGCATACTCAGTGATAGCATGAATGACAACATTATTCATTCATTTATTCAACATGCATTTTTTGTGTCTCCTGTAGTCAAGGCCTTGCCCAGAATCTAGACATACAGCTAATCACAGAGCTGAGGTACTTGGGTTTTAATCTATGTGTAGCTTTTGGAGCTGTTTAAACATATCTAGGCTGCAGGAATTGGGATGATAAAGCAATGGTTTGTATCTATGCACCAATTATTAGCGGAATAATCATATAGGCTAGTTTGCCTAGGAGGTCTTTGCATCTCTGCTTTTCTCTTTTTGAAGTGTAGAGATGTTAAAGTCAATAAAACTATCCATGGAATGGATAACAAGTATTCAAAGACTTAATTCTAATTAAAACAAAGTTAAGCAAAGAACTTGTATCTTTAGATTGATAAAATATTCCGTACTGGCTAATTTACGTGTGCCCTGTAAATCAAAGTACAATCTTTCTTGCCTGAGAAAAGCAATCCATCAAACTTATTCAAAGGTTATGTCATTTTCCTTTCAGGCATGCAACAGTTGAGTAGCTTGAAAATGTGAATAACAAATGCCTTTCACATAACAGTTGGATTATGTCAAGAATCTAGCTCAATAAATACTCACTGAGCATCTTCTCTGTGCAAACCAATGTATGTGTGAGAGCTATAGAAAAGAGTGACTTTTTCTATATCCCAGGATCTTGTTACCACATTAGCAAAAGCAAAACTATCTAAAATAAGGAAGAGTATAATACACTGCAGTGGGTAGATGGAAAAGATCTTTATTTTATAAGTGGAAGGTGACATCTGCTATACACTCTAGGAGAAAGCAAACTGGAATGAAATAGCTTTAGCCTATCTCTCTTATTATTCATTTATTTCCATAGGAGAAGAAAGACCTTATTCAACTTGTGAGCTCAGAGAAATCTAGGTATATAGGGTAGAAAAGGCTGTGTTTAAAAGGCAATGACAGACCAGAATAAATTTTCTGGTTTTCTTATTGTACTACAGTTATGTAAGATATCAGTATTACTGGAAACAGAATGAAGGGTATCCAGGGCCTTACTCCTCTTTTCTCGTCATCTTGTGAACCTATAATTAGTTCAAAATAAACTGTTTTTAAAAAGTCAATGGTAGTCTCTATATCTCTCTAAGCTATGCTAATAGAGTAGCCAGTAGGTACATGTGGGCTATTGAGCATTTGAGGTGTCTTGTAAGGGTAAAATATATACCAGATTTAGTATGACAAAAGAAAGAATAAAAAATATATCAATAATAATTTTTGTATTGAATGCATGCTGAAATTATAATGTTTTGGGTATATTGTGTTAAATAAAACATATTATTAAAATTAATTTTGTCCTTTGAAATTTTTTTATGTGGCCACTAGAAAATTTAAAATTAGAGCAGCAGCTCGTATTCTATTTCTTTTGAACAGAGCTGTCCTAAGTCATTTTTTTAAATGAGTGTGAAGGAAGCTACAGTTTTGCAATTAGTTGGCTACATAAGCATCTTCTCAGTAGACAACTTCTCCCACTTAGGCTGTAGATTTAGGAAGGGATGGAGGAATAGGGAAGCCCTAAGGTGTAAGCCATGTTTAACAATCCAGGAAGATGTGACATTTATGAGACTTTCAGCCTTGTTTATTAATTAGTCCTTTTGGCTTATTGTGTCTATTCCAATTTCCAGAACTGGGACAAGAGGATAAGGGTGATTAGGCTCTCTTAAAACTCTAGCATGAGGGGATGGATGAAGTAGCAAGAGAATATAGAGGAGAAAGATAACTTTTAATCTAGGGTATATAAAAAAAGACTAATAAAATGACATTTATGTTAAGCTGTGCATATAGAAATATTCTAGGAAAAAAATATTAAAGTTATGAAACCTGAAAATGTAGGAGTGGTGTGCAAGACAGCTAATCACCCTATGGCTGGATATCAGGATATTTGCCTACAGAGTGCCTAATGTCCTCAAGGTTCCTTGGCACGATTATAAAAAAAATCTGAATGCAGCCTATGAGTTTGGGGGTTATTCTGTAGACAATGAGGTGGCATAAAAATAATTTTGAATAATGGCATAGGATGATTGGGACTCTGGTTTGAAATAACTGCTAGTAGTATAAAGAAAATAGTTACATACAGAGAAATTGGAGGCAGAAAGACCAAAGTACTCAAATTACCAGAAGTACTATCCGTAAAACCTGATATAAGTGGTTAGGACAGCCAAATTTGTATACAGAATCCTTCTGTTTGAATTCGGTAAATAATTGTTGAGAATATTCTCAAACTCAATGGTTACCTGTCCCCATCAAGCATGTACTCACTGGGGACAATAGGCATTGAACTAATATTTAAAAGTGTGTCACTGAGCATTATGAAAGTCAAGTGCACAGTACTTACAGCACAGTTAACAGAGTCCTAACCTAACCTATCCTTGAAACTCAATAAATGGTGTTTCAGCTAAGCCCTGAAAAATAATTTATCAGAATGGACTCAGTGAATCAGGGAATGGGGAAGTGAATGTCAGGCTATGGAAACAACAGGTGCAAAAAAACATGATGTGAAAAACAGCAAAAAAAAAGCATGTTGCTTTCAAAGAACTTGGAGTCCAGCATGACTAACATATAAGAGAAAGCATGGGTGAAGATGAAATCCAGCACAGCCTATGTCATGAAAGAGGCTGTAATCCTTACATCATGGTAGAGACATGACAGAGACTGCATTCTGTATTCATAAAGAAGTGAGAAATCACTGAAGGATTTTATGCAGGAGTAGAAAGTGATTCAATATAAATTAAATATTGGAATGGGATGGTAAGTGGAGTCCACCCAAACCACATGGCTAAGAGGACAGGAGCAGAGGTGTGCTAGCGTGTATTAAAAATGCTGTGCCCAGTCAGGGAGTGGTGGCTCATGCCTGTAATCCCAGCACATTGGGAGGTTAAGGTGGGAGGATAACCTGGGAGTTTGAGGCCAGCCTGGCCAACATGACGAAACCCCGTCTCTACTAAAAATACAAAAATTAGCTGGGTATGATGGCTGGTGCCTGTAATCCCAGCTATTCAGGAAGCTGAGGCAGGAGAATTGCTTGAAGCCAGGAGGCAGAGATTGCAATGAGCGGAGATCACGCCACTGCACTGCAGCCTGGGTGACAACAGTGAAACTCGTTCTCAAACAAACAAACAAAAAAACACTGCCCAGATTTTTTTTTAATTGTTAGGCAGGCTGTTAAAGATATCCATTTGCTGAATAAATGAATGAATAATGAGTTGGAAGGGGGAAGAGAAGGGATAGAGATCTTTTAGGAGGCTGTTATCTACCATAAGAGGAAGATGGTGGTTACTTGAATTTTGGAAGTACCAGTGGGGATGGAAAAAAGCAAACGAATAAACAAAAGAGAGTGGAACTATTTAGGAAAGAACTGGAGGGGACTTGATGATTGATTAAATAAAAGGAGGTGATGGAGAAGGAAGAGCCAAGGACAGTATTCATGTTGCTGACTTGGGAGAAGATACCTTCCATACAGACAAAGAATAAGAAAAAGTGTAGAGGGGATTTAAAAACACCATGCATAGTATATCATCAACCACTTTAATCCTGCTGGATTCGATTTTTCAGCCTGTCTTTCTTTCTTTCTTTATTTCTTTCTCTTTCAGTCTGTCTTGTCTTTTTTTTTTCTTTCTTTCCTTCTTTCTTTTCTTTCTTTCTTTCTTTCTCTTTTGGCCTTTCTTTTTCTTTCTTTCCTTCTTTCTTTTCTTTCTTTCTCTTTCTTTCTTTCTTTCCTTCCTTCCTTTCTTCCTTCCTTCGTTCGTTCCTTCCTTCCTCCTTCCTTCCCTCTCTCCCTCCTTCCCTCCTTCCTTCCTTCCATTTCCCTTCCTTCTTTTCCCTCCCTCCCTTCCTTCCTCCCTCTTTCCCTTATTTCCTTCCTTCCTTCCTTCTTTCTTTCCTTCCTTCTTTCCCTCCTTCCCTCCTTCCCTCCTTCCTTCCTTCCTCTTTCTCTCTTTCTTTCATTTCTTTCTTTTTGGAAAATGGGGTCTTGTTATCTTGCCAAGGCTGGAGTGCAGTGGCTATTCACTATTAACAGACGTGATCGTAGTGCACTGCAGCCTTGAATTCTTGGCCTCAAGAAATCCTCCTGGCTGCTGGGCATGGTGGCTTACGCCTATAATCCTAGCACTTTGGGAGGCTGAGGTGGGTGGATCACGTGAGGCCAGGAGTTTGAGACCAGCCTGCCCAACATAGTGAAACCCTGTCTCTACTAAAAACACAAAAATTAGCCAGGTGTGGTGGTGGGCACCTGTAGTCCCAGCTATTCAGGATGCTGGGGCAGGAGAATTGTTTGAACTGGGGAGGTGGAGTTTGCAGTGAGCCGAGATCACACCACTGCACTTCAGCCTGGGCGAAAGAGTGAGACTCAGTCTCAAAAAGAAAGAAAGAAAGTAATCCTCCTGCCTCAGCCTCCTGAGTAGATGGAATTACAGGCACACGTCATCACTCCCAGTTCTTGTGTCAGGAATTTTGAGATGACTAAGTCCAGCCCCATCATCTTATACATGAGGAATATATTTAAGTGATATTGGTGAGGTCTCATGGCTAATTAGTGATGAAACTGGAACTAAAGCCAGACTTCTTGAATACTATATACCTTAGTTCTTTCTTCTATACTCTTGCTTCTTAAAGTGTGGCCAGTAGGCCCAAATGCATTAGCATCAATGGGGATCTTACCGGAAATGCAGATCTAAGGCCCTCCCTCAGATCTCCTAAGTCTGCATCTGCATTTCAACACAATATCCAGGTGACTTGTACACATTAGGATTTAGTCTTACTGTGCCACATCACACATCCCTCTTTTGTATGTAGAAGTCCAAAGCTAAATCTACAAGAAATCATTCTTTATAGTCACAAGACAAATACATTTATTTTCCTTTTTCTTTATATAACCCAGCACCATAAATCTCAATTTTGTGTTCAACAAAAGGCCCATTCCTGGTCATGCCAGGGAGCTGCCTTTACTCTTGAAAAAGAAAGGTTAAAAATCTTAGCCATTTTTTATGTGACAGAAGATGTAATTAAATATAGCTATGATCTGAAAATACAATCAATCTGCTATTTATAATAGTTTAAATTATTCATATGGATAAAAACACAGGATAAAGATAACACAGTTGATTTCTTAGATGTTGATGGTTTTGTAACTCACCCTTGACACCAATTGAATTAATTCCAGACAGACTTCTTGTTCCCAATTATTTGTTGGAGGAAAGAACATGTTCTGTACTTTTCAAGGCTGTGGGCAATCCCCAAATTCTCAGTTCTGCACAACAAGCCTTCTGGATGTTTAAGTGCTTTTCACAGAAACTGGTTTGATTTGCATTTAGATCAAAAGTTGCAGATTTTCAGATGACTTTTTGGTTTGTTGTTTCTCCTAGGCAGGCAGGTGGAACAATCTTTTGTTATCTGTTCCTATATCCGGGCCCCCTGACAAAATGTTTCTTCCTTTTCTTTCTTATAATTGTCCTTTTTAAAAATTGAATTCAGACGTTTTTTTTCTAGTACTTCAGTCTCTTACTTGCTCAGAGGTCATATTTGCATCACAAAGGAAGCCTCTTAAAAGCATAGGATAGTCTTAACTGTCTTAGTTCTAGAAACTGGCACAATGTTATTTTGACTCTGCAAAGATTCTTGAAAACAAATGACTCAAAAAACCTGAACCAAAAAGGCTTAACCAATAAAGAGGGTTTATTAACTCATGGAACTTAAAAGTCCAGAAGATGTTCTGATTTTGGTGAAGACTTAATTCAGTGGTTCAAACCCACCAAGGCCCAGGTGTCTTCTCTTGGCAGCATAATGGGTTTAGTTGTTCCAGGCTCCATATCTTCATATCACACCATCAAGGGAAGAAAGAAAATCTTCTACTTGCTACCATGGAAGAAAGAGGAAAATCCTATTTCCAGGAGGCTGAATAGCTGCTTCTTAAAGGGCACTGTTAGCATCAGGGGTGGTAGTGAAGCCCATCCATGCCACCTAATTATGTGTGCCAAAGAGAATATGTGTATTAAAGAAAAAACTTTGAGTTTTGCCCAGAAGAAGAGCAGCAAACTAAAGATTTCCATTTGGTGAATAAATGAATGAACAAGAAATGTATATTAGCTTTAGAGACCTTAAAACCCAACCAAGTCTTAAACTTCAGTCTAGAAAATAGTAAACATTATTTTTTTGGATAATTTCCAAGAGGAAAGAGTAGTATCAAAAGCTTCTTGTCATTCAAAGAAAAGGTATTGACATATCCTTAAACCAATTTATCTCCTCTTGGTCTCTGTTTCCCTCTACATGAAGATCTTTTTTCTTCAAGTAGATAGTTAACCCTTTTTCTTCTGTTTTGATCACAATGTGACTGAATCCACATAATGTGACTGAAATTTTGCTGTTATTCTGAGATTTGAAGTTTGTTCAAACTCTCAGCTCCAATCTAACCTTAAATGTCATTTGGGCTGGGGGGCAGTGGCTCATGCCTGTAATTCCTGCACTTTGGGAGGCTGAGGCGGTGGATTACTTAAGGTCAGGAGTTGGAGACCAGCCTGGCAAACATGGCGAAACCCTGTCTCTACTAAAAATACAAAAATTAGCTGGGTGTGATGGCCGGCACCTGTAATCCCAGCTACTCCGGAGGCTGAGGCAGGAGAATTGCTTGAACCCAGGGAGGTGAGGTTGCAGTGAGCCGAGATCATGCCATTGTACTCCAGCCTGGGCGACAGAGAGAGACTCCATCTCAAAAAATAAAAAATTTAAAAAATGTCATTTGTTAGTTTCTCTTCTTCTCCTTCAAAGGTCAAAGGGTAAATCTCAAAAGAGCACTCTGCTTTGTGCTTCATTTGCCTCAGACTCTGTGCCATGGCTGAGCTTAGCATCCAGCTAGAATTCATCATCGGCTCCCATTCTGGTTGCGCATCCCTTTGGTCTGGTGGTGCATCAATTCCACAGAAATGAAAGGCACCATCTGTCAGACATCAATAATAGTGGTTTGTCAGCTTAGATCTGTGGTCCTTCCTCTCTACTACCATCTTTTTTTAAGTCAGAGACTGCTTAAAACATGCTGTCATTTACGGTGTTCAAAACAGCTTCTTGTTTAGTTGGAAAATACATCTTTCTTACCATTCTCATGAACTTGTGTATCACAACTTGTAGATGAAGCTGAGTCTTCTTAAATTATAGAGCAGAACTCAGGCTTGTTTTTTTCTTAAATTTTTTTCCTTCTAATTAGCTGCTGTTTCAGTGACAGATGTCAGTCAACCACAGTAAATATATTCTCAGCATGGATATAAATGACTTAAATATCCATATATGAAGTTTCATGCTCTGCTTCATTCTTGGACCCATCTCAGTGAGCTAACTATGAAAATTCAATTTTAAAAATTACTATGGCATAACTAAGACTGTGTTTGACATGACAGCACCAACACATTTTAGATATTTTCAGAGTTGTGGATTTGGTCATTTATTCCAAACCACATTCAATATTATGACAGGGAAAAGAAGACACAATCTACTAAGACAACCACAGTCGTATTTTCTTCACTCCTGGTTTAGCCTCCATATATTGAAATATAATTTTCTATGCTGTAAAAGAAAATTGTTAGCTTTACAAATATACTACAGAGTATTTTGTGGTCCTAAAAGCTTATCTTTGGAGATGAATTTGGGTTTGAATTTTACTTCTGCCACACACATGCTGTGAAGATACAGGCAAGTTGCCTAGTCTCTCTAACCTCAGTTTGCCTCAGAATTAAGTGAGCTAATGCAGGAAGAGCACTTGGTACAAACCTGAGATGTAGTAGGCACTCAATAAATGCTATTATTAACCGATAGGTTCTCAGACATTTATCTCAATCCCTTCCTAGAGTCAGTGTAGTTCATCTGTATGAGTAGGGGTAAGAAGGCGTAGAAATACTTGGAAAAATATTTGGTTATTGTAAAAGTTTTGAGAAAAGCACCTTTAGAGGAAAAAGTTCAAATTAATAACTTTTAAAATAGATCCACCTGAAAAATATCTGAAGTTATATATCACATCTATACCACTAGCCTAAACCAGCCATACGTATTTGTAAATAAAGACTGACTAGAACACAGCCACATCCATTCCATTCATTTACATTGTTATCCTTGATTACTTTCATGCTACAAAGGTAGAGTTGAGTAATTGCAATAGAGGCCACCTGACTTGCAAAGCCTAATACAGTTACAATCTGGACAGAAAAAGTATGTCAACTTCTGGGTTAGAGTATCACTTAAGATCATTATAAAGGGGTCTAGAAACATTCAATAGATTGTTGCAAATTACCTTCAAGATCAATTTCAACAATCTTTCGATACAGTAAAAATTCCACAATGTGATTTGTGGGAGATACAACCTAAGAGACAAAATAACATTTTGTTTAGATGTATAGCCATACATTATGACATTCAGAGTTCTCTGAAAGCAGAGCTGGAGACAAGCACTTATTTGAAGGTAGTTTATTTGGGAAGAGATATCAGGAAACAGCAGTGGGGAATTAGAAATAGGGTATGAGGAAAAGGATGTGTTATTGAGCTGATCACTGCTGTGAGCAACTAAGGCTCAATCCTGTAAAGACTCCCTGAAGAGCTGTGTAAAGTGCAACTAGAATGGCCACTGAGGGCTGGAAGAAGGAAGCATTTATCCACCAGCTTTGATCTTTCATTGGGTAAGCCTCCCTTGGGCTGTTAACTAGGTTAACACTTCTAGGTTTGTACATGCACCAGTGCCAACTGGATTTCCCTACATATCCCTCAACTCAGCCACATAAAGGTCCAGACTCAGAAACTGAGAGACCCAATACAGCGGTGGCGAGGTGAGTGAGGTGCTATCAGGCCACTACAACATGAAGCTAGTTACTAGCAGTGGCTGGAGTAGAAGGCAGGTTGAGAGGACCTGAGGCCGGGCACAGGAGGTGTCCAGTATAGTATCTGATGTTTACTGAGTGCTCTGGATGTGTAAATTCCTGGGTGGGAAATGCTTTTTCTTCCTTATCCAATTAACTCTGATATCAACATAATGAGCTGAACAAGTTTCTTAAACCACATTTGATGGTTTTTAACCACTTGTGGTCTTTAACCACATTTGACAGTTAAAGAAATCAGGGGAATTTAAGTTAGAGATACTAAATAACCATAATAGGAGTTGATATTTATTTCTGGAAATTTTATAATATGCTAGCTATATTTGGTAATTGCTTTACTTCAATTGACTCATTAATCCCCACAATAAACATTCCAGGTAGGTAAAATTGTTAACTGTATTATATGGATGAGTAGCCTGAGGGTTAGGAGAGGTTAAGCAACTTGACTAAAGATATATAGCTAGTAAATGGCAGAACATAGTTGAGACCCAGACTCAGGTCTCACTGGCCCCACAGTTCATGCACTTAAACATTTTGTGATATGCTTTTTAAAATTCTTAGAATTTCCTCTTGGCCTAATTAAGAATCTATGATTGAATACATTTTCCAATAGAATTTTTGAGAGCATTTGAATAATTCCTATACCATGTCTAAGCTGTACACTCAATCTAGTCCAGTCAATAAAAAGATTGAAAACCCCAACATGTTTATCATTTAATTGGTCATTTTAATCACTTATTATTGATTAGGTGACTAGAGAATAGTGTACATCTGAACTAAATTATAATAAATAAATACGCTGGAGTCTTCAACAACTCCTTGTGGGCTCTCAGGCTTTCATTACTTAGCTTCTAAGTGGTAGAAAGATGATTCATGTCTGTAAATAGTATTTAAAAACACAGTAATACATTGTAAAATGATTTCCATGGCATAGCACACTACATCTTCACATCTAATGACAGGCGAAAGGCAGTGTTGCAAGGTGAAAAATACATTACATCTCACAGCAGCCTGAGGCAATGAGAATAGTTCTGAAACTAGAGTCAGAAGTCATGAGTTCACAAGGCAAGTCCTTTAACCCCTCAAAGAAAGTTTATTGATTTTCAAAATGAGGTACGGTATACCAGCCAGACCACTGTAAAGGTTCAGATGAGATGATATACGTGAGAACACTCATTAAACTTTAAATACGATATAAATGTAACGGTTACCTTTGGTATCTTTGAATACAATCAGCAGATTTTTGCTCTCAAAACGAATAATCCTATATTATGTTAAGTGAAATAAGCCAGGCACCGAAAGACAAATATCACATGTTCTCACTCATATGTGGGAGCTAAAAAAGTTCACTAGAATAGAATGACAGACATCAGAGGCAGGGAAGAGTGTGCAGGTGGGGAGTAGATAGTGGTTGGTTAATGAATACAAACATACAGTGAGATAGAAGGAATAAGTTCTAATGTTTTGTAGCAGAGTAGGGTGATTTTTGCCAAAAATCCATACTCCTACTTTGATGTTGGCACTTCAAAGTTTACGGCAGAATTTTTTTTATGTATTGTGTATTTCAGAATAGTTAGAAGAGAGGACTTGAAATGTTCTGAATATATAAAAATGACAAATACTCAAGGCGACGGACACCTCAGATACCCTGATTTGATCATTACACACTCGATGCACGTAACAAAATATCACATGTACCCCATAAATATGTACAAATATTTGTATTAATTTTAAAAATAATGCAACTACAGTATACATTTTAGAGCTGAAAAGCATTGAAGTTTGAAAACTGCCAGGAAATCTGTCAAGATTCTGGATAATTGTGGTTACTACTTACAACCACAGTTATAAGTAGTGGGATACTAGTCAATAAACTTGGTGCTTGAGAATATTAGCGTTTTTTTCTTTTTCTTTTTTATTGTGGTAAAAACAAAACACAAAATCTACCATCTTAACCATTTTTTAGTGTACAGTTCAGTATAATACAAGTACATTCATGCTGTTGTAAATAGATGTCCAAAACACTTTCATCTTGCAAATCTGTATCTCTATACCCGTTAAACAGCAACTTCTTTCCCCTCCCTTTCCAGTCCCTGGTAACCACAATTTTTATTAATTGCTGACCATTACTCAATGCTTACCATGTGTCAGACATTTAGCTAAGCACTTCCTATTCTTTCTCATCTTATTGAGAAATCCACCTTCTACTAAATACTCAAAAATGTCATAAAATAATTTACTTACTCAGTTTTTTTTTCTGTACTTACAAAGTCATACAAAGTCGTAGGGATGATATTTTTCCTTCTATTTCTAGGTAAAATGTCCTGCTAAATGATTCTAGAATTTGAATCTTCTTCATTTGGATTTAGATTCATCAATGGCTGGTGTAAGTAGGAAAGTAAGTCAAAGCATATCTAGATAATTGGAATGCCCCGATCCTGCAAGAGAACCAATTGACAGGTGGAGTTGAAGTTCATTTACTTAAAAAAAGAAAACTCCTCTGGGAAGCTTAGACTTTCTTTGTCCCCGCCTTTGAAGTTTCAAAGGAAAAGTTTTTCCCTGCCAAAGCTCTAGGACAAATAAGAAATGACCTACCTGTTCTCCATCTCAGAGCACAAAAGCCTGCAGGGAAGTGGCATTGGTTAAAATGAACCCTATGTGATGTTGTTGCAGCAAAGTACATGCTGACTCTGACATTTCTCCTGATTCTTTTGTCAAGCTCTCCTTGTATATTCCTCAGTCTGTGATTTCATCCCTATTTTTTTTTTTTAATAGGGCCTTTCATAAGGTTCCTGGCCTACTTCATTCTGTATCCTAGTAGGTTTGGAATAGAGGCCTTGGGTGATACGTTCCTCCTGTTCAATCACAGGACTCAGTGCTGGTATGTTTCTAATGTCTTTACACAGACACACACAAGCACACAATAAGACGCAACTAGTGGCATGTAGATAGGCTCTGACTCATAGATGTGTTTTATTATTGTTATTTTGCTAAGAGCACTTAATATGAGATCTACCCTCTTAGCAAATTTTTAAGTGTACAATCCAGTATTGTTAACTATAGAGGCAATTTTTTATAGCAGATCTCCAGGAATTATTTATTTTGTTAACAGAAACCTTAGACTCATGATTAGCAACTCCCCATTTCCCTCCTCCCAGATGCTGGCAAACGAAATTCTACTCTCTGATTCAATGAGTTTAACTATTTTAGATACCTCCCATAAGTGCAATCAGGCAGTATGTATTCTTCTGTTGACTGCCTTGTTTCATTTAGCATGATGTCCTCAAGGTTCATTCATATTGTCACATATTCCTGGATTTCCTTCTTTTAGAACTATCTTATGATCCAGCAGTCCAGCTCCTGGGTATTTATTCCAAAGAACTGACATCAGGATCTCAAAGAGATGTTAGCACTTCAAAGTTTATGTCAGCACTATTCATGATAGTCAAGTGTGAAAACAACCTAAATAACCAACAACAGATGAATAAGTTTTTAAAATGGGACACACACAATGGAATATTAGTCAGCTTTAAAATAGATGTGTATGTGTTTTTTTTAATTGACAGAGTTTTGAGTTTTATTTTTTGTTTTTACTTTGAACTAACCTTACATTATTTAAAAAATTGAATATTTCACACACATAAAAATGAGATTTCTTCCTTCTCTTGGAAGATTGTTAGTTTGACACTACTAGTCTACATTCTAATATTGCATAGCCATGAGAGCTGGGAAAATGCTGCTGTTTTAGACTAGGTTGATGCTCTTTAATACACCACCATCCCCTCTGGTCCATTTTCTGTTACATTTCCTGGCTGGCTTCAGTAATATGAAAGCTTGTATCTTTTAGTTAATAATCCTGATTTTCACCCCCAGAAGGTATGTGTCCCTTTGTCTGAGACATCAGTCCCCCAAAAGAAAGCAAATAATATCTGATTGTCCCTTGCCAGTGGTGAAAGCTTTTTTTACATTACCTAGGCTGACTTTGTTTCTTTTGATTAAATATGAGAAACTAGAATATAAGTTTTACGAGGAGGAGAATTTGTTTGTTTCCTCCTGTATGTGTCATGCCTAAAATAGTGTCTACGTATAGCAGGTACTCAATACACATTTGTTGAATGACTAAATGAACTGAATTCACATGATATATGTATATAGGTCTTCCAAATTCTTAAGGTAGAAGAAGGTTATGCTACTCAGTTTTATTTGAAAACCATCCTAAATCTTTACTATTATTTTTTAAGGGACAGAGTCTTGCTCTGTTGCCCAGGCTGGAGTGGAGTGCAGAGGCACAGTCATAGCTCACTGTAATCTTGAACTCCTGGGCACAAGTGATTCTCCCACCCCAGCCTCCCAAGGTGCTGGGATTACAGGCACAAAGGACAATGCCCAATCTAAATCTTTACTTTCAGTTGTGAATGTGATCCTGTATCTTGGCCAAAGAATACAATAAAAGGTTTAGACCATTTGATTTCTATAGACAGAGAATTGATAGTTAAAGCATTGGGGAGTTAAAATGCTTAAGTTCAAGTTCCAGTTTACCACTTACAGCTCTCTGACCTTGGAGAGGTTCCATATGGTCCCAATATCTCTACCTATAAAATGGTATTTACCTCATGGAGTCATGAGATCATCTATGTAAAGCATTTAGAAGACTATTTAACATATAGTACATGCATGATTAATGCTAAATGTTAATATTGCCATACGTGGAAGCTCATTTAAAAATAGCTAAATCATTTTATCTGGAGCAAATAATTCATGTTAGGATGGTTGCTGGGGGAGATAGTGCTAGAGCTAAGCAGAGAGCTCTACTAATTTGGTATACTAGGCATCAATAGTTACACAATGGGCTGAAGCATGGGTTTAATTTCACCCCCATTGCCCACACACATATACGCACTGTGCACTAAAAAGGTTATTCTGGTAGTAGCAGAGGGTGAGCTGAATTAAAGGAAGGCCCTACCTACAGTCTCTTTTATGTACTGACAAATGTATATTCTAGGTTTTCTTTTGCTTGATTTTGTGTCATGCATATGGAAATTATTCTCACTTTCTTTAGTTTGAGAAGTTTGATTTACTTTTAAAAGGTTAATTAGTTCCAAAATTTGTAAATTAGGCAAAGCTAGGGGTTCTAACTCCCCTCCTCTGGGTCAGGACAATCTGCATCAGCACTTCTCAGAATAATGCACCAATCAAGGAAGGAAATTTCACCCACTCCCTTTGCTCTCTCTATGGTACTTAAGCCTTTCAAAATAACAGGCGCTTGTGACCAAGAGGTCATCTGGAAAACTATCTTGGGAGCTCTTCAAAGTCAGCTCTCTCAGCGTCTTTCTCGATGACTCAGTAAGCGGAGGAAGCAAAGAAGAACACATTGTTTTGAGGTTATTTTCAATTCCTGTTCCACTTGGACTTTCTTCATCCTTGGATGGAAAATTCAGTAAGGCTCAATTTTTTGGCTATTTCTCTGCAACTAATAAAAAGTATTTCCTAGAATGGAAAATTATTGAACTAAAGGCATCTTAGAGATTTTTTTCCAGCCAAATATCTAAAGGAAGGAAACGACTTAATAAATAGCATCCTGAAGAGTAATCTGCTTTTCTGAAGAAAAATGAGTTGATTCAATTTTATGTTCATATTCATTAGTTATTCATTCATGTATATATTTATTCATTCAACAAACATATACACACAAAATACACACACACACACACACACACACACAAACACACACCCCTGGCCCTACCTATATAGCTAAATGTTTATCAAGACAAACAATGCCCCAGTCAACAGGGGACATATATACAGCTCACCTTATATATGTCATATGCCAGCTCATGGCTGATGCATTTTGGAGGCTATAGAGAATAATGAACAGTTTGAATTCTGGAGCCAAACAGACCTGAAATAGAATCTCATACAAGCTATCTTGGGAAAATTACTAAATTTATTTAAGTAGCAACTACTTCATCAGTAAACTGGAAAAAGTAATAGTATTGATCTCATATATTATAGAAGGATTAAGTGAGAAAATGCATGTGCACGGTGATTACTGTCATGCCGGTGACATAATGAGTGGTCAATAAATGTTAGCTATTATGACAAAAGTGATGCAATTGTAAAGATACACTACTCATTGATTCTCACTTTTTCGGAATAGCTCATTCCAGTAATAGTCTATCCTTGCTCCATTTATCTATAGATCTTTTGAATGTATCTGTCTATGAACAAAAGGAAGAAGGAAAGAGAGGGAGAAAGAAAAAAGAGAGTAGAAAATAATACCCATGCTTTTGGAATAGGTAGAAAAGCAGTAGATACAATTTATAAACTTGAATTCATCAATATTATCAAGACACCATCAAAATGTGAGCTAAAATATTTAAAAGATTGATTGCTCTAAGAGTTTTCCATTTTTGGTTTGTGATAGGTGGTGATAATAATCAAATCAAAAAACTACATAACATTTAATCAATTAGGAATTAGTAATCATTAGAAGGATAAAAATTGTTTGGTTCCAAGTAATTTTTGTCATTCTCAAATTGTTGAGTCAGTGAAATGATTTTATTCTAATTCAAAAACTAAAGAGTCAAGAAGCACCAGTTAGAAAGAATGAATAAGACAGTATTTGATAGCACAACAGGGTGACTATAGTCAATAATAATTTAATTTTACATTTAAAAATAAGTAAAAGGGTATAAATGGATTGTGTGTAACACAAAGAATAAATGCTTGAGAGGATGGGTACCCCATTTTCCATGATGTGATTATTACACATTGCATGCCTGCATCAAAACATCTCATGTATCCCACAAATATATACACCTACTATGTACCCACAAAAATTAAAAATTAATAAAGAAGCAGTAGAGGCTGGGCGCGGTGGCTCACTTCTGTAATCCCAGCACTTTGGGAGGCCAAGGTGGGTGGATCACAAGGTCAAAAGATCGAGAACATCCTGGCCAACATGGTGAAACCCCGTCTCTACTGAAAATACAAAAATTAGCTGAGTGTAGTGGCATGCATCTGTAGTCCCAGCTGCTTGGGAGGCTGAGGCAGGAGAATAGCTTGAACCCAGGAAGTGGAGGTTGCAGCGAGCCAAGACTGCACCACTGCACCCCAGCCTGGTGACAGAGCAAGACTCCGTCTCAAAGAAAAAAAACAAAGAAGCAGTAGAATAAGAGAATAATTTAGGGATTTAGGGAAAACCTCAACTTACGTATCTCTAACTTATCTTTAGGCAACTAATCAGAATTAATGGCATATAAGACTTTTAACTATTATGCTAATAATGTTTCCCTTTTCCCTGAAGATTCATCTTTCTTCCTTTTAATACCAAAGGGAAATGGTTTGCTTAAGAGAGAGCTAAAGAAGTCACTACCTATACTGTATGATTTTAGAGGCCAAAGAGGTTCCATATATATTTTTCTCCTGTTTACATGGAATTCCATTCCACTCCTTTAATTACTATCTGAAACTCAAATTCTCATGGGAAAGTTAAGCATTTAAGCTGCTATCAAGTGTTTATTTTTTTATGAATAAATTTATTTATGCAGCCTGTTTATATGTGAACATATTTGACCAAAATTCAAACAGTCCTGAGGATTAGAAAAATTGAAAACTTAGCCCTTTTCCCTGAAAAAAAAATTCTCAACGTTTCATATACAAACTTATGTACACACACAAACATTTTCACATAAATGTGGCCATATTATAGATATTGTTTTTTCATGTATTTTTTTTACATACAATGTATTTTGATGGTCTTTTTGGGTTTGTGCCTTTAGGGTCTCTCTTTTTTTATGGCTGCATAGTGATGATGATTTATTTAACCACTTTTCTTCATGGTCAACATTCATTTTATTTCAAATTGTTTATCATTACAGAGTACTGAAATCAATGTTCTTGTATACGTGTCTTTGTGTATGTGAGTGAATATTTCTTTAGGATAAATTTACATAATCCAAAATGAAGTTGCAGTGATACAACTTAGTGCATTCATAATTTGATAATTTTGTTCAATTCCCCTCCCAAAACATTTCATCAATTTAGAATCCCATTATGTTTGTTATGAATTTGGCAAGTAACAAAAAGTCCTAATGAAAAATAATCCAAATAAATTGAAGTTAATTTTTCTCACAAAACAGCGGGTTTGGAGGTACTTGTTCAATGGCATAAAAATATCATAGCTGCATATCTGTGAGTGTCTTGGCCTTTCCCCCATGATGACAAGATGACTGCCATTGCTTGTGGCATCATGTCTAAATTCAAAATACAATAAAGCAGAGAAGGGAGACAGCTACTACAACTCTTTCTTCTTATCTAACTTCTTAGTTTCTCATACATCCCCACAGTATGTTTATTACCTATTGTTTATTAGATCTCCAAAGCATTTTACTTATTATAATGGTGTCATATTACCACCACAATTGCAAACAAAGCTGGGAAAATGAGTATTTATATTTCTTGTCTCTAAAATTAGGCAGGAGCCGGGCGCAGTGGCTCATGCCTGTAATCCCAGCACTTTGGGAGGCTGAAGCAAGCAGATCACTTGATGTCAGGAGTTTGAAACTAGCCTGGCTGACATGGTGAAACCTCATCTCTGCTAAAAATACAAAAATTATCTGGGCATGGCGGCGGGCGACTGTAATCCCAGCTACTTGGGAGGCTAAGGCAGGAGAATCGCTTGAACAGAGGCAGAGGTTGCAGTGAGCCGAGATGGCTCCACCGCACTCCAGCCTGGGTGAGAATGAGACTCTGTCTCAAAAAAAAAAAAGTATATATACACACACACACACACACACACACATATATATTTAGAACAAACTTTAATTTAATCTCTGGTATAACTGAATCTCCAGGGAAATTTTCTGGTTTTAATAAATATAATTTTCACTTTATGTATTATCTTGAGGGAAATTCTGAATGATGTCAAAATTCAACAGGAATGTTGAGGGATTTACTGGCCTAATTTGCCAGCAAGTCACAAGGCCAGCTATGTTTAAGAACTGGGAAAACTAGGTCAGGCGCAGTGGCTCACGCCTGTAATCCTAGCACTTGGGGAGGCCGAGGTGGTGGATCACCTTAGGTTAGGAGTTCAAGACCAGCCTGACCAACATGTACTAAAAATACAAAAATTAGCCAGGCGCGGTGGTGGGGGCCTGTAATCTCAGCTACTCAGGAGGCTGAGGCAGGAGAATCACTTGAACCCAGGAGGTGGAGGTTGCAGGGAGCTGAGATCATGCCGTTGCTGTCCTGCCTGGGCCACAAAGTGAGACTCTGTCTAAAAAAAAAAAAAAAAAATTGGGGAAACTAGGCTCTACCTCTTGATGGGAATAGCTTCAAAGCCACATTGCAAAGTATGGAAGGAATTGGTGCAGCTATGTTTGAAAAGAATCTCCCTCATGCTGTAATATCACTTATTTTTATAAATGAGTGAAACCAAAAAGAGAAAGTTTGGTTTGGTCTATTCTGTTTTGTATATTATATGACCTTATTTATTTTTGATCCTATAACATTTCTGTGAAGAGATATTTTAGTTGTAAGTTTATATATATGGAAACTAAGGTATTGGAAAGTTAGTCTGTTACCACTCCCCACCACTTAATAGAAAATTCCCTCTCATATATCTGTCCTAAACTGTTGGGCATCATAGTAAAAGAATCTGAATTGCGTAAATGAGAGGTAACCAAAAAAAGTGTTTTGGAGGGCTCAGAAAGGAAAAGCAGATGGATAATTAAGAAAACAATCTTCCCATTTCAAGATTTGCCTAGAATCTGCCCTGTTTTTTAGCATAAAGTATTATTGATTGGGAGGAAACAAGGCCTTTACTATAACACAGAGAATAGGCTTTTGCAAACCAAAATTAATGCATCGATGTAGCACAGCCAAATTTACTGAGTAACTTGTTGAATACAAGTGATCAACAAGCAGGTGTCTGCCAGTGTCTTGACTTTGGACGCATAAAATATACAAATAACATATTGTTTTATTTATACTGTTTTATGTATAAATAAAACAATCTCTCTCTCTCTCTCTCTCTCTCTCTCTCTCTCTCTCTCTCAGAGAAAATCCATATATCCATCTCATCTCTTGGAGAGAGAAAGAGAGATGTCAGTTTTAGGTAAGTCAGGTGGGTATGTTTTTAAATATAGGCCTCAATAGTCCAGGAATGTAGACATAAGGATTGGCTTGCCTTGTGTAATTTATCTTCACTGGATGATTTTCACTCCTTCTACCCACCAATCATTTTCCCACCCCACCTCAACCACATATTAACTTTCTTACCTGTGTGTTCACCCTCATGGCCTGACATTATTCAATTTATCAAACCAGAGAAGAACTATATAAGAAAAAGTATCTCTCCTCAAAAAAGACAAAGTAATATATTAGAAACTTGAGTTATAAACCTGTTAGTAACAGCCTCAAAGGTTTGAAGGCTTGGATCTTATAAGGAAATTCAGAAAGAATATATTTTTGTTTATAAAAATTTTATGTCCAAATGAGAATTGGATTTTCTCAGAGCGTGCTCACTCTCGTGGACTCAGATGTTGAAACAAGTCCATCTGGGGAGGCGGGGGTCACAGAGAACTTAGCAGCTTACAAATGATAATGACACATAGTTTCACCAGAAGGTCTTTGCTGTGAAGTCACCTGGATATGTTGCTGAGAAAAATAAGTGGTTTGCTTTCAATTATTAAAATGGCTTGTCAACAATAACAAATGCCATGATTAGGATATAGTTCTCCAGAGTACATGGGCAGGGTAAAATATAAATCTTTTATTTACTATGCCAAAGAGGGAAATTAGTAATAGAAATTTTAGGTCTTGTCAGTAAGGCCAGAGTGATGTCTGAAGGGAAGAGATCATGGAGTTCCCTGCTGTGACAGTGCTGGGGACCAAAATCACATTGAACACATGGACACTTCAATACCACAGGGGCTTAACTATTGTAATTATTAGGCAGTGGAAGCAAATTAATAGAAACTACATTAGAAAGGAAAGAGAATTTATTTTTAGACGTGGGAACTGTCTAATGTCACTTGGGAATGGAATTACTTAGGGAAACAAATGAAATTGAATATGGTAGCTTTATGATATAAGTTTAATTTATGCCTATAATTTAATTGAGTTGACTGATAGCCAAGCGTATTCAGTCAGTTGGGCACACAACAGATTGAGTGGTAATTGGTCAATTTTTTCACATCACCCTTGTTCAAAACAGGATTCTATTTGGGATCCCTAAGTCTCCCTTTTACAACTCACCAAACTCATTTGGTGCTACATTTTGTGGATGCAATTAACTAGCATTAGAAAACCCTGATTAAAGCATTATGATTAATTCAGGCATATTCATCTCCACTTCATCAGTTCTGTTCATTTGAATCTGTGCTCGATGCCTCTTTTTAGCTACTGCTTCTTTATTTAAGTTAAAAAAATCAAAATATCTTTTCTATGCCAGTAGCAAAGAGGGTGAAAACTGGGGTGCTGTAGGGTTGTGTTTTGATCTATTTGCAGTTTCTTCCAGAACTGGTAGCCTATAAATTTATTTATGCTAAGAATATTTTTAGACCTCAGTTTTATATCCAATGTGGATTTCAAAGGAACTTTAAGCAGCACATTTCTCTCTCATTTAAGTATCAAGTATCAAAATGATATTTGATGTCCAAGGAACTTATAAAGCATCTTTTTCCTTTGAGCATAGGTCGTAATTTTCCACTATTAAAAAGGACTTAAAGTCTCAGTTGCTATATTTTCTTCACCAGTGCTCTCTCCTTCACTTTGACTGCTTTCCCCTCTAGCTTCTCCCCTCTTTCTTAATGTTTTTTTTTTCGGTTTCCATATTCCTTGGACTTCCTCAGTAAAATCATCCTGTGCCTGCTCACTGCCATCTATCCCTGATGAAGAAGAGGAACTTGTCTACTGAATAAAATGCTGAGGATTTCACTGAAAATGGCTTTAATGAGCTGACTTATAGGCAGATAAAGTAACAGAAAATGAGGTCATTCCCTCATAAATGCATGGGGATAGGGACATTTCAGCCACACATCCTCACATATATTAATGTCTTACAGGTTTTTCTACCTCAGTGTGCCCTGGTGAGCCACATTTAGGTTGGCACTTGTTTGTTCCATTCTTTGAAAATATGGCATTTTTAGAAGCCAGTAACTGACAATGTCATGAACATTATGCTCAGGGCATTTTCAGAATCAAAAAAATTATTCACTCATAATTTATTCCTCCTGATATTACCATTAAATCCCCCCTTCGGTCAGGAAGGCCTCTAATGATTAAGAGAGACAATTACATCAGAGAAATGGCTGACTTGAAAACTGCTTCAGTCATGACGACATGCCCTGGCATGTGTTACTAATCATCTAGAACATTTTTGTAAATAAATAACTATTATATTATATTGGCATTGTGCAAATTTCTCCTATTCCCAGAAATCCAAACAAAATATGAAGAGAAAACAGGTTGACACTATCGAAACCATAAAACTCAGTGAGATGAACCATCTGAAAGTGATTTCGTCAAGGGAAATTTAGATATATGTTTCAACAAAAGGCACGGATAGTACATGCTTGCATGAGTGTGGGCATGGGGGCAGGGCTTTTCCGAAGAGTTTAATTATGTAAAGGTCTATTGTCAAACATATTTTCCATAATTCACGCACCAATTTTTTTTAACTTTTATTTTAAGTTAAGGGGTACAAGTGTAGGTTTGTTACATAGGTAAACTTGTGTCATGGGGGTTTGTTATAAAGATTATTTCACCACCCAGGTATTAAGCCTAGTACCCATTAGTTATTTTTCCTGATCTTTCTCCTCCTCCCACCCTCCACCCTCTGAAAGGCACCAGTGTGTGTTGTCGCAAATGTCCAGGAGTACTATGCATCCATAAAAAAGAATGAGATCATGCTCTTTGCAGGGACATGGATGCAGCTGGAGGCCATTATCTTTAGCAAACTAACACAGAAACAGAAAACCAAATACCACATGTTCTCACTTATAAATGGGAGCTAAATACACCAATTTTATTATGCCACTGCATGCTTTCAGTGGGTGATAATCTACATGCTGAAATTTTAAGGTGTTCAGATGGGACTGTTGAATCTCTCAGTAGAAGGCTACCACATCCTACATCACCTGTGTTTAGGCTCTTGAAGAAAAGCAAACATTTTAACTATGTTAAGGCACAACATTATCAAAGAGGTAATATTATTATATAATTTTATTTTATAGTATTATAATGTATAGTATATATCACACATATAAATATATATATAAAGAATATATTCATCTGATTAACCAATTATTATTCATTCCCATGCAGGAGTGAGTTTGTGGAAGGGAGAACATTGGACTAAAAGATAGACAACTTAGATTTAAGTCCCAACCCCGCCTCTTAACTCTCCAAATGGTCTTGAGTTAACATGATTATCCTTTATGAATATCAACATCCCTATCTGGAAAATAGAGATGCATAAGATAAAATTTGAGTCCCTATGAAGATTGTTGTGGAGATCTAATGAGATGATGGCTATGGATGAATTTTATAAAAGTATAAATGGTTTTATCTCACATGAGGGTTACATTAAAAAATCAGAACATGAAATGGAAATCAGTTAATATCAAAAATACCCATGGAAAATTATTTAAATATCCCTTAAACTATAGGATTTAAGGTAGGGTTGTCAAATTTCACAAATCTAAACATACTGAAAAAGTATTTGTTGTTTATCTGCAACTCAAAGTTAACAGGATGTCATCATTTATTTGGGCTACTATAATAAAACACCATACAGTAGGCAGCATATAAACAACAGAAAC
Source organism: Homo sapiens (assembly GCF_000001405.40). Taxonomy (NCBI): domain Eukaryota; kingdom Metazoa; phylum Chordata; class Mammalia; order Primates; family Hominidae; genus Homo; species Homo sapiens. Next base: position 161,097,225 of record NC_000005.10, on the reverse strand, counting down.
TTATTTCTCAAAGCACTGGAGGCTAGAAAGTCCAAGATTAAGGCGCCAGTAGATTCGGTGTTTGGTGAGGGCTGTCTTCTGGCTATAGCTTCATATGGTGGAAAAGTGGAAAGCAGCTCCCTGGGTCCTCTTTTATAATGACGTTCGTCCTATTCATGAGGCTTGAGGTCTCATGATCTAATGCTCTTCCAAAAGCTTCACCTAATACCATCACATTGGTAATTAGTTTTTCAACATATAAATTATGAGGGACTCACACATTCTGACTGCAGCACTGGGCACCCTGCATTTTATCCGGCAACTCTACTCCACTCATGCCACGAGACAGCTAATGTGAGCAGCTCTCAGTAAGTTCAATACAGTCTATTTTTTCTCCAGTCTTGTCACTTGAAAACTGGCATAACATCCAGATTGTGCAAAAAAAAAAAAAGTGCACCTTCGACCAGCAGACTGACTCACACTCAGTGAGCTGAGGGTTTATACATAGAGAGGCACACAGAACCTGAAAGAAAGAAGAGCAGATTTATTTTTCTCTTCTCCTGCTCACTCTAGTTCATATGCTTAGTGAATGGAGGGGGAGAACGAACTGCAGTCTGTTTTTGCTTTTGTTTTGGCAAATCAGAACAAAGCAGCATAACTTAATGTACAACATAAGTGAAACAGGTCAGTGGTCACTGGTATCATCTAAGGCATTATCCGAGCTTGTTGTCTTATGACCAAGAGAATTAAGGAGCATGGACACAAAGGGTGAAGTTGGAGCGAAAGTTTAATAAGCAAAAGAAGAAAGTTCTCCACAGCAGAGAGGGGAGTCTGAGTGGGTTGCCACTTTTACAGTTGAATCCAAAAGCTTTCATGAGAAATTCCTCTCATCTCTGTAGCTGTCTGATTAAACTTTCTTATCTGAAAAGCTCTTTGTATAAGGCCTCCTGTATATGCAGGCGGGATGTCACCAGGTAAGCACAAAACACAGCTGCTCTTGTTTGTATAACTGTGGGTTTGTTTTAGGCAAGCCCCATTTCCCTTCCCTGTGCAAGTTCCCATGGATTCCACCATGTACGTGTCTGAAAAATGGAGGAAACTTTCCTGGGAGCCCATTAATCACACAAAGAACAAAAGGCTTCTGTGCTGGACCCTGCCTGCTTATCTGTGCAGATGCAGTGTGAGTTTTCCCCAGGCTGCTCTATTTTTGCCTGTAACCATGATTTTTCAGGCAGGATGCTTCTCTGAGGACCAGGTTTAACTGTCTACCTAATTGATTTTTCCTTTTCTTCTCCCTCATTAAGGGTTGTATGAGGTACATAAAATGTGAGAAAATATCATTGTGGTGACTACTAATCAAAACCCTGCATGTAATCTCTGAATGAAAAGAGAAACTGCTTCAAAACTTAAGACGCATCTTGGTAATCAGTGGTCAACATTGAAAGCAATATCACATTCAATATTTTCGCTCCAAGGCAGAGTGCAGTGGCTCATGCCTGTAATTCCAGCACTTTGGGAGGCCGAGGTGGGCAGACCGCTTGAGCTCACAAGTTCAAGAGCAGCTGGGCATCATCAGGAAACCCCACTTCAGAGGCAGAGGTTGCAGTGAACCAAGATTGTGCCATTGCACTGCAGCCTGGGTGATAGACCCAGACTTTGTCTCAAAAAAAAAAAAAAAAAAAAAAAAAGTTTTCACTTTAACAAAGTCACAATTACTGTTTGGAACCTTACTAGCTCTGCACTTCCTGCAACAGTTTCATGATGTAGAGAATACCCAGCATGAGCATGAAGATCTTCACACAATCTCATTATCATGAATCAGAAACTAAGGGTAGAAAAACATCAATCACATGTATTCATTGCTCTGACAGCCTGTTATAAAAAAATTAACCTTTTAAATAGAATTTTAATATATATATACACACATAAATATATATATATACACACACATATATATACACACACACACATATATATATGGAGATTACAAAATGTCTCTTCTTTAAAACCCGAATAGATTATTAGATATAATCTATTATGATCCACAAATAAGGCAAAATAGAATATCTTTCTTTATTTATTTTAAATGGCCAAATAAAAATTATATATAGTTATGGTTTATAGCATGATGTTTTGAAATGTATTCATTGTGAAGTGGCTAAATTTAACTATGAAATATCTTCATAAGAATATTCATTGTTATTGTCACTTGTTTAAAAGAAATCCCTGACTTTTGAAACCAAATTATTATAATTAAGAACTCATCAAGTGTAGATAAAGTGCTATTAAAATCATTGATAGAATAGCTCTTGAGGAAGGTGAGCTATCTAATCAGTAATTGTTTTAATCTAATTTATTTTAAATTCAAAATATTCATTATATATTGTTTTTAAAAATCTGCTCATGCAACTTACCAAACTAGAGAGTTAATGTGTATCTATGTCAGATTTGTTTTTTATTTGACTCACTTTAGCACAGTTTATTGTCAAAATATCCACAGTGGCTTCAGTGGTTTCCATGTAGGTGAATTCCCAAAACCTGAAAAGCTATCTTAATCTGAAAAGTGACTTACTATGATTTTCATGCTAAAGTTTGGTTCCTGTGTCATCCCTGACTTGTGAGTAAGATGGCAAATACTTGGAGCTATGCCCTGAGTATTGTGAATGAGGGAGTCACTTCCAGTAGCTGTAGACAGCATACAGTTGTGGCTTGATGCTTCCTGAAACTTAACTAAGTTAAGTGATTTACCCCCTAGTTACTGAGATTCTTTCAGGAACTAAATATACCCAGTAAATTCCCAAATGTCCTTCAAAAGAGTATTTCCTATAGCTGGCCCAGAAGGGGAGCAGGTAAGAACAATGGTGATTTAAAATATTCACTTTTTGTGTGTGTCAAGACTTATCTACACTACCCAAAGTTATGGTTGTTATGAGATCTTTAGGGTGTCACATTTTGGCCAGAAACCTCTGTGGCCAGTGGTGCCTTTGTTCAAGTTCTTGTCCTGTGTCCAGGAAGAATGAGGTATGCAGACAAGTGGAGGCTGAGCAAGACAAACAGGAGCTTTATTGAGTGTTAGTATAGCTCAGAGGAGACATGCAGTAGGCAGGTCCTCTCTGTAGGCAGGTCATCCCATCGAGTGTTTAACTCTCAGCAGAGAGGAGGCCCTGGAGAGGGTTGCTTCTCTCTGCAGTCAGGTTGTCCCATCATCTCCCCAGCTCCTAGCAGAGAGGAGGCCTTGCAGTGGGTTCCTCTCTGCAGCTGGTAGTCCCAACATTTCTGCAGGTCTCTGAAGCTTTCAGCAGAGAGGAGGCCCTAGAGTGAATAGCTCCTCTCTGCTGCTGGCCATCCCATCTTCTCCTCAGCTCTGGCTGAGCCCAGGGCTTTTATGGGCCTCAGAGGGGAGGAAGTGCCTGCTGGTCAGTCACAGGGTGGTGATGGGTGGCCAGAAAAGGCACAAGTTCCCACTCCTGTCAGTGGGACTGGCAGCCTGGCCCCCAGCCTGAAGGTGGGGCTTCACCAGGGACCTCTCCCTCCTGACCAGAAATCTGTCTGCCTCCTGCTGCCATTCATGTCACTGGGGCTCAGGACTCCTCTGGACTTTGCTCCAAGATGAGCAGGCACCGACAGCAGGGAGAAGCCAGGCAGTGGGAAGAGATACTTACCAGCCTGATGACAGGGAGGCCTTCCTGGATCCCCAAGGGTGCAGGGATGCCTGAGTCTTAAGCCACAGTTTGGGCAGCTGCAGCTGCACCCTGGAGGGCAGGGGTCCTGCCTGCTCCCTGCCCTCCAGAGCAGGGAGGAGGCTGCTATCTGCAACTTGGGTTCCTGCAGCCTTGCCTAGGAGGGCGGGGCTTCTGCCTGCTCTTTGGAGTGGGAGGCCTGGGTCCACAGCCAGGAAGTGGTGGGGATCCCACTTGTCTCCTGCTCCCACTGGCTCCAAGGAGCTTGCAGCCCTGGCTGCGCCTCCCTGCTGCAGCCAGCATGATGGCTTGACAGGCCATCTGGAGCAGCTGCTGCCATCATGGTGACCACAGAAATGAGTAATAATTTGGTAGATTCAGACTGGGAGCACCACATCAGAGCATCCAATATAAACAAATTTCCCTTGTGCAGACATCAAGGCTGGAAATGTAGGTGTAAGAGGTAAAGAATTTGTTACCAAAATGCCAGGCATTGGATCTAAGTCCTGCTGCTCACTGTATAGACAGCTGATCACTGAAACAACGAGGATTGCCAGGGAAAAAGGCCTTATGCGGGTGCCATAGCAGAGGAGATAGGTGTGAAATCCATCTCCCTGATGGACTAAAATTCAGTGTTTATGTAACAGGGAAGAAATGTAACTGTGTGTAGTAAAACAGGAATTAGGGAGGGGTAAAGAAGAGGAGTTGGTCAACAGGAAGCAGGTGGTCAGTTAGGCAGTCATGATGGGTGAGGGGTCTGATGTCTCATTGTCCAGACGTGGTGATTTGGTGAGTTTCAGCTCCTTGATACTATCTGGGAGGACTGATGGTTGGTTTCCTGAGAAAGAGACTCAGATAAGACAAATGTAACTTTCTCAAATTTTAGGACTGGGAGGATCAATTTCTATTCAAAAGAAACCAAAAACATTAGTTCTGTGAGACAATTGGGCCAGTTTCATAATCAGGATGGTGCCCATATGGTGTTTTCTCCTTACTTTTCCCCATCACCACGTGGGTACTCAAGTGCTCGGCTCTCAGAAGATGCTGAAGTCTTGAATTGTTTTGATATCCTATTTGTGCCTTGATAAAACTTTTGTGTGTTTAATGGTGGTTGGTAAACAAAACAGGGATGGATTGATCCACAAATCTTAAGAGTGTACTGCCTTGGACTCACCTCTTCACTTCTCTGGGAAGTGAAGTTTACTTTACATCTGTAAAATGGGAGAGAAGGGGAAGTGTTAGACTATTTCCTAACTAGGATTCCTCTAACATTCTCAAAGAAAGTTGTTAAAGTTGGTCGGTAATCATAAGCTATTTTCTCTGAAATGTTTGAGACTAGATGGTGTCAAGGCTAGACTTAGCAAACATTGTGGCAAATGCAAAAATAGGTCTGTGGATATAATGTCAAAACAGTGCTTTTACTCTGTCACTGTTATGCAAGTGAGAGCAGAATGCTGTGGAAGAATCAGTAAAATTCAATGAAAGTTTCCACAAGCACCTTCTTTTTTCATAGGCCAAATGTTATGGCCATATCATAGACCATAGTGGTTCATGTATGTTTTACTTTCGCAGCAGAATACCACGATAGGCTGTGTGGGGTGGGCGGGGAGGCAGGATTAAAGGTCACTGATGAGTTTTATGTCTTTGTTAATTGATTTTCATCACATCTTAATGAATCCATAGCCTCAAATGACTCGCAGTCTCCATCGTCGGTTTGTTTCTTCCATTGCTCATACTTGTTTTGCATTGCAGCGATCATTTTATGCTCAGTAAAAATACTTACAGTTTTTGCCTTTCAATTGTTGATTAAAAGTGTGTAACCTTGAGAAATTATCTACTACAAAAACCACTCTGTAAGGCTTTCTTGATTGTTAAACTGTATTTTACCCAACACGGTTTCATTCTCCTGGTATTGTGATCCATTTTATGAAGAAAGCAAATTCAGTCTCTAAATTTGTTTACACTAATCAGCCACTTCTGCTGGCTAAGGCAGAAATGATAGGGTGGAAAGTGAGGTATTTGATAATATGTTCCTATTTCCTTATACATTTTTCTAAAAGACGTGTATTCAAATACATTTTAAAACTATTTTTTTGTTGTTGTTTTTGTTTTTTGTTAGAGACAGGGTCTCACTCTGTCACCCGGGCTGGAGTGCAATGGTGTGAACCTAGATCACTGTAGCCTCAAACTCCTGGGCTTGGACGATCCTCCTTCCTCAGCTTCCTGAGTAATTTGAACAATAGGCATGTGCCACCAGGCCTGGCTAATTTTTTTTTTTTTTTTGGTACAAATGTGCTCTCGCTATGTTGTCTAGGCTGCTCTCAAACTCCTGGCATCAAGCAGTCCTCCCTCTTCGGCCTCCCAAAATGCTGGGATTACAGGTGTAAGCCACCATGTCCAGCCTAAAACTATTTTTAAATTGCCCCATTGTACTCACCAAAAAGTCAAAAGAAAAATTCAAATGACCATGTCCAGTGGTTAATCAAGGAAGCCTAGAAGCCATGATCAAGTTTCCCGTTCCCATTGTGTAGCTTGTTAATACCTGTGCCCTATCTACACATGTCCATGTAGCTTTCTCAATCATATGTGCACTAAAATACTTACACAATCTTGCAACACACAGGGACATTTGGGTCAATGATGGACCACATAGATAATGGAGATCATAATAGAGCTGAATAGATAAATAAGATCAGAATACAGCTGAAAAATTCCTATTACAGTGGTAATGTCGAAGAGCAATGCAGTGATTCTGTTGGAAACAAAACTACTGTGCTACCAGTCATATAAAAGTGGAGCACATACAATTATGCATAGTGCATGATACTTGATAACGATAATAAATGATTATATTTACTATACTAAACTTTTAGAATGTATTCCTACTTATAAAGAAGTTAACTGTAAAACAGCCTCAGGCAGGTCTTTCTGGAGGTATTCTAAAAGAAGGCATTGTTTATAATTGATATTCTGGTTAAAGTTTTAAAGAGTAATTTAATTCCCCTTGCTGGCAAGTTCAAGAGTTTAATGTGTGGTTCATTTGTCCATCTTAAAAATAATTACAGCTAATCAGTAGTTTCAATGTGTATAACAACTATCATTTGTATTTGGGTATCAGGGCAAACGAATGAGGTAAATGTGATTGTGAAAAGCAAGTCTACAGTTTTCAGCATGACTTTACTCTTCTAACTAATAATGTTTTACATCCAGAGACTGATGGTAACAATAACATTAATGTTTGAATAAGTTTAGAGGTCAAATGTGCAACATGAGGACTATAGTTAATAAAATTGTGGGATATTTGAGATTTTTGTTAAATATAGTAGATTCTTCACAAAATAGTTTAAAAAAAGAAGAGGCATTGTTATTATAGGAAATGATAGTGTCATGCATGTTATTGCCCCTGAAGACCTTCCAGTGAGACAATAATGAGGAGCGGGAAAGTCGTTGCAGTGGAACACAGTAATATTGATGATTCTGATCCCATGTAGGCCTAGGCTAATGTATGTGTGTGTATCTTACTTTTTAATCAAAAAGTTTAAAAATTAAAATAATAAATAAATAAGGGTCTTAAAACAAGCTATAGAATAAGGGTATAAAGAATAAAATTTTTGTAGAGCTGCACATTGTGTTTGATTTTAAGCTAAATGTTACTATAAAAAAGTCAAAAGATTAAAAAATTAAAGTTTATAAAGTAAAGCAATTACAGTAAGCTAAGGTTAATTTTTTATATAAATTCAACTTTTTTTTAGGTTCGGGGGAATATGTGCAGGTTTGCTACATGGGCATATTGCGTAATGCCAAAGTTTGAGGTACAAATGATCTTGTCACCCAGGTAGTGAACATAGTACCCAATAGATAGTTTTTCAGGCCTTCCTTTCCCCCTTCTCTCCCCTTTCTAGTAGGCCTCAGTGTTTATTGTTCCCATCTTTATGTCCATGTGTACACAGTGTTTAGCTCCTACTTATAAGTGAGAACATGCAGTATTGGTTTTCTGTTCCTGCACTAATATGCTTAGGATAATGGCCTCCAGCTACATTCATATGGCTGCAAAGTACCTGCTTTTGTTCCTTTTCCTTTTTATGGCTGCATAGTATTCCATGGTGTATATGTACTGCATTGTCTTTATCCAGTCCACCATTGATGGGCTCCTAGGTTGATTCTGTTTTTGCTATTGTGAAGAGTGTTGTGATGAACATATGAGCACATGTGTCTTTTTGGCAGAACAATTTATTTTCCTTTGGATATATACCTAGTAATGGGATTGCTGGGTTGAGTGGTAGTTTCAACCTCTTTGAGAAATCTGCAAACTGCTTTCCACAGTGGCTGAACTAATTATTTTATCACAAATTATTTTGCAAATTAACACAAGTCCGGAGTTCATCACTCTGTGTATCTTAGTTCTTTCAAGCTGCTATTAAAACATAGCATAGACTGGGTGACTTATAAACAACAGTACTTTATTTCTCGTATTTCTGGAGGCTGGGAAGTCCAAGGTCAAGGTGCCAACAAAATCAGTGACTGGTAAACGCCCATTACCTTCATAGATGGCACCTTCTCATTGTAACCTTACAAGGCAAAGAGGATAGGGGATCTTTTTCAGACCTCTTTGATACAAACACTAATCCCATTCATAAAGGCATAGGCTATTTCCCTAATCTCCTCCCAAAGGCCCCACTTCTTGATACCATCATCTCAAGAGTTTAGGATTTCAACATATGAAGTTGAGGGTTACACAAACATTCACACTATTGCTCTAAGAATACTTAAGAAACCTTTATAAAATGACAAAATTATGCTGGTGTTTATTTTCTTGTTTTAAACAATGGTTAAGGAAAATATTAGGTAGCCTTCCATTTTCCCAAGCAGCTGAGAAAATATATTGTATATTGTGCATATGCTGAAATACCCTCCTAGATTTTTTGTCTGCTCACTCTGTCAGTTACTAAAAATTGAGTACAAGGAGTTCTAATTGTCATTGGAATTGCTATCATGTTTTCCACTGTTCCACTATTAAGTTTAATGTAGTATCAGCATCAATATCTTTTTTGGCAAAAGCATTAGTGATTCAAAATTATTCAGAATTTCTCTCATTGCCTTAGTTTCACTGGTTTTAAGCATACACTTAAAATGTCCTATTTTATTTAACAATTTGTGTTTCTTGTTGCAAGTGAAATTATTGCAATTTGAGATAAAAGAAGAAACTAGAAACCTCAATACCCATAAATTTGGGGCTTCTTTTGTTACATGGGAACTGAATTGAGGATAGTCTCTTGTTTGTGAATAAAACATTTGAATGAATATATCGGAAGCTAAATTGATTTGTGGAAGCCTGTGCTTTTTTGTACAGGTAATCAGTACTGAGGGGGAAACAGGCACCTCCAATTTCCAAGGTAGCAAGTAAACTTTCCAGAAACAACAGTCTTAAAAAATAACAAATGCTGATGAGGATGCAGAGGAAAGGGGACTCTTATACACTGTTGGTGGAAATGTAAATTAGTACAGTCGTTATAGAAATGATTATGGAGGTTTCTCAGAAAAAAAAAGCTAAAGTTAAAACTACCATACAATCTAGCAATCCCAGTACTGGGTATGTATCCCAAGGAAAGAAAATCAGTATATCAAAGTTGTACTAACACCCCCATGTTTATTGTAACACTATTCACAATAGCCAAGATATGCAATTAATCTAAATGTCCATCAGTAGATAAATGGACAAAGAAAATGTTAATTTACAATGAATTACTATCCAGTCATAAAAAAGAATGAAGTCTTTTCATTTGCAGCAATATAGATGGAAGTCGAAGTCATTACGTTAAATGAAATAAGCTCTTCACAGAAAGACAAATATTGCATGTTCTCACTCATATGTGAGAGCTAACAATTTTTATCTCATGGAGCTAGAGAGTAGAATGATAGAGGCTGGAATGGGTAGGGTGAGGAGTAATAAGAGGTGGGTTAATGGGTACTAATATACAGGTGGCTAGAAGGAACAAGTTCTAGTGTTGTAGCACAGTAAGGTGGTGATAGTTAACAATAATATACTGTGTATTTCAAATAGCTAAAAGAGAAGGTTTGAAATGTTTCCAGCAAAAATAAATGAGAAATGTTTGAGGTGAATGAATATCCATTTTAAATACCCTGATTTAATCGTTACATAATGTATGCATGTATAAAAATATCACATACACCCCATAAATATGCACAAATATTATGTATCTAAACAAACACACATGAATAAATTAAATAAATAAATAATCAGCAGTTTTTGCTCATCTATTGCAGCTGATTAATGATATTAATGTGCTGTTTTATGATCAGAATTATGACCTCCTTCACTTTGATTCAATGCAGGACAAACACCACAATGTGTGTGAAGTCACACAAGTATAAAATCCTCTTGTTACTCAGACACGTAAAAGCATTCTGTTCCTTGGGCTTGCATAGAACCTAAGTGTGAAAACATGAAATTGATCAGTAGAAGAGACATTTTCTTAGTTTACTGGTGCATGTATGTGTTGCAAAACGCTATACGAGAGAAAAAAGAAAATGTTCCCTCCAAAAATTCTCCCAATAAAACGTGTAATATTCCTCTGCTTCTTGTGTTATGCAGTCTACCACCAAGTGCTTTGTTTCAGATAAGCCCTTCAGTGCAGGGAAAAGACAATTTTCTAAATGTCACCCAGAACAGAACTCTTTTGCATGATATTGTTTATAACCCCTCCTAGAAAGTATAGTAGTTCCCCCTTATCCTCTGGGGATAAGTTTCAATACCCCCAGTGGCAGTCTGAAACCTCAGATAATACTAAACCCAATGTATGGTATGTTTATTTGATCTGAAAACTCTGAGATGGTGATGAAGTGACTAATGGGAGAATAGCATATAAAACATGGATTTGCTGAAAAAAGGGATGATTCATGTCGTGGCCAGGATGGAGCAGGATGGTGCAAGACTTAATCATGATACTCAGAATGGCATGCAACTTAAAATTTATGAATGGTTTATTTCTAGAATTTTCTGTTTAATATTTTTAGTCCACAGTTTACCAAGGGCAACTGAAACCATGGAAAGCAAAACCATGGATAAAGGGAGAATACTGTAACTGGAATTCCTGATAAAATGTTTGAACAATTATCTGATAGCTTTTAATCACATTAACAACCTCCTAAAAAATGAAATCTACCTCATCCTCTCAATCCGTATTGTCTGGTAGTCATAAACCAGATGTTTAAAGATACAATGCCCTGAAGTCAGCCTGTGAGTCTCTCCTGACAATCTTTGATTGGACATTCATTTCTTTGCATTGTTTTCCTTATGCCTTTATTAAGAGAGAAATCTTTGTATTGACTTTCTCTGGAGTCTCTTCCCTTGAGACAAGCTAGATGTAAGAATTTTTTTCCTGTTTGTAATCGATTTATCTGATAAGTTAGCAGGGCTTCTGAAGAGGGGAAAATTACATGCATCTGGACAATTATAAGGCTATCAAGGAAAGGCATTTATAGGCACAACTTTAAAGATTTTACATGCAAAATTGAGAAAGGGCATTCCAAACTGAGGAAAATTGGAAATTAATATTGTGATTTTTGCAAGACTTTTGCTCACACCACTCCACATTTAAATTAAAATTGAACACTCTAAAAGAGTGCTTGAAATTCCTGCAAAAATTTGTGGGAAAAAACACCTATTTTAAATTATTCAAATCATTCTCACAAGCTAAATAAGTAGTTATTTTAAAGCATATCACTTACCTATTTAAATGCACATATTAATACCCTAATTTGCTGATAGATTATAATTACTAACTGGCTCAATCAATATTTGGTAATGTACACTAATTACAATGATGAGTTCCCAAATAATTCTGTATTAAATGTTTACTTATTATATGGAAGCTCCAAGTCTTGTTTCAAAAATATGATAAAGTATTATGTTATCTGTTAAGTTTTTTTAAATATTGGTATTATTAGAAAGTATCATTTCAAGATTAAGGCTTAGAAACAGAATAAGTATTTTTACATAGAAAAAAATCCACATGACAAAGGATTATTGAGGACTGTTTTTCAACAAAATTCATATTTAAAAAATCTATATCAGATCTCTAAACACACTCAATTCAGTTTGTATGTTCCCTTTTCAGTAAATGTGAACTCTAGTATTACAGTGAAGAAGTAGGAAAAAGCTGATAACACTGCAATGGTTTGAATATGTTCTCCAAAATCATGTGTTAGAAACATGATCCCCACTGCAGCAGTGTTGGAAGATGACGTCTTTGGCGAGTGTTTAGGTCGTGAAAGTGCTGAACTCGTAAGTGGATTAATACAGCTATAAAACAGGATTTCAGGGGTGGGTTCTCTCTCTTCCACTATTCTGCCACGTGAGGACAAAATGTTACTCCTCTCTGGAGGATGCAGCAACAAGACACCATCTTGGAACCAGAGACTGAACCTGCCAACCCCTTGATCATGGACTTCTCAGCCTCCAGAACTGTGAAAAATAAAAGTTTATAAATTACCCAGTCTGTGGTATTCTGTTATAACAGCACAAAAAGGACTAAAGCAAAAAAATACAAATAGCTCACTATTCCCAAGCATACTTTTCTCCCTCTCCTCTGTGGAAAACTTTAAAACAAATTATTATAAGCCTTAAAATAAATTATTAAGAAATCTAAGTAGACTGTAATCCTAACAGCTGCTTCTGCTGCCATCGTACAAGTCACATAGGTGAAGGGTTCTAGTTCCAACAACAGAAGCCTTTTAAACCATGAATCTCAAAGCTGTTTTAGTAAAGGAGACATTTTTTCAGGAGTAATGAGCATATTTGGGTTTAAATATTATCCTGGAAGCATTTTCTTGGCACTAAATACGCATCTGAACATTGAAACTCAAATATGTTAACAGATGTTTGTAAACAAGAGCATTTTAATACCAGATTTCACTTGAGTTAGGAACATGTTTTCCACCATTTAAAATAAATAATTTCTATATCTTACAATAGTTTTAGATTTACAGAAAAATTGGGAAGATCATACAAAAGCATCCATATATCCCACACCTGGTTTCCTCAATTATTAATATCGGTTACAAGTTAATATGACACACTGGTTGCCAATAATGATACCCTATGATTAACTAAAGCTTAAATATTTTTATTATTTTTCACTTAATGTTCTTTTTCTGATCTATTTTCTCATCAAAAATATCACATTTCATGGTTATTAGGCTTTTCTTGGCTGTGACAGTTTCCTTATTTTTGATGACCATGGCAGTTTTGAGGAATATTGGTTAGGTGTTTTATAGAACATTCCTCAAGTTTTTTAATGCTTAGACTGGGATTTTGAGTTTGGGGAGGATGACCACGAAAGGAAAGTCCCATTCTTATCATATTAGGGACATAACACTGTCAATATGATTTATCACTGTTGATGTTGACCTTGATTACCTGGCTGAGGTAGTGTTGTCAAGTTTCTCCACAGTGAAGTTTATCTTTTTCCCACTTTTCAGATTGTATTCTTTGAAAAGAAGAGACTGCACAGCCCACACTCAAGAAGTGGAGAGTTATGTTAGATCTCCTTAAGATTCAAGTATCTAAATAAATTATTTGGAACTATTCTGCCTAGGAGATTTTTCTCTTCTCTCCCATTATTTATTCAAGCACTTGTTTATAGGAGTATGGACTCATGAATATTCATTTTATAATTTGAGATATAATCTAATACTAATTTATTTTATTCCTCATATTGTTCCAGCTTTGGTCATTGGCAACTCTTTAAGTTGGTTTCTGTGCATTGGCAACTCTTTAAGTTGGTTTCTGTGTCCCTGTGACATTGACATACCTTCATAATTGTGGGGTCTTTTAGTCCTTCTTAACCTTCTGGCACTACAAAGTACTCAGGCCCAACTTGTATATTTCTTCTGCTATTGTAATATCAGCCACTTCTCCCAGGAGCTCTGGTTTCTTTTAATGGGGAATGTTGTTACAAGCCAATATCTATGCATAACATGTGCTGACTTCCACTGGGATGTCCTTTCTTATAGGCCCTTTCAGCTGACAGAACAAGGAAACACATGTACTAACCCATGTTTATATGCATGTCTATGAATATTTCTATGTGCATATCTATGAATATTTCTATGCGAAACCAGCCATATCTATATAAGCTAAAGATGAGTTAATGCTGATATCTCCAACTTTAATTTTTTATCCCATGGATCATTCTAGCCCTCTGATGTTGTTTATCCTTAACTTCCCTCTCCAACAGTGAGAAACCTGAATCCCACTGTCCACCATCCATTTACTTAATTGTTTAATGCCAGTGTACAAGCATAGTGGTATCAGAATTGTTCAACCACACCTTCATGGGAAACAACTGTATCAACCAGGGCATGGTGCTTATGGACAGTTTCTTTTATCTTTAGTCTTACAGACTCTATTTATTTCCAACATTATTTAGGTCAACACGTTTTTCCCCTGCCCAATTAAGTAGTTCACACATTTGTAACACAGTTAAACTATTTTGTCATATTCCACATTCCACCCCAAAATTTTGCAACCTCCTAAATTATTTTCTAAATTTGTTGTGCTGTAAAGTTCTATGTACTTAAACAAATTCAGAGTGTCATGCATCCACTATTATGGTATTATACAGAATAGTGTCACCACCCTAAAAATATCTCCTGTACTTCACCTATTGAACCCCTCCCCACCACCATGAGTTTTTTTAAATCAAATTATTTTGACTCATAACCATCTAATTTGAAACCAATTTTATGCATGGAAGGAATTTCTCAAACTACCATAGTTAAGACCCTAACAACATGGGTCCCTTTCTCTGAAAAGTCAGGGTCTGGATATGACAAGTCCTAGGACACTGGACAACTATAACAGAAGGAAGAGCAGAAAGAAAGCATGAGAGTATCAGCAATAAATGTCAATCATTTCATAATTTTGTCTTGAATAAGCTGCAATGTGTAATTGCTTTAATTTGTAAAACAAAGCAAAAAAAAAGGTTTATTCATTCATGCAATAAATATTAACTGAGCACTTGCTATGGGCTAGATATCACCCCATATGACTTAGCATAAATTGTTTTTTCTTCATATATAAAGTGACAGCATCCACATCATAGAAATGTTGGAGGGACTCTGCAAGTTGTGTCATGAAGAGTGCCTGGAACATCATGATTCTCCAGTGTATAATTCTCCAGTCCTCACTATTTTAGAGTAGAAAAGAGAGAGAAAGGGAAGAAGAATTCTCATTGTTTTTGCTCTTGCTTTTTGTCCCCCAAGTTTGATCATGGAATTGTTAAAGGGTGATGAGATAGCCTTGTGAGATGTGAGTCCCTGTCTAAGCAATCATTTAGGTCACTTATTAAAAACAGTATCCTGATCCCAACCCAGGACCTACTAAATCAGAATTTCTAGATGAGGGAGGGGATTTGGAGGCCCTGATGAACAAGGACAGAAAGTGATTGTTATCATCACAGAAGTTGAGAAAACCCTGGCAATGTCTTTCTAGATTGTACTCAGTGCTGAGAGCAGTTATGCCCATGACCTCACAAAAGGAAATGGTAAGAAAGCGTGGCATTGTGGTGAAAATGATAATATAATACTGATGATGTTTGTGACAGTTAATATTCATTGAGTACTCTATGCCTGGCTCTGAGCTGAGCAGTTTACAAGCATTACATGACTGTATCCTCACAATGTCTTTACGAGGTAGATATTATTTTCCCCCCTTTTTTTTTACAGATGAATAAATGAGCCTTAGACAAATTAATTAACTCATCCAAAGTCATCACTAGTGCATAGTGAACACTTGTTTTGTCTGACTTCAGAGCCATTTTTCTCAACCACGACACAAAAATAATGACAGGCAAAATGTTGGAGACTTGGGTATCAAGCCAAGCTTTTGTCTTGTCCATAAGCTCCACTAGACTATAGAATTCAGGTATTTGATATAAGAATAATTTTAGACCAGCCATTTTACATGCCTCAGCTTCCCCATGTGAAAAACAAATGGGAGTACCACATGCTCATCTAGTTCTAATATTTTGTGTTTCTCTTTCTTGTCCACTTTCCTCCCATTTTCTGTTTGTTTCAGCCTTGATTTGTATATTAGTTTTCTATCAGAGAAGAGAAAAATGAATCTGTAATCTTCACTTTGATTTTCGTAGTACAGCCTTTCTGATTACATTGTTTAGCTGTTCCATACTAGATAGAATACCAACTCTGAAGGTACACAAAGTTCAATCAAATAAGATGTTATGATTTTGACTATTTCACTAATTATTTTATTTAAACACCCTTAGAAATTGCTGAAACTCCAATTAGGAATTCTGTCTTTGAATTGAGTTTATATATATTTGGCAAAAGAAATATAGAGCTATTTTCCCAGCAGTTTCAGACATCTTTTCCTTACCTCATGTGCCACAATTGAGGCCTATAAACAAAGCCACCATATTAGTCCATTTTGCATTGCTATAAAGCAGTGGTCCCCAAGCTTTTTGGCACTAGGGACTGGTTTCATGGAAGACAATATTGCCATGGACCTGGGGGGGTTGGGGCGGGGTGGGTGGTGATGGTTTTGGGATGAAACTGTTCCACTTCAGATCAGGCATTAGGGTCGGGCACAGCGGCTCACGCCTGTAATCCCAGCACTTTTGGAGGTCTAGGCGGGTGATCACAAGGTCAAGAGATCAAGGCTGAAGGCTGGGAAGCTGAGATCCGTTTCCTTATTAGATAAGATTAACAAATATTATAAAGGAGTTAAAGACCTACTATCACCAAATTCTGATACTCTCTCATTCAGGTGATCAGAAGGAATTGAAGAGAATACAAGAGAGAATATGCATATCACTATGCTATTTCATACTACAAGTTCATTGATGGAAAATAATCATGTGTGCACCTAGCATGAAAATACCTGTGTCGGCCGGGCGCAGTGGCTCACGCCTGTAAACCCAGCACTTTGGGAGGCTGAGGTGGGCAGATCACGAGGTCAAGAGATGGAGACAGCCTGGCTAACATGGTGAAACCCCATCTCTACTAAAAATACAAAAAATTAGCCAGGCGTGGTGGTGGACACCTGGAGTCCCAGCTACTTGGGAGGCTGAGGCAGGAGAATGGTGTGAACCTGGGAGGCGGAGCTTGCAGTGAGCTGAGATCGTGCCACTGCCCTCCAGCCTGGGCGACAGAGACTCCGTCTCAAAAAAAAAAAAAAAAAAAAAAAAAAAAAAAAAAAAAACAGATCAGGCATTAGATTATCATAAGAAGCATGCAACCTAGATCCCTTGCATGTGCAGGTCAAAAAAGGATTCCTGCTCCTATGATAATCTAATGCCGCCACTGATCTTACAAGAGGTGGAGCTCAGGCAGTAATGCAGTAATGCTCACTTGCCCTCTGCTCACCTCCTGCTGTGCGACCTGATTCCTAACAGGTCATGAAACAGTCGAAGTCTGTGGCCCTGAGGTTGGGGACCCTTCCTATAAAGGAATATCTGAATATATAAAGGAATATCTGAATTATCATACGTAATTTAAAAAGTAAAGAGGTTTATTTAGCTCATGGCTGGGCAGACGGTACAAGAATCATGGCACCAGCATCTACTTCAGGTGGAGTCCCAGGAGGCTTCCAATCATGACAGAAGGGGAATGGGGAGCAGGGTGAGCAAGAGAGAGGCCAGGCTGCTTTTAAACAGTCAGATCATAAGGTAATGAATAGAGCAAGAACTCACTCATTACTGCAGGGACGGCACCAAGACATTCATAAGGGATCCACCCCCATGACCCAAACACCAGTCCACATCTCCAACACTGAGGAACAATTTTCAACACAAAATTTGGAAGGGACAAATATCCAAACTATATCACCACCTCCTAAGATGAAATGCATCTACCACATGGTCCCTTTATGGCTCAGATCTTCAGCCCCTGCGAAATCTTAGACAAGTCCCACTGCCTCTCTGAATTAGAAATTCACATCAAGAAAATGATTTAAAACAGTGACAGATTTTCAAGATAAATCTTAATACAAAGGTTCATAATTTGAGAAATATAAGGCATTTGGAAAGCATTATCTAGAGGCTTTTTAGCTAGATTTGGGATGTCTTCATAACAAACTCTATTTCTGAAACTTGACTGCACTAACAGAAAATGTTAGTATAATCAGAACGGCTACACATATGAGCTATGGTTTAAAAAAACTAGATTAGAGACTTACTCAAGGTCAGGAAGTTAATGGGAGAGCAAGCACTAGAACCCAATATTTTTTTATTCTTATTTTAGAACCTGAGTTGCCACTTTGCTTTCCTTTTCCTCCAAATTCTATAATAACCACATTTAGTAAATAGTCAGTGCTTCAGAAAATCTGAGCATACAGCAGTGTATATAGAGGATAACTCTGATTAAGAACTGACTGGAGACAGGGGAGTGAGTTGGGAGGTTGTTACTAAAGTCCCTAAGATTAGTAAGAATGGCACACAGGAAAGCACGGAACGGTGACTGACGGGAAGGTCATAGGTGGGTTACCCAGCTGGCCTACCCAGTAACCACGTGGGACAGAGTCCCAGTTCTGAGAGCTCCTGAGGAAGATAGGCAGTAAGCCTCAGACTGTGCTCAGCAATGATGCATCACTGGATTAGGTCTGTGTCTTCACTTCTCCCAATAACCACTGAATAAATAAACATGCCTTTAGCAGAAAGAGGATGAGATTTCAACTCAGCAAACTTGGATTTTAATCTAAGTTCACCCATTTACAGCTATTTGAACTTATTGTGACATTTAACCCCTCTGAGACACAGTTTCCTATTTTACTGGGTTGTTGGGAGGAAGAAAAAGCCAGTGTGTGGCTTATTGCAGGTACTCAAAAGAAGGACTGTTACTATTATTTACTGCAGGTGTTCCCTTGGAACAGAAAGAGTGGTAGAGAACTTGGAGGGTAATATCAAAAAGCTTGTCTATGACACAGTTTCATCTTGTCTCCTTTTACCCTCAACTAAAATGGAACTTAAAACAATTTTTCCCTTCTTGCTTACACATATATAGCATATTTGTCAAATGTCCTGTTGATAAGAAATCAATTTTTTGTACCTTATATCCTTTTCCAAATGAGAGAAGAGTCTCATAGACATTTGGATAAGAGTTAAAATTAAATAAAACGTGCTCTGTTTACTTCAAGGCTTTCTTTACCATGACAACCAGTACTTTCCATTACACATTCAGCACACCTCTTCTAACCTCCATTTGGCATTGTACTTTTTGAAACAAACTTGATAATACAGCACCATATATTTTTAACAGTTACATATTTGTAGAAAATTAAGCTTCTGAGCCACTGCTTGCCATTTCCAGAAGAAGGAACAACACAAACTGAGAAATCATAAAAATACATAACATTTATTGAACGTTTGCTGTGTGCTCTGAATTTTGCTGAAGTCTTACATGATTATCTCACTTAATCATCAAGAAAACCCTAATAATAAGTAACCAATAAATGTTAGTGGGTAGTAATATTATTGTTGCTACCCTTTGTAGTTTTTAACTATTAACAATAGCTAATTTATTAGGGATTTTTGTTTCCCTGAGCCTCTCCTTTTTCCAAGAATTTTTCTTTCATTCTTCAGCTCTCCCTCTTCTCTTTGTCTCCCATCCCAAATAATATGGAGGGACCAGGCCAAAACATTTCCTTCTGTATAGACTGAATTACGTCTTTTCAAAATGTGTATGTTGAACTTTTAATCCCCAATACCTCAGAATGTGACTGCATTTGGAGACAGAACCTGAGAGAGATGATTAATATTAAATGAGGCAAGAGGGGCAGGCCCCTAACCTGATTGAACCACTGTCCTTATTAAACCAAAAAAAGAGGCGGGGGGAGAGAAAGCCCAGAGATGCAGGCAAAGACAGGAAATGAATGTGAAGACACAGTGAGAAAGGAGCTATTTGCAAGCCAAGGAGTTCTCTGGAGAAACCAGCCTACACATACCTTGAACCTGGACTTACAGCCTCCAGAACTGTGAGGAAACAAATTCTGATGTTTAAGGCACCCAGACTGTGATGCTTTGTTATAGAAGCTCTAATAAATTAGTAATACCATCTGAAAACATAATCTTTCAATTTTACTTTTATTTTTAACAGTTGTTAACTATAATGGTCTAAGTTACAAAGTAATTTTTTATTTTTTTTTTTGTATGTCTACATTTTTTTTTGTACTTTAAGTTCTAGGGTACATGTGCACAACGTGCAGGTTTGTTACATAGGTATACATGTGCCATGTTGGTTTGCTGCACCCATTAACTCGTCATTTACATTAGGTATTTCTCCTAATGCTATCCCTCCCCCTGCCCCCCACCCCACGACACGCCCCAGGGTGTGATGTTACCCGTCCTGTGTCCAAGTGTTCTCACTGTTCAGTTCCCACCTACGAGTGAGAATATGTGGTGTTTGGTTTTCTGTCCTTGTGATAGTTTGCTGAGAATGATGGTTTCCAGCTGCATCCATGTCCCTGCAAAGGACATGAACTCATCCTTTTTTATGGCTGCATAATATTCCATGCTGTATATGTGCCACATTTTCTTAATCCAGTCTATCATTGATGGCATTTGGGATGGTTCCAAGTCTTTGCCATTGTGAATAGCTCCACAGTAAACATATGTGTGCATGTGTCTTTATAGCAGCATGACTTATAATCCTTTGGGTTATAACCCAGTAATGGGATCGCTGGGTCAAATGGTATTTCTAGTTCTAGATCCTTGAGGAATTGCCACACTGTCTTCCGCAATGGTTGGACTAGTTTACAGTCCCACCAACAGTGTAAAAGTGTTCCTATTTCTCCACATCCTCTCCAGCACCTGTTGTTTCCTGACTTTTTAATGATTGCCATTCTAACTGGTGTGAGATGGTATCTCATTGTAGTTTTGATTTGCATTTCTCTGATGGCCAGTGATGGTGAGCATTTTTTCATGTGTTTTTTGGCTGCATAAATGTCTTCTTTTGAGAAGTGTCTGTTCATGTCTTTTGCCCACTTTTTGATGGGGTTATTTGTTTTTTTCTCATACATTTGTTTGAGTTCATTGTAGATTCTGGATATTAGCCCTTTGTCAGATGAGTAGGTTGCGAAAATTTTCTCCCATTTTGTAGGTTGCCTGTTCACTCTGATGGTAGTTTCTTTTGCTGTGCAGAAGCTCTTTAGTTTAATTAGATCCCATTTGTCAATTTTGGCTTTTTTTGTTGCCATTGCTTTTGGTGTTTTAGACATGAAGTCCTTGCCCATGCCTATGTCCTGAATGGTAATACCTAGGTTTTCTTCTAGGGTTTTTATGGTTTTAGGTCTAATGTTTAAGTCTTTAATCCATCTTGAATTAATTTTTGTATAAGGAGTAAGGAAGGGATCCAGTTTCAGCTTTCTACATATGGCTAGCCAGTTTTCCCAGCACCATTTATTAAATAGGGAATCCTTTCCCCATTGCTTGTTTTTCTCAGGTTTGTCAAAGATCAGATAGTTGCAGATATGCGGCATTATTTCTGAGGGCTCCGTTCTGTTCCATTGATCTATATCTCTGTTTTGGTACCAGTACCATGCTGTTTTGGTTACTGTAGCCTTGTAGTATAGTTTGAAGTCAGGTAGCATGATGCCTCCAGCTTTGTTCTTTTGGCTTAGGATTGACTTGGCAATGCGGGCTCTGTTTTGGTTCCATACGAACTTTAAAGTAGTTTTTGCCAATTCTGTGAAGAAAATCATTGGTAGCTTGATGGGGATGGCATTGAATCTATAAATTACCTTGGGCAGTATGGCCATTTTCACGATATTGATTCTTCCTACCCATGAGCATGAAATGTTCTTCCATTTCTTTGTATCCTCTTTTATTTCATTGAGCAGTGGTTTGTAGTTCTTCTTGAAGAGGTCCTTCACGTCCCTTGTAAGTTGGATTCCTAGGTATTTTATTCTCTTTGAAGCAATTGTGAATGGGAGTTCACTCATGATTTGGCTCTCTGTTTGTCTGTTATTGGTGTATAAGAATGCTTGTGATTTTTGTACATTGATTTTGTATCCTGAGACTTTGCTGAAGTTGCTTATCAGCTTAAGGAGATTTTGGGCTGAGACAATGGGGTTTTCTAGATATACAATCATGTCATCTGCAAACAGGGACAATTTGACTTCCTCTTTTCCTAATTGAATACCCTTTATTTCCTTCTCCTGCCTAATTGCCCTGGCCAGAACTTCCAACACTATGTTGAATAGGAGTTGTGAGAGAGGGCATCCCTGTCTTGTGCCAGTTTTCAAAGGGAATGCTTCCAGTTTTTGCCCATTCAGTATGATATTGGCTGTGGGTTTGTCATAGATAGCTCTTATTATTTTGAGATACGTCCCATCAATATCTAATTTATTGAGAGTTTTTAGCATGAAGTGTTGTTGAATTTTGTCAAGGCCTTTTCTGCATCTATTGAGATAATCATGTGGTTTTTGTCTTTGGTTCTGTTTATATGCTGGATTACATTTATTGATTTGAGTACATTGAACCAGCCTTGCATCCCAGGGATGAAGCCCACTTGATCATGGTGGATAAGCTTTTTGATGTGCTGCTGGATTCGGCTTGCCAGTATTTTATTGAGGATTTTTGCATCAATGTTCATCAAGGATATTGGTCTAAAATTCTCTTTTTTTGTTGTGTCTCTGCCCGGCTTTGGTATCAGGATGATGCTGGCCTCATAAAATGAGTTAGGGAGGATTCCCTCTTTTTCTATTGATTGGAATAGTTTCAGAAGGAATGGTACCAGTTCCTCCTTGTACCTCTGGTAGAATTCGGCTGTGAATCCATCTGGTCCTGGACTCTTTTTGGTTGGTAAGCTGTTGATTATTGCCACAATTTCAGATCCTGTTATTGGTCTATTCAGAGATTCAACTTCTTCCTGGTTTAGTCTTGGGAGAGTGTATGTGTTGAGGAATTTTTCCATTTCTTCTAGATTTTCTAGTTGTATTTGCATAGAGGTGTTTGTAGTATTTTCTGGTGGTAGTTTGCATTTCTGTGGGATCGGTGGTGATATCCCCCTTATCATTTTTTATTGCGTCTATTTGATTCTTCTCTCTTTTCTTCTTTATTGGTCTTGCGAGTGGTCTATCAATTTTGTTGATCCTTTCCAAAAACCAGCTCCTGGATTCATTAATTTTTTGAAGGGTTTTTTGTGTCTCTATTTCCTTCTGTTCTGCTCTGATTTAGTTATTTCTTGCCTTCTGCTAGCTTTTGAATGTGTTTGCTCTTGCTTTTCTAGTTCTTTTAATTGTGATGTTAGGGTGTCAATTTTGGATGTTTCCTGCTTTCTCTTGTGGGCATTTAGTGCTATAAATTTCCCTCTACACACTGCTTTGAATGTGTCCCAGAGATCCTGGTATGTTGTGTCTTTGTTCTCGTTGTTTTCAAAGAACATCTTTATTTCTGCCTTCATTTCGTGATGTACCCAGTAGTCATTCAGGAGCACGTTGTTCAGTTTCCATGTAGTTGAGCGGTTTTGAGTGAGATTCTTAATCCTGAGTTCTAGTTTGATTGCACTGTGGTCTGAGAGATAGTTTGTTATAATCTCTGTTCTTTTACATTTGCTGAGGAGAGCTTTACTTCCAAGTATGTGGTCAATTTTGGAATAGGTGTGGTGTGGTGCTGAAAAAAATGTATATTCTGTTGATTTGGGGTGGAGAGTTCTGGAGATGTCTATTAGGTCTGCTTGGTACAGAGCTGAGTTCAATTCCTGGATATCCTTGTTGACTTTCTGTCTCATTGATCTGTCTAATGTTGACAGTGGGGTGTTAAAGTCTCCCATTATTAATGTGTGGGAGTCTAAGTCTCTTTGTAGGTCACTCAGGACTTGCTTTATGAATCTGGGTGCTCCTGTATTGGGTGCATATATATTTAGGATAGTTAGCTCTTCTTGTTGAATTGATCCCTTTACCATTAGGTAATGGCCTTCTTTGTCTCTTTTGATCTTTGTTGGTTTAAAGTCTGTTTTATCCAAGACTAGGATTGCAACCCCTGCCTTTTTTTGTTTTCCATTTGCTTGGTAGATCTTCCTCCATCCTTTTATTTTGAGCCTATGTGTGTCTCTGCACGTGAGATGGGTTTCCTGAATACAGCACACTGATGGGTCTTGACTCTTTATCCAATTTGCCAGTCTGTGTCTTTTAATTGGAGCATTTAGTCCATTTACCTTTAAAGTTAATATTGTTATGTGTGAATTTGATCCTGTCATTATGATGTTAGCTGGTGATTTTGCTCGTTAGTTGATGCAGTTTCTTCCTAGTCTCGATGGTCATTACATTTTGGCATGATTTTGCAGTGGCTGGTACCGGTTGTTCCTTTCCATGTTTAGCGCTTCCTTCAGGAGCTCTTTTAGGGCAGGCCTGGTGGTGACAAAATCTCTCAGCATTTGCTTGTCTGTAAAGTATTTTATTTCTCCTTCACTTATGAAGCTTAGTTTGGCTGGATATGAAATTCTGGGTTGAAAATTCTTTTCTTTAAGAATGTTGAATATTGGCCCCCACTCTCTTCTGGCTTGTAGGGTTTCTGCCAAGAGATCCGCTGTTAGTCTGATGGGCTTCCCTTTGAGGGTAACCCGATCTTTCTCTCTGGCTGCCCTTAACATTTTTTCCTTCATTTCAACTTTGGTGAATCTGACAATTATGTGTCTTGGAGTTGCTCTTCTGGAGGAGTATCTTTGTGGCATTCTCTGTATTTCCTGAATCTGAACGTTGGCCTGCCTTGCTAGATTGGGGAAGTTCTCCTGGATAATATCCTGCAGAGTGTTTTCCAACTTGGTTCCATTCTCCCCATCACTTTCAGGTACACCAATCAGACGTAGATTTGGTCTTTTCACATAGTCCCATATTTCTTGGAGGCTTTGCTCATTTCTTTTTGTTCTTTTTTCTCTAAACTTCCCTTCTCGCTTCATTTCATTCATTTCATCTTCCATTGCTGATACCCTTTCTTCCAGTTGATCGCATCGGCTCCTGAGGCTTCTGCATTCTTCACGTAGTTCTCGAGCCTTGGTTTTCAGCTCCATCAGCTCCTTTAAGCACTTTTCTGTATTGGTTATTCTAGTTATACATTCTTCTACATTTTTTTCAAAGTTTTCAACTTCTTTGCCTTTGGTTTGAATGTCCTCCTGTAGCTCAGAGTAATTTGATCATCTGAAGCCTTCTCTCAGCTCGTCAAAGTCATTCTCCATCCAGCTTTGTTCCGTTGCTGGTGAGGAACTGTGTTCCTTTGGAGGAGGAGAGGCACTCTGCGTTTTAGAGTTTCCAGTTTTTCTGTTCTGTTTTTTCCCCATCTTTGTGGTTTTATCTACTTTTGGTCTTTGACGATGGTGATGTACAGATGGGTTTTTGGTGTGGATGTCCTTTCTGTTTGTTAGTTTTCCTTCTAACAGACAGGACCCTCAGCTGCAGGTCTGTTGGAATACCCTGCCGTGTGAGGTGTCAGTGTACCCCTCCTGGGGGGTGCCTCCCAGTTAGCCTGCTCGGGGGTCATGGGTCAGGGACCCACTTGAGGAGGCAGTCTGCCCGTTCTCAGATCTCCAGCTGCATGCTGGGAGAACCACTGCTCTCTTCAAAGCTGTCAGACAGGGACATTTAAGTCTGCAGAGGTTACTGCTGTCATTTTGTTTGTCTGTGCCCTGCCCCTAGAGGTGGAGCCTACAGAGGCAGGCAGGCCTCCTTGAACTGTGGTGAGCTCCACCCAGTTCGAGCTTCCCGGCTGCTTTGTTTACCTAAGCAAGCCTGGGCAATGGCCGGTGCCCCTCTGGCCTCGCTGCCACCTTGCAGTTTGATCTCAGACTGCTGTGCTAGCAATCAGCGAGACTCCGTGGGCGTAGGACCCTCCAAGCCAGGTGCGGGATATAATCTCGTGGTGTGCCGTTTTTTAAGCCCGTCGGAAAAGCACAGTATTTGAGTGGGAGTGACCCGATTTTCCAGGTGCCATCTGTCACCCCTTTCTTTGACTAGGAAAGGGAACACCCTGATCCCTTGCGCTTCCCGAGTGAGGCAATGCCTCGCCCTGCTTTGGCTCACGCACAGTGCACTGCACCCACTGTCCTGCACCCACTGTCTGGGACTCCCCAGTGAGATGAACCCGGTACCTCAGATGGAAATGCAGAAGTCACCCATCTTCTGCATCGCTCATGCTTGGCACTGCAGACCGGAGCTGTTCCTATTCGGCCATCTTGGCTGCCAGCTGAAACTTGACTTTTATGTGAAAAGTCAAATAATTTGCATGAGTAATAGCATTAGAACTAATATTTTCCTGACTTCATGTAAGTGGAAACACTGGAGTAGAGATGTTACAAAAGGTTATCTCCAGTTCCAGGAAGATGACCCCATACTCATGGGTCACCCACTTCCGCTCCTGTAGCCCATGAAAAAGGGAGTCTCCATGTTTGATAGTGTTTGAATCGATCTTGTTTATCCTTTCAAATAATAAATTTTTAATTTGGTTCATCTTTTGTATGGATTTTGTGGTCTCAATTTTGTCACTTCTGCTCTGATTTCAGTTACTTCTTTTCTTCTGCTAGGTTGGGTTTAATTCATTCCTGTTTTTCTGGTTCTTTATGTATGATGTTAGATTGCTAATTTGAGATCTTTCTAAGTTCCTGATATAGGCATTTAGTGCTATAAAGTTTCTTCTTAATGCTGATTTTGCTCCATCCCAGAGATTTTCATATATTATGTGTCTATTTTCATTTATTTCAACTTTTTTAAACTTATGCCTTAATTTGGTTGTTTATCCAAAAGTCATTCAGGAGCAATTTGTTTAATTTCCATATAATTTTGTGGTTTTTGAGAGATCTTGGTATTGATTTCACTGTGGTCTAAGTGTATGCTTGATATCATTTATATACTTTTCAATTTATTGAGACTTGCTTCATGACCAAGTATGTGATCAATCTTAGAGTATGTTCCATGTACAGATGAGAAGAATATATATTCTGTGATTGTTAGATGGAGTATTCTGTAGATGTCTTGGGTCCAATTGGCTAAAGGTTGAATTTAAGTCTAGAATTTCTTTGTTCATTTTTTTGCCTCAATAATCTGACTAATGTTGTCAGCGAGGTGCTAAAGTCCCCTGGTATCATGGTGTGGCTAAGTCTTTTCACAGGTTTAGACTCTAGAAGTACTTGTTTTATGAATTTTGTGCTTAAATGTTGGGTGCATATATTTAGTATAGTTGTCTTCTTATTGCATTAAATCTTTTATCATTATGTAATGCCCTATTTTTGAAAGATATTTTTATAGTAAAGCTTTTTGTTCTTTCTGCGTTGTAAAATTAATCTATTTTTTCTTGACTTCCATAGTTCTCATAGAAATCTCTCAATATTGTTTAGTTTTGTTTTATTTCTGTTTCTGGCTGCTCATTTTCCTTTGTTCTTGGTTTTCAGCATTTGACTTTGTACCAAGGTGCAGTTTATTTTTATCTTGCATGGGATTTGCTACTTGAATGTGTAGGCTGATGTTTTTAACCAGTGTGGATTTTTCGTCATGATTTTTCCTATACCTTTGTTTCTTTACTTGTGTTTCTGGAACTCTGACATGAATGCTTGGACCTGTGTCCCACATGTCTCTTATACTCTGTGCTTGCTTCTTTCACACTTTTTTTTTCTCAAAGCTTCAGTGATATGTTTTCAGTTGGCCTATTTTGAGTTTACTAATTCCGTCTCCTGCTCCTAATGTCTACTGTTTAACTCATTCAATGAGTTCTTAGTTTCAAATGTGTCTTTTCATCTTAGAATGTTCATTTCTTTATAGATTAGAAATCTCTGAGGAAAAAATTTCTCCTTCATCTCTATTGTCCATCTATGTTCTTTGACTCATTTATAGTACTTAAGTTATTTTTCTGCCTTCCCTGTCATCTTGCTTGATCTGTGTCTCTGCTTATATTGATAACTTTTTCTCTTATCTGTTACATTTCCTTATCTGTTCCCTGTTTCTAGTATTTTTCTGAATACCACTTACTGTGTATTAAAAAGTTGTACAGACTAAGGTTGATGTCATTTTCTCCCAAGGAAAGTTTCCCTTTCCTCTGTCAGAAACAGGCTGAAAGGCTGATCACTTCAATCCAAGTGAGCATTGAGCAGGGTCTGAACTGGTTGTAGCTTTGGTTGAATTCAATCTATCTCCACTTTCAACATCTCCAGCCCTCTTGTGTGCTCATTCTAAATACCTCCCATGAGTGGGATTTTTCTATCAAGTACAAAATTCTATTACTTGTTTCCTGCCCAGTACCACAGCCTCCCATATCACTTCAGTCTGCTTCAAAATACCATTCCAGACATAGGCATGGGCAAGGACTTCATGACTAAAACACCAAAAGCAATGGTAACAAAAGCCAAAATTGACAAATGGGATCTAATTAAACTAAAGAGCTTCTGCACAGCAAAAGAAACTACCATCAGAGTAAACAGGCAACTTACAGAATGGGAGAAAATTTTTGCAATCTTCTCATCTTACAAAGGGCTAATATCCAGAATCTACAATGAACTCAAACTTACAAGAAAAAACAAACAACCCCATCAAAAAGTGGGCAAAGGATATGAACAGACACTTCTCAAAAGAAGACATTTTATGCAGCCAACAGACACATGAAAAAATGCTCATCATCACTGGCCATCAGAGAAATACAAATCAAAACCACAATGACATACCATCTCACACCAGTTAGAATGGTGATCATTAAAAAGTCAGGAAACAACAGGTGCTGGAGAGGATGTGGAGAAATAGGAACACTTTTACACTGTTGGTGGGACTGTAAAGTAGTTCAACCATTGTGGAAGACAGTGTGGCAATTTCTCAAGGATCTAGAACTAGAAATACCATTTGACCCAGTGATCCCATTATTGGATTATAACCCAAAGGATTGTAAATCATGCTGCTATAAAGACACATGCACACGTATGTTTATTGCAGCACTATTCACAATACCAAAGACTTGGAACCGACCAAAATGTCCATCAATGATAGACTGGATTAAGAAAATGTGGCACATATACACCATGGAATACTATGCAGCCATAAAAAGGATGACTTCACGTCCTTTGTAGGGACATGGATGCAGCTGGAAACCATCATTCTCAGCAAACTATCGCAAGGACAAAAAATCAAACACTGCATGTTCTCACTCATAGGTGGGAATTGAACAATGAGAACACTTGGACACAGGAAGGGGAACATCACACACCAGGGCCTGTCCTGGGGTGGGGGGCAGGGGGAGGGATAGCATTAGGAGATATACCTAATATAAATGACGAGTTAATGGGTGCAGCACACCAACATGGCACATGTATACATATGTAACAAACAAACCTGCAAGTTGTGCACATGTACCCTAAAACTTAAAGTATAATAATAAAAAAAAAAATTCTGGTGGAAAAAAACAATCATTCAATAGGAAATCGTCTAGGTTTCAGATTGCCATAGCAGGAACCGTGATCATAACATGTTTTACAGGTTTCCTTTTCTCCTAGAAATGCCCCCACCCTGGCAATAGCAAACCAGACTAACAGCCTACTTTCAGACTTAGCAAGTGCCTTCAGAAAAAAATAAAAAGGACATATACCTCATGTTACCTGGAAAGAGCTCTTTTCTCTCAGGAATTTAATTCATCTATCTCTTTTGCTTCCATATGTTTCCAATACATTTTAAAATAAATTTCCAATTATTAATTTAGTTATATCTGGTTATTACATAGAAGCCATGGCTTCTTATTACTTATTTTATGCTACTTGAAAACAGAATTTTCATAATGAATTTGAAATGGGAAATTTCTCCATAACCTCCCTCTTCAACTCCTCATCAGGTCTTCCATCTTGAAAAATCACAAATTTATTTACCCATTTATTCAACCGACACTTATTGGGTGCTTATTAAATACCAGGCCCTATGCTAGGTTCAAGGAATACAATCCTGTTCAACACATTATATGTATCTTGCCATTACAGAGTTTACAACTGAGTGGGAGAGTAAAATATCTTTTTGAAAAAAAAATCAGCACACAATTAAAAGTGTTAAATGCCATGAAAGAAAAGCATGAGTTAATAGAGGGCAAGAGGCCACTGATTTAGATTGCAGGGTGAGGCAACTGCTCTCTCAAGTGACAATTTAATGAGACCTGAAAAATAAGGAGAAAATTATTTAAGCAAAGAGTGGAGGTAAGATTATTTCAGGCAGAAAAAATATTGTATGCAATAAGCTGAAGTAGAAAATAGATGGTTTTTATCAAGGATTTGAATACATACAAGCTCGCGTGAGAGGGAGCATGCTGGTAGATGAGGTTAACAAGAGATTCGGGGCCAAGTCATATAAAGCCTAATGATAGCGCTGTGGTTTTATATTTTATATTGGATTGTTCTGAGCAAGGAAGTGCCAATTTGCTTTGTAAAAAATGAGTTGAAAGAAAGGAAGAGTTAACACAGGGAGATGTATTAGGAGGCTACTGAATGTGTCTAGGTGAAAAATGGCAATGGCTTACATTAAGATGGTGGCAGTGGAGGTGAATGTCTGGTTGGATTTGAAATACATTTTTAAAAGTATAATCAATAGGACTTCATGATGGAACAAATAGTGAAATGACAGAAAGTAGATATCAAAAGTAGTGGCTTTAAAAAGTACCAAAGTTTCCACCTTTCCATGCCTTATAGTGCATTTCTTTTTAGTGCTGAAAAGTATTCTATTGTCTGAATATACTGCAGTTACCTACTGATGGACACCTTAGTTGTTTTCAAGTTTCAGCAGTTATGAATGTAGCTGCTATAAAAATCCATGTACAATTTTTTCTGTGTACATTTTCTGTATGTTTCCACTCCTTTGGGTAAATACCAAGGAAACCTATTGCTGGATCATATAATGAGCATGTTCAGTTTAGATGTGGAGGTACCTTAAAGGCATATTACTAATTGAAAGAAGCCAATCTGAAAGGCTACATGCTATATGATTCCAGTTATATGACATTCTAGAAAAGGCAAATCTACGGAGATAGTAAAATAATCAGTGGTTGCCAGGGGTTTGGGACAAGGAGGGATAAATAATTGAGCACATAAGATTTTTATAGCAATAAAACTATTCTCTATAATTTTGTAATGTTAGATAAATGTTATTACACATTTATCCAAATTCATAGAATGTACAACACTAAGAGTGAATTCCAGTGTAAACTATGGACTCTTGGTGACTATGATGTGTCATTGTAGGTTCATTGATTGCAACAAATGTGCCACTCTGGTGAGGGATGCTGATAATGAAGGAGGCTATGCACATGTGCGGGCAGAGGGTAAATGGGAAATCTTTGTATCATTCAGTTTTGGTGTGAACCTAAAACTGCTCTAAAAACCCTATTAATAATATACATAACACCTGTATATATATATGTATATGTGTGTGTGTGGTGTGTGTATATATATAATATATATATAGGATTATGTTTTGTTTACATAGATTTTATGAAATATTTTACATGTGTTATCTGGTTTGATGCTCTCAATAGCACAATAAAATCTACATTATTATTCCTTTTACAGGTAAGGAAAAGGAAGCTCAAAAAAGTCAAATGTACTGTCTGTGGTTAATCTAATAATTAATTCACAGCTAAGGTCAGAACCAAATTCTCTAATACTGGTCCAGGGCTCTTTTTCTCTGTATAGCTTTATTTGCTTACAGTGTGTTTGAGAAATACAAGAGAGACTTCTTATGGCAATTGTCAGAGAGTTGATGTTTCTGCCATATCCTCAGTTACTACCAAAGTCTCAGCCAAACTCATCATCAAGTAATTCAAAGCCAATAATCTAGAATAATAATAATAATAATAATAGCAATATTTGATGAATTTTATTGAAACCTTCACAATATGTCAAACATTTAACATGCATTATCTCATTTAATTGTCATGATAATTGTCTGGAATAGATACTAATATTATAACTACTTATAAAGTAAGGAACCTGAGGTACAGAAAAATTAAATGACATCCTAGGATGACAGAACTAGTAACTGGCAAAACCAAAATATGCCAAAGTCTACACCATGCAGTCTATAAGTTCCAGAGGAAAAATTTTAATAGTAAAATCAAGAACAAGGTTATGTGATTGTTAGAAAACTTAACTCAGATTTAAAGGATTGAGATTTCACTCCTGTCTTTGTCACTGATAAATTCTGTAGCCTTTCATGCATTCCTCACATCTCAACCCCTACCTCACTCCTGACCTCAGTTTCTCCTCCTGTAAAATAGAAGGCTTTTATCACATTATTTCTTGGGCTCCTTCTAATTCTGATCTTTTTGGGTTTCATCTGCTTCTAGGTAATTATATTTTTGAGAGTTGGTTAATATAGTTTGTGTTACTGATAGTCAATCCCCTCACTGGTAACCATCACTCATTTTTCTCTTTCTACCTGAAAACCTCCCTTCACCCTAGAGTCCCAGAGTTTGCTAGATAATTCTCAGCTGGTTTAGAGAGTGCTCAAGAAACATCAGCTCAGCTCAGTTGATAGCCTGGCAATTAACTCATCCTGCAGCTCACTCCCTGTGCTCAAGTGCTAAATTGCAGAGGGTGTTTATCATATGTCAGGCTGACAGCCTCCTGCTGTCGGCTTTGATTTGTTAAATATCTGCAAAAGATTTGGTGACTGAAACACCTGGTCCGCAGAACATGCTGCACCATAAAGCTACAGGCAGCATGTCAAGAAATCCCTGCATGTCTTTCTTCAGCTGCTCCCTATCCTTTCCTTTTCAAAGAGAAATAAAGAGAAAGGGACAGCACCTTGAATGAACCAAGATACATCTTAGACTGGACTGAAATTGGTAAGGAAAATGGGAACCTCCACCCTCAGCTCTCTGCCCTGGAAGATGCTGTAATAAGTCAATAAGCAATTCTGGAATTCTTATTGCTATGTGCCAGGATTTACACCAATATATCACCTGCCTAAACTTCTTTGATCTTTACAATGCCCACAGGGATTTAAATAACTTGTCCATATTCACCCACAGGTAAGGTAGTATGGCAGAATCAGATTTGCCTTGTTCGCATCCCAGCTCAGCCTAAGGCAAGCTTGTCTAAGCCCCGCCCCTCAGGCTGCAGGTAGCCCAGGACAGCTTTGAATGTGGCTGAACACAAATTCATAAGCTTTCTTAAAATATTATGAGACTTTTGTGTTATTTTTTTTTTTGGCTTATCAGCTGTTGTTATCATTAGTGTTAGTATATTTTATATGGCCCAAGACAATTCTTCTTCTTCCAGTGTGGCCCAGGGAAGCCAAAAGATTGGACACCCCTGCTAAGGATTTGACATTAGGTTTCCCAGTCTTTCCCTGCTGCCTTGTTCTAGGCAGCATTTCTCCCTGTTCTCCACACCCCAGGCATTGCTATGCTTTTTGGAAGGTAGTAATGGGTTAGCAAGCAAAATACTTTCTGCTGTGTTTTTCTTGTCAGTTATATAATCTCACTGCTCAATACAAGCCCAATTGCCCTTAATTACATTTTGAATAATCAGTATTGTCAATAACTTCTCAACCCCTAGGTTAGACAGGAGAAAGAAGTTAGGTTTCATGTATGGCTAATCATACTGTAATTTTGAGTCTACTCTTTCCTCTATTCATATATAATGCTGACTCTGATTGGGTGCCATCCCAGTCTACTAATTTGGAAGTTGCAAGTCAATGGTCAATTGGCTCAACTGGACAGTATTTTACTCTTTAAAAAAAATAGAGATCATGAAAACCAGGTATGATTGCTAATATTTATCTGTTGGAGTCAAACGTATCTGAATGAGAATTTTGTTTTTTGCATATGTAAACTATGCCATTTTGGGCAGTTTACTTAATTTCTCTGAGCCTCAGAGTCCTCATCTGTAAGATAAAGATAACAGTACTTACTCAAAAGCTTGTATGAGGATTAAAATGTAAGCTTTACAGAGATGAGGAAGCGTGGTATTGTGAAAATGCATGTGCATTTCAACCTAGTCTTTGGGGCTTCAAGACATTGTGCAAGCCATCCAGTGTCTGTGAGTCCATGTTCTTTGCCTGTAAATGGGAATAATAATACTGTGTTAGGGTTGTGTTAAGAAGTAACTCAGGTAATCTAAGTCAAATACCTAGAACAGTAGTTGGTACAGAATACTTGCTCAGTTAGTGTACTTCCCTCTGTTTACATGCATTTACATTTAATTACTTATTTTCTTATATTCACATATAAACTAGATGACTCTGCCAAGTCAGTAAGGAAGGGAATATTAATTGGGTTGATAAACATGAACATCACTAGGAAATTTTGTAGATTTAATATCTTTGTGAACCAATTAGTTTTTTGGGTTTATTGTGTGTGTGTGTGTGTGTGTGTGTGTGTGTGTGTGTGTGTGTGTTTTCTTTTCTTTCCTTTTTTGAGATGGAGTCTCTCTCTGTCACCCAGGCTGGAGTGCAGTGGCCTGATCTTGGCTCACTGCAACCTCTGCCTCCCAGGTTCAAGCAATTCACTTGCCTCAGCCTCCCAAGTAATTGGGATTACAGGCACGCACCAACATACCCAGCTAATTTTTGTATTTTTGGTGGAGATGGGATTTCACCATGTTGGCCAGGCTGGTCTCGAACTCCTGACCTGAGGTGATCTGCCCGCCTCAGCCTCCCAAAGTGCTGGAATTACAGTTGTGAGCCACTGCACCTGGCCCCAATTAGTTTATTCCAACTTTATAAGCATGAGTTATGGATTCTAACCACAAAAGCACATAGGTCTGTCTTCATCCATTTGTGCTGCTATAACAAACTACCACAGTCTAGGTGGTTTATATACAACATTAAATGTATTTCTCACAGCTCCAGAATCTAAGAAGTCTAAGATAAAGGTGTCTGCAGATTTGGTGTCTGCTGAGGTTCCAATTCTTGGTGTATAGATGGTGCCTTCCTGCTGTGACCTCACATGGCGGAAGGGGCAAGGGAGTTTTCTAACATCTCTTTTATAGGGGCACTGTGATGGTTAATTTTCGGTGTCAACTGAATTAAGAAATACCTGGGGAATGGGTAAAGCATGACTTCTTAGTGTGTCTGTGAGGGTGTTTCCAGAGGAGGTTGACAGGTGAGTCTGTGGACTGAGAGGGGAAGGTCCACCCTCAGGGTGGGCAAACACCATGCAATCAGCTGGGGGCCCAGAAGGAATGAACAAGGAGAGCAAAGGATTTCTTCTCTCTCTTTCTTAATGCTGGGACTCTCCTTGTCCTGCCCTTGGATATCAGAACTTCAGGCTAAGTAGCCTGGGCACTCCAGGACTTATACCAGCAGGGCCCCTACCTCCCAAGGTCTCCCACATTTGGCCTAGGACTGAGAATTATGCCATCACCTTCCCTGGTTCTGGGGCTTTAAAACTTGGACCAAGCCATGCTACCAGTATCCCAGGGTTTTCAGCTTGGAGATGGCTTGTCATGGGACCTCTCAGTCCCATGTGTAGGCCAATTCCCCTAACAAATAACTCCTCATCTATATCTATATCTATATATAAGTATCCATATCTATGTATATCTATATATAGCTTGTCATCCTATATAACAGGGAGGAAGATTCTCTAAAATAAAATGATAATTATTCAAGAATGGGCATTGCAATGGGAATACTTGTGCCATAGTAAACTATGTGTGTATTCAGTGAAGAAAGAGAAGACAAATATTTTTGAAGGAAAAATGAATAGTATTACATAATTATTCTGTGATAATTATCCGTGGCTACCAGGATCAATAACCAGAATGATGCCAATCTAAGACTGGACAGGCAGTTGCTGGGAAGGTATCCTCACAGAAGTATTTTTTTATATAAGGTTGCAGCAGACTTTGTGCAAGGCTGCATTCTTCGCAGAATTGTTTGTGATCGTTTTTGTTATCAGGCACTTGCGCATGAGAACTCTCCTTTCATAGTCTTTTCTGGCTCTGTTGTTTGTTTTTTCCAAAATATGTGACTGTATTTTGATTCTGACAACTTTCCCAATATATTTCCTGTTGGTTCTCTCTGAACCCTGCCTAATACAAATTTTGGTATTAAGAGTAGTTTTGGAGGAACAGACTTCTAAGGATGTTTCCTTAATTGGTTTTGGAGTTTTGGGAATTAACTGTTTAATCTAATTAGACCTAAAAAGTCTAAGGACTCCACCTGTAACAGTAGAGAGAGCCCTAATCAATAACCCATGGCATGAACTTCTTATAGAAATATGCACAATATCTGCATTTGATAATCCTAGTCAATCATTTATAAGAGGGAAGAAACTTGGTGGCTCTGTGTATGGTACTTTTGAACATTTTTGGAAAACAGACTATGATGACCATTAGTTGGTTGCTTCTAATGTTGCTGGACAAGGATCAATGACCAGGATGGTGCCAATCTAAGATTGGACAGAGAGTTGCTGAGCAAATATCATCACAGAAGGATTTTTCTTTTTTATGTAAGGTTGCAGCAGACTTTCCTTCATCCTGATTAAAGAAAAGGTTGAGGTCAGGGATGCAAATTTTTACCTCCAGCTCCAGTAATAGCCTATGAGCTTCTAAGTGCACCCGGAGCCAGAATCTTCTGTTCTATAGCCACAGGGCTGAAATTGCCAAATCAAATACATGCACTTATCGTGTGATTGGCTGAATTACATGAAAACTATACTCTTAGCCTCACAGGGTGTCTACTAAGGGCATTGGCTAGGAAATAATGGGATTCTGTAAATTGGGATGGAGAAGTGATGGGAAAACGCTTATGAAGCTGGGGACATTGAGCTTCTAAATTCTGATGAGTCTTGTTTGCCAGCAGAAGTGGCCTCCCTACACCCATCCCAGTGGCAGAAGCATCCCCACCCACAACGTATAGGCCTTTCCACCTCTGTTTCAGGGATTCACTCTGCATTGCCTGAGGAAACAATAATCGCCTCCCTTGAGACAGTTGCCAGGCAAGACACTGCTTATTCTCCTCCGGGCTCACCCCCACCACCCCTTTTTGCTTCTTGACCTATAATTAGATGAAAATCCCAGCAGACCCCTAAAGGTGAGGAATGAGTATGACCCATGAGGAGATGTATTACATTCCAAAAGAACTACTTCAGTATTCTAACTTATGCAAGCAGAAATCTGGGAAATATATGAGAATAAACGTTAAGGGTGTGGAATAATGGTGGAAGGAACATAAAGTTAAGTCTGGCTGAATTTATTGCTACGTGTCCACTAAACAGAGATTCTGCACTTAATGTTACAGTTCAGGGAGTTAAGAAAGGTGCTAACAGTTTGGTTGTCTAAAAATGGGTCCAAATTTGGCCCACACAGCTGAGCATGGTGGCACGTGCCTGTAGTTCCAGCTACTTGAGAGGCTGAGGTGAGAGAATCACTTGAGCTTGGGAGGTTGAGACTGCAGTGAGCCATAATTGTGCCAATGCACTCCAGCCTGGGTGCATTAAAAAAAAAATTAAAAAAAAAAAAAGATGGGCCACCATGAGCAAGCTAGAGATTCCAGATCTCCCTTGGTTTATTACAGAGGGAGGGATTCAAAGGCTTAGGGAGATTGGAATGCTGGAGTGTATTTGTCACTTAAACCTACTCACCCACACTGGAAGAATCCAGAAGACACACCTCTCATGAACACATTGAGAAACAGATTTGTTAGGGGAGCCCCAGCATCCCTGAAGAGCTCCGTAGTTACTCTTCTGTTTAAGCTGGACTTTACAGTGGGAACCTCAGTCACTCAACTGAAAAAGGTACATGTAATGGAAATAACTGTATTCTGAGGTGGCAAGGGCCAGGTGCTAGCACTTAATCATCAAAGGCAAGGTGAGCACAGTTGCCATAATGGATAATAGAGACAAAGCAACAATTAGAATAGACTGTTTCATGGAGTTCTATGGTGTTGGCTAGTTAACCATGGTGTTCTAGAAGTGAACTAGGTAGGAAACCTACTAAGATCTCATTTGATCTCTATAGCAGAAAATTTTCGGTAAAAGTCTAATTTGAATTATAAAAACAGAGAATCATGGCCCCTCAATCAATTCCCAGACTTAAGCCAGTTTACAGAAGCAGATTCCCTTTAATGAAGGGAAGGCTGGGTCCCCTCCAGGAAGGACCTTGGTACATTACCAAAAATTTATACTGTTAATCTTTTTGCCATCTTTCCCCAAAGAAACTTAACAGCCTTTTACCAGGGTAATTATGCACTGAGGAGAGAGAAATAATCAGACCTTTCGGGAACTACTGGACACTGGCTGTGAACTGACAGGGATCCCAGGAGACCCAAAATATTACTGTAGCCCTCTAGTTAGAGTAGGGCCTTATGTAGGTCAGATAATCAATTGAGTTTTAGCTCAGATCCAACTTACAGTAAGCCCAGTGGGTCCCTAAACCCTTTCTGTGGTCATTTTCCAGTTCCAGTTGCATAATTGGAACAGACATTCTCAGCATCTGGCAGAATCCTCACCATGGTTCCCTGACTCATGAAGTGAGAGCCATTATGGTAGAAAAAGGCAAATGGAAGCCATTAGAGCTGCCTCTACCTAGAAACATAGTAAATCAATTACCTCATCCCCAGAGGTATTTCAGAGATTACTGCCACCATCAAGGACTTGAAAAATTTTCACCACATCCCCATTCAACTTTCCTATTTGGCCTGTGCAGAAGACAGATGGAGCCTGAGTAATGACAGTGTATTATTGTAAGCTTAACCAAGTGATGACTCCAAGTGCAGCTGCTGTACCAGATGTGATTTTATTGCTTGAGCAAATTCACACATCTCCTGGTACCAGCTGTTGTGGTAAATTCCTTTTCCTTCATACCTGTCCTTAAGTTCCACCAAAAGCAGTTTGCTTTCAGTGGGTAAGGCCAGCAATACACCTTTACTGTCCTACTTCAGTAGTATATCAAACTCTTTAGCTCTAAGCCACAATTTAGCTTTCAGGGATCTTAATCATCTTCTTCTTCCACAAGATATTACAGGAGTCCATTACAATGGGGCTCATTGAAACTAGTGAGCATGAAGTAGAAACTACTCTGGACTTATTGTTAAGATGTTTGCATGTCAGAGGGTGGGAAATAAATTCAGCTAAAATTCAGGAGCTTTATAACCTGGTGAAATTTCCAGGGGTCCAGTGTTGTGGGACATGTGAATCAGATATCCTTCCTAAAGTGAAGGATAAGTTGCTGCATCTGGCCCTCCTACAACCAAGAAAGAAGCACAATGTCTGGTGGGCCTATTGGGAATTTGGAGGCAACACATTCCTCATTTGGGCATGTTACCCTGATCCGTCTACTGAGTGACTTGAAAGGCTGCTAGTTTTGAGTAGGACCCAGACCAGGAGAAGGCTCTGTAACTCTTCCAGGCAGCCCTGCCTCTTGGACCACAGAATCCAACAGATCTAATGGTACTTAGGGTGACTGACAGATAGGAATGCTGTTTGAAGGCTTTTGCAGTCTCCTATAGGTGAATTGCAGGGGATGCTCTTATGAATTGGAGGCAAGGCCTGCCATCATCTGCAAAGTTAGTTAACTACTCTCCTTTTGAGAGAGCTCTTGGCCTGCTACTGGACCTCAGTAGAAACTGAATGTTTGCCCATGGGCCATAGAGTTACTATGCGACCTGAGCTGCCTATCATTTTTTTTTTTTGATATGGAGTCTCACTCTGTCACCCAGGCTGCAGTGCAGTGG
This sequence comes from Homo sapiens, assembly GCF_000001405.40. Taxonomy (NCBI): domain Eukaryota; kingdom Metazoa; phylum Chordata; class Mammalia; order Primates; family Hominidae; genus Homo; species Homo sapiens. The sequence goes on along the minus strand of NC_000005.10, from coordinate 161,057,907 downwards.
CATGATCTTGGCTCACTGCAACCTCCACCTCCTGGGCTCAAGCAATTCTCGTGCCTTAGCCTCCCAAGCAGCTGGGACTACAGGTGCATGCCACCACACCCAGCTATTTTTTGTATTTTAGTAGAGACGGAGTTTCATGTTGCCCAGGGTGGTCTTGAACTCCTGTGAGCTGCCTGTCATTAAACTTAGTGTTGTCTTACCCACTTGGGTATGTGTTGCAACACTATGTCATCAAATGGAAGTGGTATTTATGTGATCAGGCAAGAGCAGGTCCTGAAGGCACAAATAAGCTACATGAATAAGTGGTGTAATTGCTCTTGGTTTCTACTTCTGCTAACCTACCTTCTCTCTCCCAGCTTGCATCAGTTGACAGAGGCAGAGAAAACTAGGGCCTGGTTTACAGATGGTCAGGAATAATATTCAAGCACCACCCAAAAATGGACAGTTGCAGAACTATAGCTCCTTTCTGGGACATCCCTGAAGGATGGTGGTGAAGGATAATCTTCTCAATGCATAGAGACTTTGGGCTCTGCACCCAGTTGTGCTTGGAGGGAGAAATGGGCAGATGGGCAACTATATGTTAATTCATGAGCTGTACCCAATGATTTGGTCAGATGCTCAGGGACTTGAAAGGAATATGACTGGAAAATTTCTGACTAAGACATATGAGGAAGAGACATCTGGATAGAGCTCTCTGAGTGGGAAAAAATATCTGTGTCCCATGTGAATGCTTACCAAAAGGTGACCTCAGGAGAAGAGGACTTTAACAATCAAGTGGAAAGAATGACCCATTCTCTGGATATCAGTCAGCCTCTCTCCCCAGCTACCTCATCATTGTCCAATGTACTCATAAACAAAGTGGCCATAGTGGCAGGAATGGAAGTTCACAATGGGCTCAGGAATGTGGACTTCAACTCACCAAGGCTGACCTGGCTATGGCCACTGCTGGGTGCTCAGTCTACCAGCAGCAGAGACCAACACTGAGCCCCTGATATGGAACCATTCTCTAGGGTACTTAGTGGCAGTTTGATTAGATTAAACCACTTCCATCATGGAAGAGGCAGTGTTTTGTTTTTATTGGAACAAATACGTGAATATATATTTGCCTTGCATGCACAAAATGCTCTGACAAAACCAGCATCCGTGGAGTTACAGAATGCCTTATCTACCATCATGTTATTCCATACAGCATTACTTTTAACCAAGGAACTCACTTCACAGCCAAAGAACTACAGCAGCATTCTCATGCTCACGAAATTTGCTGGTCTTACTAAATTCCCCATCATCCTGAATCAGCTGGCTTGATATAATGGAATCACCTTTTTAAGTCACAGTTACAGAGCCAGTTAGGTGATAATACTTTGTAGGGCTTGGACAAGGTCCTCCAGAAGGCTATCTATGCTCTGAATTAGTGTCTGTATATAGTATTGTTTCCCTTACAGCCAGAATTCATGGGTCCAGGAATCAAGGGGTGGAAATAGGAGTGGCACCAGTCACCATCACCCATGGTGGCCCACTAGCAAAATTTTTGCTTCTTGTTCCTCTGACTTAATGCTCTGCTAGCCTAGAGGTCTTAGTTATGAGAGGAATGCTTCCACCAAGAAACACAATAATGACTACATTGAACTGGAAGTTAAGACTGCTACCCAGCCACTTCTGTCTCCTCATGTCTCTGAGTTAGCAGGCTAAGACAGGTGTTACAGTGTTGGCCAGGTTGATTGATTCAGACCACCAAGGGGAAATTGGGCTACTACTCCAAAATGGAGGTAAAGAAAAGTATATCTTCTGGAATACAAGTGACCCATTAGAGTGTCACTTAGTGTCACCATGCCCTGTGATTAGGTCAATTGAAAATGTAACAACCCAATCCCAGCAGGATTACAAATGTCCCAGACCCTTCAGGAATGAAAGTTTGAGCTACCCCAACAGATATATTGATGACCAGCTGAGTTGCTTGCTGAAGGCAAAGGGAATACAGAATGGGTAGAAGCAGCAGCTAGTTATTAATACAAGTTATGACTATCTAACCAGTTATAGAAACAGGTCACTAATCGTCATGAGTATTTCCTCCATTTTTTAAAGAATGTTTTTGTGTATGTATACATATATTAAGGCAATATCTTCATTTTCATTCATCTCTTATTTATCATGTAAAATAAGATACATTAACTTTATATCAGTATTTAAGTATTATTAACTTTACACCATAGTATTTAATCTATGGGATATCAGAATGATATAGTTTAGATGTCCATCCCCTCCAAATCTCATGTTGAACTGTAATCCCCAATGTTGGAGGTGAGGCCGGGTGGGAGGTGTTTGGATCATGGGGGTGGATCCCTCATTAAATGCTTGGTGCCATCCTCATGGTAATGAGTAGTAATGAGTGAGTTCTTGCTCTGTGAGTTCACATGAGACCTGATTGTTTGAAAGATGCTGGAATCTCCTCTCTTGCTCCTACTCTCCCACGTGACGTGCCTGCTCCCCCTTTGCCTTTTGCCATGGTTGAAAACTTTCTGAGGCCTCAACAGAAGCTGAGCCAATGTCAGTGCCATGCTTCCTATACAGCCTGCAGAACTATCAGCCAATTAAACCTTCTTTCTTTATATGTTACCCAGCCTCAGGTGTTCCTTTATAGCAACACAAAATGGACTAACACACAGAAGAAGAGTAAACATCACCCAAGGACTTTACCTCCTCTTCTGGGGAAGAGATTAGTGTGTTTTCAGTTTTATGCAGAATTATGTTAGGCAAAATTACTCTCTTGTTATGGACTTTATTTGGAGATTATGAAAGGTTTAAGGAGATACATATGGGTGCCAAGTTGACATGAAGTAAACTTATGATGGTTAATTTTAGGTGTCAGCTGAACTGGATTAAGGAATAGCTAGTGAACTGGTAAAGCATTATTTCTGGTCTGTGGGGATGCTTCCAGTGGATATTGGTGTGTGAGTCAGTGGACTGAGTGGAAAAGATCCTCCCTTAACATGAGCAGGCACCATCTACTCAGTTGGTGGCCTGAACATAACAGAAAATGAGAGAAAACTATTTTCTCTCTCTCTTGAAGTTAGGACACTCTCCTCCTCCTATTCTTAGATGCCAGAACTCCAGACTTGGGACTCCAGGATTTACCCCAGCAACTCCTCCAAATTCTTAGACCTTCAGTCTCAAATTGAAAATTCACCCCAGTTGAGGCGAATATCATAGGTTCCCTGGTTCTGAGGCCTTCTGACTTGTATAAAGCTATGCTACTGGAATCCTGGGGTCTCCAGCTTGCAGCCTGCTGTGAGACTTCTCAGTAATTTTGCGAGCCAAGTCCCCTAATAAATATCCTCTCATATATCATATATCTCTAGCATCTATGTATCTAGTGTTTATCTATCTATCTATCATCTATCTATTATCTATCTATGTATCTATCTTCTCTGGAGAATCCTAATACTGTAGCCCCTTTTATGAGTGTTCTGCCAAATTCCAATTATTATGGCTCTACCTTCATGATCTAATGACCTCCCAAAGATTCTGCCTCCCCAAATCATCACAGTAGGTTTCAATATATGAATTTTAGAGGGACACAAGCATTCAGTCTATATAGCTTGGTTGAAAGTGGGATAGTTGGAATGTGTCAGTCTACAGTCAAAGTGACAACTTAGGCTTAGGAATGCAATAAGTGGATGTCATCACAGCATTCAAAACCTAAGGAAGTGTAATTTCCTCTCAAATTTGTTAAGCTAGAGTAATAAACACGCTGAGGCCAAGTATGTCACGGGAAGTCCGGACATTTGCTGGGGGCAAGGAGTTCCATACTGCCTCTCCCCTTCCCAGATTAGGACTCTTGTACCAGAATCTCGAGGTCCTACACTTGACAAAATACCTCCCAATGTTTCTCAGTTTTTCCTCACACAAAAATTATCCTTAAGTGTAGAGTTATTTGACTGAATTATTCAGTTGGGAATAGGTAATTATAGCTCTTGGGAAGTATCAAAAAATGTTTCTATAAAGGTTTATATAAAAACATGATCATAATTATCTTTGAGAGAAGGGGGCTAGAATTTGAAGAACACATATGCAGAATCTTTCTGTAGCCCTCTGTAGGAAACCTATGCTTAGGAGATACATGAGCAACTATTTCCTCCAGGAGATGTCTGCACATACAAAGGAAGTAAAAGTTGGCAGATTTCTTGCTCTCCAAAGCTAACTTCTAAGCCAACAAAGGAATGTGGTGACCACAGAGCCCTGGTATAAAAAAAGTCTAGCAGATCAGAAGCCAATCCCAAATTATATAGGTGTGATATACCATTTGGATTTGTGTTCCCACCCAAATCTCATATCGAATTGTAATCCCCAGGGTTGGAGGAGGGGCCTGGTGGGAGGTGATTGGATCATGCAGGTGGACTTCCCCCTCGCTGTTCTCATGATAGTGAGTGAGTTCTCACAAGACCTGGTTGTTTAAAAGTGTGTAGCACCTCCACCTTTGCTCTCTTTCTCCTGCACCAGCCATGTAAAATGGGCCAGCTTCTTTGCCTTCCACCATAATTCTAGTTTTCCCAAGGCCTCCACAGCCATGCTTCTTGTGTGTACAGCCTGCCAAACTGTGAGCTAATTAAACCTCTTTTCTTTATAAATTACCAGTCTCGGATAGTTCTTTATAGCAACGCAAGAATGGACTAATACAAGGTGAAATCATGTACGTGTAATGTGAACCACTGAAACACTGTAGCTAAACAAAGAATTTGTTGAAAAAGAGACAAATTAGTGAGCTGAAGACAGTACTGGGTTTGGAGTCGGAGAGACCTTGTTTAAACTCCTAGCTGTATGACCCAGAATGAGTTATCCATTCTCTCTCAACATCAACATATTTTCTTTTAAAAAGGAAGAGAGATACCAATGTTCACTTAAGTGGGGTTTTAAGAGGATTACATGAAATAATGTACACAAAATCCCTAGACCAATTTCTGGTGCCAAGCAAGTGCAAATGATTGGCAGCTTCTTCCATTCTCAATTTCTTGTGAGGAAAAGGGGACTCTTTCAAAGCATTGCAAATTTTAAAGCTTGTCCAGACTTTAAATTTCCATGTTTCAAAGGAGCACTCAGTCTTAGGCATTTAGTGATAGAAAGGGCCCTTTGTTGAACATTTACTACATAGATTCATGAAGCCAAGTAATTGATATGTATTCAGACATTAACATGTAATTTTATCATCACTTCCATTTGACAGATGAGAAAACTGAGGCTTTAGCTTGAAGCAACCCCATCAGTAACCTAGCTAGGAAGTAGTAGAATCAGGATGGACTCCCAGTCTACCAGAATTCAGGGCCAGTATATTTAACTGCTGTACTTTTTAGCCACAATAAATTCTTGGTTGAATGGCCTCATTTATCCCTATGCCCTATTTTTTTTTTCTCTCCTGACTTCTTTTAAGTATCTTTCTCTACGGTAAAGTCATAACTCATTTGGGATTTGTGAGCATTTTGATGGTGAACCTGCTGTTACACATTGTTCAGCAAACACTTTCCTGGTATCTACTGTAAATGAATGATGCTGTACATGTGTTTGAACTACTTAAGGAAGGAAACTGTCCTCAAGTATGCTCAAGAACATTAGAAGTACTCAATTACACACAAGGGATGATTAACAATTCTTCTTATTTATTCATTAAATCAAGCTACCTCAACTGGGCAAACATGAATCAGTCTTACTCATTTCCTACTATTTGTGATGCAGAACTAGAAGTAGCCCTTGAGTTGATCTTTTCCATCTTTCTCATTTTACACCAATTGACACTGAGGCACAAGAGGTTCATGGTACGGTACAGTAGGGGTAGCAGCAGCAGCACAAGAGGTAGCAACAGCCGTAATCGTAGTAGTCACAGTAGCAGCTTACTATGAACTACATACAGTGCTATGCACTTTATCTGCATTATTTCACTTATTCTTCACAAACATTTATGAAAAATTGACATTATTTTTATCACCTTTTTTACATGAAGAAACCTTTATCACCTTTTTTTACATGAAGAAACCTTTATCACCTTTTTTTACATGAAGAAACCTTTATCACCTTTTTTACATGAAGGAGGTTACATAATTTGTTTAAAAAAAAAGCAGTGACACTAACATATCTGTGCAATAAGTACCAAAGAACTATATAATATCATTATATAATACACAATTGAAATATAAAATATCAAATGCATCTTAAAAGTATTGCCACATTGGAACCCCACATACCAGCCCAGATGAATTTGGTGAGTGAATATTTACTGAAATGTGCAAAACCATATAAGTAATGTTGATATACATTATAAAGTTTAAAAATGCAGAGAAAACTGTGAACTGTCTGTGCAGAATTAGAACAATAATCAGCAAACTGTGACCCATGAGCAACATCCAGTCCGTTGTCTGTTTTTATAAATAAAGTTTCATTGAAACTCAGTCATACCCATTCATTTATTTATTGTCAGTGGCTGCTTTCATGTGACAATGGCACAGATGAGGTGTTACAACAGAGACCTTGTAGCCTGCAAAACAAAAATATTTACTATCTGGCTTGTCACAGGAAAAAAAAAAAGTTGTCGACCCGGACTAGAACATCACCAGTTCTAATGATGTACCTTCACTCTTCCCAGCTCATATTCCAACCTCTCTGCTGATCTGCAGAGACAACTTCTATTTCAAATTTTGGTTTTACTTTTACCTTGCTCATTTGAAAAAAAAAAAAGAGTTTCAGCACATATGAATTCATTTACAATATTTTATATGGTTTTGCTTGCTTTGCTATTGAAGTATATACATAAAATGTACAAACCATAAATTTGCAGCATGCTGAACTTTTATAAAATGAAACTAGTGCTAGTAGTGGTGGTGGTGGTAGCAAAAGTGTTACCCCATGTAACCATTACCCAGATCCATGTACAGCACAGAATCAGGACCCCAGAACTCCCCCATGTTCCTTCCCAGTCACTAGCTGCTCCCCAAAATAACTAATATTCTGACATCTATTACCATAGTTATTTTTGCCTCTTTTTTTGATCTGTATAAAGATGAAACCATTGTGTATATTCAAATTTCTGAATCATACTAATTTTTCATATGACTTAAAATTTAAAAAGGTGTATTGAAAACTTCCACTACAATGGTGGATCGATGAATGTGTATATGTATTTCTATTATATGCACACCCCATACACACATATAGATACATACATGTATGTGTACATATGAGATATTTTATGAGATATATACAGTTTTATAACTATTATATCTTTTTTGGTAAATTGAACCTACCATCATCATCTAATAATTTTTATATTACTAATCAAGCTCTTTATCTTAAAAGACAATTTGTCTCATAACTCAGTTTTCTTTTGTTTAGTTCTAGCCTGATATGCCTGCTTCCATCATTTTTGTTTCAAACTGCCCATGGTCTTATGTTTTAAATGTGTGTTCTTTAAACATTATATAATTTAATATAAAAAATTATTATCTGACTCTCTGTCTTAAAATTGGCAGCATAATCCATTTTAATTGTGATTGCTAACATATTTGAACTGATTTCTACCCTCTTACTTTGTACTTTCTACATTTTAGATTTTTTCATTCTTTTTTATTCTATCTCCTTTACTGTCTTTTTGTTTGATTGACTGAGATATTTGTTTTCCAACTCCATTTTTACCTTTTAGTCTTTTGATAGTTATGTACTCTATTATTTTACCCTTAACATCTTACTTATACTAGGATTTAAAATTAATCAAAATTAAAAAAACTCTCAGCTATAAAACTTCACCCTATTTTAAAAGCAAGTGGGTTATAAATGATGTTCTGTTATTCTATAGTGTAATATTTTAGAGTCCACTTCCAAAGGGAATCCCTATCTTGCTCACTTTCAGGGACCAGTAATAACCAAGATACAGACATTTATATTCCTTCTTTTTTTCATTTTCAAATTCTCAACCATCCTTACAGTTATTGGAACTTAAAAGCATTCAAGGCTGGGCACGGTAGCTCATGCCTGTAATCCCAGCACTTTGGGAGGCCGAGGCTGCAGATCACCTGAGGTCGGGAGATCAAGACCAGCCTGACCAACATGGACAAACACCGTCTCTACTAAAATTAGCAAGGCTTGGTGGCACATGCCTGTAATCCCAGCTACACGGGAAGCTGAGGCAGGAGAGTCGTTTGAACCCAGTAGGCAGAGGTTGCGGTGAGCCAAGATCGTGCCATTGTACTCCAGCCTGGGTAACAAGAGTGAAACTCTGTCTCAAAAAAAAAAAAAAAAACAAAACAAACAAACAAAAAAAACACTCAAAGGAATGCTTTGAAAATGTGAAAAAAAAAAAAAAAGAGGGGCTTTTTGCATCCAGACTGTGAGATTTCACAGAATATGAATAAGGCTCAGAGAAGATAAGGTATTATGACCATGTTTGGAGCAAGGCAGACGTGAGGCCACAATCTGCAGCCACCAATAACTACATTCTGCCTCCTTTGACTGACATCAGTGATTGGTGCTTCTTTACCAGTGATAACTCTAGGCCCCTGTGATTTTCCTGCCTTCTGGATAAAATGCATTAAGATACCCAGTCACTAAACTACTCCTGTTTTTTGAAGAGCCTCCAATGGAGAAGGAGCCCCTGCTTCCTTAATCTCACCTGTAAATTAACCAGTTCAAATAGAAATCCTATGAGAAGCCTGTACTAACCTTCTACCCTTTTAATAAGATGTTCCCATGGTTGCTGTAAAAGGTGTTCTCCCCTGCTGCAGAAAGCTAAACAAATAACATTTTTGCCTGGTATTTCTAGTGGCTTTTGACCAAGGTGCTTCAATCACCTTGACCTTTTTTTTTAATTTGTAAAATTGTTATTTATTTATGAAAAACATAAGAAAAAAGAATAAGCCCTAGCTTTCCTACCACTTCATAGTCTTTCTCCTCAGAGGAAAGCAACTACTGTTAGAACTTTCTTTTCTATATTTTGTCATACAAGCATTAAATATATTTATACACACACACACACTGCTTGATTTTTAATTACAAAATGTAAAACATTCATAAATATGCACAAAACAAAATGTACAGCTCAATGGTTTACTATCAAGCAAACATTCATGTAATCACTACCTAGGTCAAGAACTCTGCCAGCTCCCCAGATGATCTTTATTTTTTAAAAGAACGAATATATAAAGTGCATAAGTAATAATGAGATTATATTGGTATTTCTCTTATTCTAATTTAACAAGACTTCTAGAATAGCCTATATTAAAAAAAAGTTGTTTTAATAAAACATGCTTTGGGTGATAGGGTTTAAAAAAGCATGCATGCAATAGATATAGTCTAAGTTTTGAATATAGTAATTTATGCCTTACTAATGAAAGAGGCAATGTGGCAGCATAGAAAAAACATCGGCAGAAGAACAACGTTGGCTGGGCGCGGTGGCTCATGCCTGTAATCCCAGCGCTTTGGGAGGCTGAGGTGAGTGGATCTCCTGAGGTCAGGAGTTAGAGACCAGCCTGGCCAACATGGCGAAACCCCATCTCTACTAAAAATACAAAAATTAGCCAGGCGTGGTGGCAGGCGCTTGTAATCCCAGCTACTCGGGAGGCTGAGGCAGGGGAATCGCTTGAACCAGGAAGGCAGAGGTTGCAATGAGCTGAGATCGCACCACTGCACTCCAGCCTGGGCGACAAGAGCAAAACTCCATCTCAAAAATAATAATAATAAAATAAAATAAATAAAAATAAAAAATAAGAGCAATGTTGTAGGGTAAACTTGATCATAATTACCTCTTCTATGTAACTTGTCCTCTCTAAATTTTATTGTGTCCATTTGTGAAATGGGTATATTAATCATCTACCTGCTGATATCACAGTTTTACTGATAAAAGAACATAGGCACATCACTTACAGTTTATTTACAGAGATCTATCCATGTATATCTGTAAATGTAACATATGTGTGACAGTGGTAGTTCTCAAACTTTGCTTCACATAAAAATCAGCTGGGGAGGCCGAGAGCAGTGGCTCATGCCTGTAATCCCAGCACTTTGGGAGGCCGAGGTGCGCGGATCATGAAGTCAGGAGATCGAGACCATCCTGGCTAACACGGTGAAACCCCATCTCAACTGAAAATACAAAAATATTAGCCGGGCATGGTGGTAGGCGCCTATAGTCCCAGCTACTTGGGAGGCTCAGGCAGGAGAATGGCGTGAACCTGGGAGGCGGAGCTTGCAGTGAACCAAGATCTGGCCACTGCACTCCAGCCTGGGTGACAGAGCGAGACTCCGTCTCAAAAAATAAAAACAACAACAACAACAACAACAAATCACCTGGGGAATTAAAAAAAAAAAAAAAAACTCAATGTCCATGCCAACTTAATCAGAGTTCTGACAGTGAAACCTAATATTGATATTTTTGAAAATATCTCAGATGATTCCAGACTGCAGTCAAATTTGAGAACCAGTGGATTAGAATAGTGCTTTCCAAACCTTAATCCTCATACAAATCGCTTTCAATCTTGTTAAAGTGTAGACTCTTATCCAATAGGTCTTGAGTAGGGCCTGGCATTCTAAGTTTCTAACAAGCTCCCAGGTGATGTTGATGCTGCCCATCCGTGGACCATTATGGATTAGGGAATAGAGACTCAAAACAATATATTTAATAGACCGAAAGAGAAAGAAAAAGTGTCAACACTTTCATAACTCAGTCAAGTTGATAGCAAAGCTGACATAAATTCTTAGTGTCAGAGATAGTCTCTACCGAAGAACCTGGCAAGGAAACAAAAACACTTTAGTTGTGTACAAAAGAATGTTTTGTGCTTATAATTTCTTCCACCTACCCCCTCACTTTCCCACTGGACTAGGAGAAAAACAAGCTGGAAAGGTTAAGCATACAACTGAAAAGAAAACAGAAAAAGGCAAAAGATCAAAAAAATTTAATGAACTTGGTTTATAAGGAATTAGGAAGTGTTTAGAAATTATTTTCAATTTATTTGTCAACTTAGAAAAAATATTAATATGTACATTAAGTGTTGCTACACTTATAAATAATGTGCTATTTAAAAAAAATGAGCCAATATATGTTAATGCATTGTGAAATGTTTCTGAGTTTACTACAAACAGATGCTTCATTAGGAGAATCATAAAAGAAACTGGAAAGGCTCTGAGCGTTAAAGAATCCTCAGTATCCAGTGAGGCTAAGTAAATGTGTATTTTAGGCAGTTCCACAGCTCTAACCAATACTTCCCAGAGACCAATTAATTGGCTTGAATCACAGGCCCAATTATAATCTCCCAAGAGAGATACTCTGCAAATAAAGTTTCAATATTGAGTGTCTGCCATACACTAATGTTAAAAGATACAAGCTAAATAAGTTGTGGCCCTTGCTCTTCACTAACTCAAACATTTGGTAAGAATATTGTAATATCCCTGCTGGAAATTAGACCCTTTTTATTCTCCTCTGAGCAGGGAGATTGGTCTTGGGCTTGCCATTTCTTTTCTTTCTACCTCCCAGAGTTTTGCCAACAGCAGGAGACCCTCTTTGATTCCTGCTAACGTAATACCCTTTGAGGATAAAGGGAGTAAGAAGACTAGAGTAGAAAGTTCTTCAGTTGTCTTGATTTGCCCAGCTTAAGATCTATTTCAGGTACCATAAGCCCATTGTTAATGAGATATTGGCAGATAAACTAATGCAAACCTTTATGCTTTCCCAGAGATTGTCATGTGGGCTGCAAATTCACAGTGAAAAAAGTTGTGTTTTCCCAAGAAATTAGAGGAATAGTACAGAGAATGTGTGGCACTGAAGATGGAGTTGTATTATTCCTGAGCACTTCATGCTTAGATTTGAGCAGTCAGTTCTCAAAAGTGTGATTAGAAATTTCTGCATAAAGAAGTCAACCTAAATTGGGTGACTGTCTGGGAGTGAGAATGGATAATCCTGGAGCTTGGGGAGAGAGAGACTAGGCATCAACAGCTGGGCCTAATGAACTACTGCTAATTATGTCAGTCTATTTACTAAGAGTTTCCCGTATGCCCTCCCCCAGATGTAATGTCTCTGTCACCATTATCAGAAGTGGGAAATCCTTACCATCTCTCTGGGAAGTCCAATGTGCCTGAAATGCTCACAGCAACTGACATATTCCCTAGCCAAATAGCTCATTCCAGATGTACCCCGCCAGGCTAGAATAACTGTTCTGAACACGGCCAAGTCATGTGGATTTTATCATTAAACTTTTGTATACATGTTATTATTACTCTGTTCTGCAGTCACAGACAGAACACCATCTACAAGTGATTGTAGCAAAGACTTGGAACCAACCCAAATGCCCATGAATGATAGACTGGATAAAGAAAATGTGGCACATATACACCATGGAATACTATGCAGCCATAAAAAAGAATGAATTCATGTCCTTTGCAGGGACATGGATGAAGCTGGCAACCATCATTCTCAGCAAACTAACACAGGAAAAGAAAACCAACATCGCATGTTCTCACTCGTAAGTGGGAGGTGAACAATAAGAACATATGGACACAGGGAGGGGAACATCACTCTCTGGGGCCTGTCGGGGTAGGGGGCAAGGGGAGAGAGAGCATTAGAACAAATATCTAATGCATGCGAGGCTTAAAACCTAGATGAAGGGTTGATAGGTGCAGCAAATCACCATGACACATGTATACCGTATGTCTATACATGGCACATGTATCCCAGAACTTAAAAAAAAAAAAAAAGAACTGCTTTTGTTGAAACTGAGATATGGATCCACTAACACCTGCTGTCCAGGTATGCCTCTGGCCCCAGGGAAGAAGTGACTTACTGGCAGAAATCGGGGAAACCAGTCTTCCAGTCAGGTTCCACCTCATTTCCTCATCTGCTGAAATATTGGAGGAGTATTCTCTCTAACTATAAGATTCCGGTCTTGTCTTTATCAGCCCAGAGATAGCTTACCAAGGTATAACATGGACATCTGAAAGTTCCATAGTCTTTGTGGGTCTCCCTAAAAAAATAATAAAATCTAAAGTCCTGAGATCCATCTTGGCTTTATTTTTAACTAGCAAGTTGTGAAACTCATAGCTCAGTTTTCTCACTTATAAAATGAGGATGGGGGAAAATTATACCTTTATCATCATATAAAGTCAGCAGGTGATTTTTGTAAGTGCTTAATAAATGATAACTATCATTGCTATTCTTATTAGACAGAAAAAAAGTCTAAAGTAGTGGTTCTTAACCATCTCTGGTGTTATGGATTGAATTGTGTCCCCCAAAATGGTATGTGGAAGTCCTAATTCTCAATATTGGTGAATGTGACCTCATTTGGAAATAGGGTCTTTATAGAGGTAGTAAAGTCAAGATGAGGTCATACTAGATTATGGACCCTAATCCAGAAACTGGTGTCCTTGGAAGAGGGAAATTTGTACATGGACACACAGGGAGAACAGCACAGGGAAAAGATTGGAGCTCTGTATTCACAAGCCAAGAAACCAAGCATTGCTGACAACCGTCAGAAGCTGGGAAGATGCAAGAAAGGATCCTCCCGTAGAGCCTTCAGAGAGAGCACCGCACTGCTGACACCTTGATTTTGAACTTCTAGCCTCTGGAGCTGTGACAGAGTAAATTTGTTTTAAGCCCCCCGATTGTTGTAATTTGTTGTGGTATCCCTAAGAAACCAATAAATGCAGGTGGATATCAAAATCACCCAGGAAACATTTTGAAAGACTGCATGTTTGGGTCTCATACGAGGAATTTTTTTGCTCATGATATCTAAGAGAAACTGGAAAATCAGCATTTCTTCTCACAACTCTTTGGATAATTCTTTTGAATAACCAGAATTGAAAATTGTTGGCATATAATACCACTGACATTTATATAAGGGTGCATATATGCTTATATACAGGTACAAATGTTTGAAATTGACAGTGAAGTGTTTCAGAATGAGTGAAGCATCTTGTTCTCTTTTCCTTACATCCAGTGGCTATGGTATAGCATGCCATGATGGATAGTGCGTATTAAAAGTAATACCTATTGAGCTAAAAACTGATTCTCCCCTAAGTGGTTTACATGGGCTATCTCATTTAATCTTAATGACAACCCTCTGAGATAGATTCTGTTTATTCTGTTATTAGTTCTTATTTTAGAACACCATGCTTCAGAGAGAAAAAGTAATTTTCCAAGATCACATAGGCTAGTAAATGGGTAGAGCAGGAATTCAAACCCAGACAGTCTAACTCAAGAAGAGGCTCTCTCTGGAACAGCAAACGTTTCCTAAAATGTAGGATGTGCATGTTAGGTGCATACATGATTATTTTTGATCAATAAACTTGTGGTATGAAATAACATAGTGACATATGTTTTTTTGTTTGTTTGTTTTTGTTTTTTGTTTTTTGTTTTTGAGACAGAGTCTTGCTCTGTCGCCAGGCTGGAGTGCAGTGGTGCGATCTTGGCTCACTGAAACCTCTGCCTCCTGGGTTCAAGCTATTCTCCTGCCTCAGCCTCCTGAGTGGCTGGGACTATAGGCACCCACCACCACGCCTGGCTAATTTTTGTATTTTTAGTAGAGACGGGGTTTCACCATGTTGGCCAGGATGGTCTCGATCTCCTGATGTCATGATCTGCCCGCCTCAGCCTCCCAAAGTGCTGGGATTACAGGCATGAGCCACCGCACCTGGCTGACACAGATATTTTCATGCTAGGTGCACACATGATTATCTTCGATGAATGAACCTGTAGTATGAAATAGCATAGTGACACACGTATTCTCTCTTGTATTCTCTTCAATTCCTTCTGATCACCTGAATGAGAGAGTCTCAGAGTTTGGTGATAGTAGATCTTTAACTCCTTTATAATATTTGTTAATCTTATCTAATAAGGAAATATATCTCAGCTTCCCAGCCTTCAGCAGGCAATAAAGTCCAGCAATAAATGGTATGAATTGTTTTCACTGTGCTTATTTTTACAGTTTCGCTTTATTTATGGCAGATAACATTGAACTTCCATCTGTAGTAGTGATCATTACTTTTTAAATAAACCCATACATGTTTTAGACAGAGGAGTTTGTTTAAAGAAATATATAAAGTAAATGAGTATTTATAACACATCAAAATGGTCCCCAATCTAAAACTCTTGTGAGGAGAATGTTTAACCAAGGGAAGGAGAGGAAAGATGCTGACCGTGCTTGGTTACCAATTTCCTGTGCTTTTCAAAGAACTCCTGGAAGACACTGACTAATGGAGGCCACTCAAGGGATCAATACTGTGCTAATAAGCATGTGAGACACTCTAGGAAGCTGATACACTCCACAGTCTAGAGGCAGAGTCATTTGAGGTTGAGGAAACAAGGAGGGCAGGCCCTTATGTGAAGTGTAGCTGAGTACTTTTTTGGGACCTTCTTCATTCCCTCTTCCTACACATACACAGTTGTGGCTGCTGGAAGCCATATTAATATTATATGACCCTTTCTCCTTGGCTAATGCTTATCAAGCAGAGGTTGAAAACTGTCTCAAGCTGAGCCCAATACAAAATACCTCTCACTGAAATTTAGCATTGAAACAAGAGATACTATTCACTTTTTATCATCTCTTGATCTAAAAGGATATATAAACCAGGGAGCTGTGCTATGACCAATTCTTGCTATAAGCACAGAAAAATAGAGGAAGTTAGCCCTCAGGGAGAAAGAAAATGACAGAGGCCTGTAAAAAAGAAAGGCAATGGAAAACTCTATAGGCTCACAAAGCCAAACAGAATAGTCTCTGGTTAACAGTCCTTGATTCTAGGAGGTTCTGATTACCAGTTTGCTGTGCAGCATATTATCTTAAAAATTAGTGCCTTAAACAACAAACATTTTATTATATCTTATGATTTTGTGGATTAGGAATTAGGGCAGAGCTTGGTTGGGTGGTTCTCTTGCTTCATGTGTTATTGGCTGAGGTTACTCAGTGGTACTTAGCTTGTGGACTGGCTGGTCTGGAGCACCCAAGATGGCTTCACTCTCATGTCTGGTGCGTTGGTGGAGTTGGCAGGAAGATTCAAACGAGAATGTCAGCCTGACCATCTATGTGTGGCCTCTGTATTATGACAGTCTTGGAGTAGCCAGGCTTCTTTCAAAGTTGTTCAGAATTCACCTTGAAAGAATTCTAAAAGAGGGAAAATGGAAGGTGCCAGTCCTGGAAGGTCAGGACTGGAAATGCACTGCATTCTCTTCTGCCACATGACTAATGAAGCAACTCACTAAGTTCAGTTCAGATGCAAGGGAAGGGGAGCTAGGTTTGCCCTCTCAATGAAAAGAGTTGAAAGAAATGTGTAGCCATCCTTAACCCATCACATGGGCCTTCACGATGGTTGGCTGTACTTGGGTTCCCTGAGAATGTTCTGTGCCTCCACAGGAAGTAGCCCATTTCAGGTAAGCTAGTTTGAGCTGCCTTTGTTAATTTTTAGTTATCATATCAATGAATCAATGAATCAGTTACTAGTACAATGCTTTGCATTTAGTTGGCACTCAAAAACCCTTTGGATGAAGTGCACTGAGTGAAAAACTGAGCTTGTAAGAACAAGTTTAGGAGTTTAGAATCTGTTGCTAGATAGACAAAGGTTCAAATGCTGGTCTTACAACTTTCTAGTTTTGTGACCCCAGGTAAGTTACTTTCTCTTAGCTTCAATTTCCTTATCTGTAAAGAGGAAATAATAGCAGTGCCTACTTCATTCAGTCGTGACAAAGACTCAAGTGAGATCACACACATAAAATTCTTAACACAGTTTCCAGCATATAGTTAGCACCCAGTGAATGTTGCCATTATTATTTTCATTAATTGTCAGAGCTTCAACTCCTAAGAGAATGGTTATAAACTCAGGAATATACAACCTAACTGAAGGAACAGAACATCTCTACCAACAGAAAAATAACGTCACAGTCAGCATTACATTAGAGAATGGTAGAGAGTTTATTAAAGGAGAGGACAATATTATATATTAGGCAGTCAGAAAAGGTTCCAAAGTCAAGGTAAGATTTCTGATGAGCTTTGTAAGATAAACAGTGTTTGGCAAGAGTAGAAGCAAAGAAAAGGAATTCCAGGCAGTTGGAATACAAGAAGCAGAGATTGCCACAGGTGAGAATGCTCTTGAGCTGGTCAAGAATTCTTTGTGGAACAGTACAGAGATGAGGGGGGTGAGGTAGAGAAAATGTAGGTACCAATGGAGTGAGCCTTTAATGCTAAGTTAGGGAATTTGAAATTTATATTTCATACTGGGAAATTTCATAAGTTTTAAAATAGTGTTTAGCAACAATACAGGAATCTTTTTTTTTTTTTTTACTATAGGCTTCAATGGTTTCAGAAATGTCTCTTCATAAATTCTTCAAAAAGAGTCTTTCCCAAAGCATTTTCACAGATAGCTTGTTTCTTTATTTTATTATTATGATACCTTAATTTCTGGGATAAATGTGCAGAATGTACAGATTTGTTACATAGGTATACATGTGCCATAATGGTTTGCTGCACCCATCAACCCATCATCTATATTAGGTATTTCTCCTAATGCTATCCCTCCCCTTGCCCCCTACCCACTGACAGGCCCCCGGTGTGTGATGATCCCCTCCCTGTGTCTATGTGTTCTCATTGTTTAACTCACACTTATAAGTGAGAACATGAGGTGTTTGGTTTTCTGTTCCTGTGTTAGTTTGCTGATAGTAATCTTTTTTTTTTTTTTTTTTTTTTTTTTTTACTATAGGCTTCAATGGGTTCGGAAATGTCTCTTCATAAATTCTTAAAAAAGAGTGGTGTTTCCAACCTGGTGAAATGAAACACAGGTTCCATTCTGTGAGATGAATCCACACATCACAAAGCATTTTCACAGATAGCTTGTTTCTGTATTTTATTATTATGATACCTTAAGTTCTGGGATACATGGGCAGAACGTACAGATTTGTTACATAGGTATACATGTGCCATAATGGTTTGCTCCACCCATAAACCCATCATCTACATTAGATATTTCTCCTAATACTATCCCTCCCCTTGCCCCCTACCCACTGACAGGCCCCTGGTGTGCGATGATCCCCTCCCTGTGTCCATGTGTTCTCATTGTTCAACTCCCACTTATGAGTGAGAACATGAGGTGTTTGGTTTTCTGTTCCTGTGTTAGTTTGCTGAGGATGATGGTTTCCAGACTTATTCATGTCCCTGCAAAGGGCATGAACTCATTCTTTTTTGTGGCTGCATAGTATTCCATGGTGTATATGAGCCACATTTTCTTTATCCAGTCTATCATTGATGGGCATTTGCATTGGTCCCAAGTTTTTGCTATTGTAAATAGTGCTACAATAAAAATACGTGTGCATGTGTCTTTATAGTAGAATGATTTATAATCCTTTGGGTATATACCCACTAATGGGATTGCTGGGTCAAATGGTATTTCTGGTTCTAGATCCTTGAGGAATCGCCACACTGTCTTCCACAGTGGTTGAACTAATTTACACTCCCAACAGTGTAAAAGCGTTCCTAATTCTCCACATCCTCTCCACTATCTGTTGCTTCCTGACTTTTTTATGATCTCCATTCTAACTGGCATGAGATGGTATCTCATTGTGGTTTTCATTTGTATTTCTTTAATGACCAGTGATGATGAGCTTTTTTTCATATGTTTGTTGGCTTCATAAATGTCTTCTTTTGAGAAGTGTCTGTTCATATCCTTCACCAATTTTTTGATGGGGTTGTTTTTTTTCTTGTAAATTTGTTTAAGTTTCTTGTAGATTCTTAATATCTACAAGATATTAGCTCTTTGTCAGATGGATAGATTGCAAAAATTTTCTCCCATTCTGTAGGTTTCCTGTTCACTCTAATGATAGTTTCTTTTGCTGTGCAGAAGCTCTTTACTTTAATTAGATCCCATTTGTCAATTTTGGCTTTTGTTGCCATTCCTTTTGGTGTTTTAGTCATGAAGTCTTTGCCCATGCCTATTTCCTGAATGGTATTGCCTAGGTTTTCTTCTAGCATTTTTATGGTTTTAGGTCTTACATTTAGGTCTTTAATCCATCTTGAGTTAATTTTTGCATAAGGTGTAAGGAAGGGGTCCAGTTTCAGTTTTCTGCATATGGGTAGCCAGTTTCCCCAACACCATTTATTAAATAGGGAATCGTTTCCCCATTGCTTGTTTTTGTCAGGTTTGTCAAAGATCAGATGGTTGTAGGTGTGTGTTGTTATTTCTGGGGACTGTGTTCTGTTCCATGGTCTATATATCTATTTTGGTACCAGTAACATGCTGTTTTGGTTACTGTAGCCTTTTGGTATGCTTTGAAGTCAGGTAGCATGATGCCTCCAGCTTTGTTCTTTTTGCTTAGGATTGTCTTGGCTATACAGGCTCTGTTTTGGTTTCTTATGACATTTAAAGTACTTTTTTCTAATTCTGTGAAGAAAATCAGTGGTAGCTTGATGGGAATAGCATTGAATCTATAAATTACTTTAGGCAGTAGGGCCATTTTCACGTTATTGATTCTTCCTATCCATGAGCATGGAATGTTTTTCCATTTGTTTGTGTCCTCTCTTATTTTCTTGACCAATGTATTGTAGTTCTCCTTGAACAGGTCCTTCACATCCCTTGTAAGTTATACTCTAGGTATTTTATTCTTTGTAGCAATTGTGAATGGGAGTTCACTCATGATTTGGCTCTCTGTTTGTCTGTTATTGGTGTATAGGAATGCTTGTGATTTTTGCACGTTGATTTTGTATCTTGAGACTTTGCTGAAGTTGCTTATCAGCTTAAGGAGATTTGGGCCTGAGACGATGGGGTTTTCTAAATAGACAATCATGTCATCTGCAAACAGATGTCATTTTACTTCCTCTCTTCCTATCTGAATACCCTGTATTTCTTTCTCTTGCCTGATTTCCCTGGCCAGAACTTCCAATACTATGTTGAATAGAAGTGGTGACAGAGGGCATCCTTGTCTTGTGGTGGTTTTCAAAGGGAATGCTTCCAGCTTTTGCCCATTCAGTATGATATTGACTGTGAGTTTGTCATAAATAGCTCTTACTATTTTGAGATGTATTCCATCAATACCTAGTTTATTGAGTGTCTTTAGCATGAAGCGGTGTTGAATTTTATCGGAGGCTTTTCTGCATCTATTGAGATAACCATGCGGCTTTTGTCATTAGTTGTGTTTATGTGATGGATTGTTTATTGCTTTGTGTATGCTGAACCAGCCTTGCATCCCAGGGATGAAGCTGACTTGATCGTGGGGGATAAGCTTTTTGATGTGCTGCTGGATTTGGTTTGCCAGGGTTTTATTAAGGATTTTCGCATTGATGTTCATCAGGGATATTGGCCTGAAATTTTCTTTTTTTGTTGTGCCTCTGCCAGGTTTTGTTATCAGGATGATACTGGCCTCATAAGATGAGTTAGAAAGGAGTCCTTCTTTTTCTATGGTTTTGAATAGTTTCAGAAGGAATGGTACCAACTACTCTTTGTATTTCTGGTAGAATTCGCCTATGAATCCATCTGGTCCTGGGCTTTTTTTGGTTGTTAGGTTATTAATTACTGCCTCAATTTCAGCACTTATTATTTGTCTAGTCAGGGATTCAACTTCTTCCTGCTTTAGTATTGGGAGAGTGTATGTGTCCAGGAATTTATCCATTTCTTCTAGATTTTCTAGCTTATTTGTGTAGAGGTGTTTATAGTATTCTCTGGTGGTAGTTTGTATTTCTGTGGAATCAGTGGAGATATCCCCTTTATCATTTGTTTTGTTTTGTTTTGTTTTGTTTTGTTTTGTTTTTGAGACAGAGTCTCTCTCTGTCACCCAGGCTGGAGTGCAGTGGAGCGATCTCGGCTCACTGCAAACTCTGCCTCCCAGGTTCACGCCATTCTCCTGCCTCAACCTCTCAAGTAGCTGGGACTACAGAAACCTGCCACCACGCCCGGCTAAATTTTTGTTTTTTTAGTAGAGACGGGTTTCACCGTGTTAGCCAGGATGGTCTCGACCTCTTGACCTCGTGATCCGCCCGCCTCGGCCTCCCAAAGTGCTGGGATTACAGGCATGAGCCACTGCACCCGGCCCCCACTTTATCATTTTTTATGCAACAATATACTAATCTTATAACAGTATGTAAGAGTGAGTGAAAGGAGAAAAAATTTTAAAAAGAGACATTGGACATAATATAGATGTAAGGGGGGAAAGCATAGAAACTGGATGGTGACCATGGGAATGAATGAAGGGATGGTAGGCATATGTGAGTTGCCATGCAGGCAACATAGACAGGGAGGACAGAAATTATGAAAGACTAGATATGAGGAAAGAGGGCGGGTAGATGATGTCATCCAGGTATTAATTCTGAACAAAAAGAACCATGATTGCCCCACTGACAGAAATGGCAACATCTGAGAGATGGCTACTTTAAAGCAAGAGCACAGCTGGAGGGCAGAGGAGAGAGAGAAGCCTTGCATGGAAAGACAAAGAGAAAATAAGAGAACAGAGGAAATTAATAAGGTACAAGACATCACCATTGCTTTAACCTTCGAAAGAGAAAATATATAGCCAATCCCATGAATCATTCAGCCTAGAAACACAGGCGTTTGTACACTTGAATTAGAGCTTCTGAAATAATGGGTCATGTGGGAGACAATTTGTAATCACAAATCCCAGAGATCATCTTTACAATTTTCAAAAGCACTTAACCATGATCTAGGCATTAAACTCACAAGTTGAGGTATGAAACAAGGGGTTCTTCCCCCAGCCTGCTTTCTGCATTTATTCACATTTATATTTTGAGATCATAAATTCTTTTACTTTTTATGTGTGTTACTAGGTCCCTTCACATTCTGTGTGCATGTGACATAAATATTCCATGAGGGAGCCATTTAATCTCTCACAGAGAAGTGTTCTGAGACATAGTGGGCTCAATGTGGTTACCTCAACCCAGGGGCCATTCTTCCAGACACAAGACTGTATGTCTGCCTCTGTGTCTTCAAATGCATTTCATGGTGGGGGCAAACAGAGAGCTACCTGCCTCACTCAGCATCACATACCCCCTACCCGGGTGGGCAGGAGCAGTCACTCTGTAACCCACAGAGCTTGGAAGGAATTACCTGGAGTTCAAGCACACTCAGCGCAATCTGAGGACATTATCTTAAATGACTACTTGTCTCAGAGGTGGCCACTAATGTTCACACCAAGGTAGAGAGAGTTCTTAACTCATCTTCCCATCTCTACTTTACTCCTCTATACTGTTACTGAATTAGTCTTCTCAGAGAAAGGTAGTGCCTGTATCTCTGTCTTGCACAGGTAAGTTATTTTACAGATAAATGGCCTTGCTTCCTTCCAGGTGATTCCATAGTGTCCCGTCTCCCTCCTAACATTCTCATATTCATTTGGAGAATTCCTCTTCCATTGCATCTTGTCTTGGCATAAGAATTTCCAGTTTCCCCTCTCCCTCTCAACTATGGTAGCATGATATTGCTTCTAACTGCTATCTGGTCCTCTAGGGGCAGTCAGGAGACCCAAGTATGGCCAGTCAGAGGGCTTCTCCCTGGACCTTGAATCTTGAATCTTGAACTACTACCAGCAGCAGAGGCAGCAGCAACAATGGCAGACCTTTCCTGAATAGGCTTTTCTGGCTATTCTTGGTCCTCCAGGACTTCGTTTCTTGTTCTAACAGGTCCAAGGAGATGTGCTTACCCTGAGGCCCCTCATCCTATTCTGGATACTGAGGGCCCTAGAATTATCTGCCCAACTGGTCCCAGCCTACATTCAGTGGGTCACCATATTTATAATCCTGAGGGTAGACCACCCTGCCCTAGGTGTGCAAACTCCTAGGACCTAGGGTTGGCCAAAGTGTGGCTCATTGCAAGCAGGCAGGAGAGTGTGGCTAAAACTTGGTCTGGGGTGTCCATATTTGGTCTGGCTAGGCCCTTCCTGGGGCCACGAGTGGTGAGAAAAGGGGAGGGTAGAGGTTCCTTTGCAAAGTATGAAAGCGTAATGCCAGCAGGGGCTGAGGTGGGGGTCAGGGCACTCTGTGAACAGAGGTTGCATAATTTGGACTATGAAGGATAAAGAGAAAGTTTGTGGCTTATGAAATAAGTGCTCAGAATGGGAGGAAAAGGGGTGATTGGTGGGTGAGCAGCTGAACATAAGAATGAAGAGCCTCCCAGAATACCTCCAACAGAGATAAAAATGGGGAGCTTCTTTTATGGATTTCCTGAGCCATCAAGAGACTAAGAAAGCATCCAGCGAGCCAGAGAGAATTCTTCTTTTTCCTCTCTCTTTATTCCTTTGCTGTGTCTGCATAGCCCCAGGGCAAATGTGCATGCTAGTCACAGTTATTTGGAAGTAACTGTTGCTTAGCACATCTTTTCTGTTGTTATGAATACATATTTGGCAAGGGTAAAGGATAGAACATTTTTTATTTAATAGCTTATTAGTTTGATTTATAACTCATAAATATTTAAACATATAGTATATGAGCCACCCCTTGTACTCTTATCCTGGCCCCACAAATGTTCAATGTGGCCTACTTGTCTTTCTCCAGCCTTATCCTCAGGCTTCTCACCATTCTAGAAGCCCCAAGTATTTTTCCAATAAATCCTTTTGTTTTAGTATGTCAGGGTTGACTTCCACTGTTTGCAGGGAGCTTGAAACTGAAAGTTTGCCTTGGTAAGTCTAATCAACCTGATGTTTTATTTTTCCTTTTGTCCTAGTGGTTATTGTATGGGAGGGGTGTGTGTGTGTGTGTATGTGTGTGTGTGTGTGTGTGTGTGTTTCAAATACAGAAAATATAAAGAAAAAGGAAAAAAATCACCCAAAACCCAATTAACATCTCTGTGCTACCTTTTTCAATATTTCACTTTTGGTAGAAGTGGTATTATATTTGCATAATTTTATATCTATCCTTTTCACTTAGCATAATCATTTCCTCATCATTAAAAATTCTATTCCTGAAGAACAGAATCTTGTCTGGATATTTCATTACACACCTAAGAAATACCTGAGATTTTTTTATTGGAATAAAGGATGCTGAGATTCAGATCATTGTGCACAAATCCTTTTCTACATTTCTTATTGTTTCTTAAAGAAGAAAATATATGTATTTTAAGTTGATTGATAAATATGAACAGATTATCCTAAGGCATGGCTTTACCGATTTGTCCTTTAGCCTGCCACACTTGAGAATGGCTGATTTCCCCACACCTTCACTATCCAGATCTCTTTTCATCAGTTATCCCCTGGGGCTATTGTTGGCAGCACATTCTAACCTCAAGGGAGACCCCCCCCCACCCAATGCGCGCACACACACACACACACACACACACACACACACACCCATCACACCTCATTTCTCCTTCAAGGAAGAGGAGATGTTCCTATAAGCTTTAAGAACAAAATGGAAGAAATGGAGAAGATTAAAGAGATTGTAAATTGAACTAAAGGTGGTTCTCTCTCTTTTGATAATGTTTAATTCTTTTGGTCTGTGAAGTTAGAGTCCAGAAGTCTACAGGAACTCTTCCTCTCAAGTTGGAAGGCCAAGAAGAAACAGGGTGATGCTGAAGAGAACATTTAGGCCAGTCACCAATCTAGACAAACAACATGTTAGTGGGTCACATTTGTTCTAGGTCAGTTCAGCAGATGTGTAAAATACAAAGAAATTGGAACTAGAGCCTGGAAATTATTGAGTGAATATTTTCCTGAATTAATTTCTGAGTATCTCTCTCTCTCTGAGGGTGGAGATAAGAACAGAGTTAGCAGGGGCTGTGCTAGACAGACAGTCATGGGTTTGATGATTTTAGATCTTGACATCAGAGACATAATGCTACTACCTTTTATTTTAAATTCACTTCTAGCAGACATCTGCTACAATGCAAATTAAATGGATGAGATCTAGTTATCTGGTGAACTAGTAGAAAAGGGAGCTAAATGATGCTTATCATGTGGAACTGAGCAAGGACAAAGGGATGCCAACAAAGTCTTCTGATACAGGTGGAAGCATCCCAGAGGCTGGGGTTGGAGTGAACAAGGTGGTTTTCCAGAATAACCTACTATGGAAAAAAAACAGATTTTAAGTGCATGGTGTATAGGAGAGAGGAGCTGCCTGACAAAACAGAGTCTGCCCAATTCAGGTGGCCAGAAATGGAAGAATATTCTCATGAAGGCTGGGACAAAATGCAAAATGTGACGGCAGGGGAATTCAAGGGAGTTAAGAGAGAGTTTTCATGGCAATAACCATTGGAATGCTCATTTTTATGGAGAGTGTACTCCCCAGAAGGTGAGTACACTGGCTGGCTTAAAAGCACAGTTTTGTCTCTGTGACAAAGACTATTAATATGTGTTAACATAATGGAGGCATACTATTAAAACAGAGTGAAACAATTTATCTGAATAAACAGCAAACTTTATAATGCTGCACTCCCCCAGCCCACGCAGGACCCATCTACCACTGGAAATTTGGTACTTGCATGCAGATGGTTCAAAATTCAATCTGTGCATTTTGAGGACATTCCTGTTCATCACTCCTACTCTTTCACCTTTAACTCTTTATGGCTAAAATGGGGACCCCGATTTACTTCTTCTATTAAAAAAATGGACAACCTGGGCTCTTTAACAGCGAAATGCCAATCTTTGTTTCAGAATATCTGAGAATACTTGGAATAATTCCAAAGTGCTATTTACTGTGAATACTAGAAAGATTATGTATGTATATATAACACACATATATATCATTCTCAAAAACATAAACACTCTGGAAGTGACTCTGTAGTCTATGTATACCAGAAACAATGTATACTCTTTTGAGAAGGGCTGGAGATATCACTTTGCTTTCTCTAGTTGAAATTACTTTGTCTTTTCTTAGTTATCTTGATACTCCGAGAAAGCCAAAAATTGCTGGAAGAGAATGTCCCAAGCCATAATACAGACCAACTGAAGAAAACTGATTGCACTGAATTAAAGTAAGCTTACCACCAGCCCTGAATTAAAGGTCAGAAGGCATCGGGGTCCCATATTCATTGTCCTAGCAGAGACAGATGGTGGAGGGCCTTCGTGGCCTCAGAGAAGGAAGCAGAAGTGATTCCTACCCTAAGGATGAGTAAATTTGCAGACCCTGAACTCAGGAAATGTATGTCCTATAGTAGAGAAACATACAAAGTACATGTATCCTCCCAGCATTTGTGAATGTTCATTCCAAGTTTCTAAACCGAGGAGGAAAGGACAGTGGAGACAGTAGAAAAAGTCAGTTATTCCCCTTCAATGCACATCAGATTTGGAAGCTAATCTTTGAAACTGCATTTGCCTTTATTCTTTTTGACTTAAGTTAATGGAATGAAAATAGCTTCAGAATACATCATTTCTTTTCCAATTTCACATAGCCACAAACCCTTTATTAAGGAGAACTGACCTTCCACACTCTAGTGAATGTGTTTTATTCTCTTAATTTATCCAGCAAGCAGATAACCAGTCCAATGTCACTTGCCAAGCCTGACATGGGACAGTGAGCATCTAATTTGCCCTGTTAGGTGTAATGTAGACAAGATCATTATCAGAAGGAAAATATTATTCCTTCCCATTTGGCCAAAAGTGTAGACTCAATGGGGATTGTGATTTCATATCTCATGATGGAATGTTTCCAGTATGGGGAGCAATGCAAAGGACGTCTGTAGCAGTTTGTTTTGTTTTAAGTTACCTGGAAAGATTATCAATAAAAATGATTAAACAAAAAGAAAGTGAAATTTGGACTTAGACCTAAATTAGGTACTGGTCCCATCAACCAGCTGTAAAGTCTTAGCCATGTCATTTAACAAGATGTTATCCAAACCTGGTCACACATCAAAATCACCTGGGAAGCTGACCGAACCCTCATAGGCCCTCCCTCAAAGCTCCTGAAACAGGATTTCTGTTCATCTCAGAATCTCTTCTTAATCCAAGAAGCTGTCTTTAAAATAAGCACCCCAGATGATGCTGGTGGGCAACCAGATTTGGGAGCCTCTCATCTAAATGTTCTGTACCTCGCTGCATCCCTCTGTAAGATGTGGTTCGATACCTATCCCCCATGTGAGTACTAAAGGACAAACATGACATGAAACATCTATTTCATTGTCCTGCACTCAATATGTGTTAGATATGCTCTTTCAATTAATACATTTGAGGTGGTTTCTTCCAGAATATTTCAGTGTGGTTTTAGGACGCAACCTATTGATCATAACTGCCATGTATCTATTAGTTCTTCACCACAGGGAGAGGTTATAGCCGTATTGTGGCTAAAGGAAACCAATGACAAAACCAACACATAACAAGCAAAACATCTTCTGTGAGAGAGGCATAAGGATAAAGTCAGAGAAACATTTTTCTTCTTTTTAACCAAACACTTAACTCTGCAAAATCAGTAAAAATAAAAATCAGGGTAACGTGTCCTTCCCCCATTTTCTTTCATCTGGAAGCAAATGAAGAAGTAAGAACCACTTTGCAGCAGGTGATCATGCTAATTTTCTGGGCCATTTCCTCAAAGTGTCCTTAAAACTAGCAATCATCTCCGTTGAAAGCAATTCCTTCCCTTTAGATGCATCAGCTCCCCAAGTGTTTGACATCTTCTAATAGCTGATTCTGTTACCTCAAAAAGCATCGTCTGTGTGGATTAGCTGTTTTACAGCCTTATCCACTGTGAAAACTGCAGCATTTAAAAAAAACTACCACTACTACCACCACCACAACCACCAAATTCCTACCATGACAATTTTTCAGGATAGATTATTAATGATTATGTCCATATATCTATGCAGCTTTTTTGTTTTTTACTTTCAAAACCATTTTATAGTCTTATCACATCAGCTCTCACAACATTGGAGGCAGGTAAAGCAGTTGTCATTGCTGCCTTTTTAAAGGCGAGAAAACTAAGGGATCTGAGATAAATTGAGGTCACAGAGTTGGCTGAGTGACCAACTGGAGTGAGAAACACCAGATTCATAGTCTGTACACTTCAGGACTCCAACCTAAATGGGCTTAAGGAAAAGAGAAGTTTGTTAGCTCTTAGAGCCAGGAAATCCAATGAACAGATATAGTTTTGGGCTCAGATGGTTCTAGGAATTCTAACGATACCATTAAGAGATGGTGGCATTGAGTCCCTCTGACTCAATGGAGTCTCTCTCCATGTATATCTTTGTGTGTGTGTGTGTGTGTGTGTGTATGTGTCTATATGTGTCAGTGAGTGTTGTGCCTCTGTCTTTCTATGTGTCTGTTTCTGTGTAATCTGTATGCATATGTGCCTAGGGTTTCTCCTCTTTCTCTGCTTGTGGTTCTGTCTTCCTTTTGTCTCTTTCCGCCTTTTTCTGTCTATCACTCTCTTTCTGCCCATCTCTCTGTCTCTCCTTCTCCAGTTGTTTTTCTTCATCTGGTTCTCTCTCTCAGTTATCAACTCTTTCATTCTTTTTAAATTTTATTCTCAGGAAAGTTTGTCCCATTTGGTGACAAGATGACCTCTTGACATTTCAAGCTTCCATGCTTCAGTCAAAGGTATAATGCAGCTCTCCCACTCTCAAAAGTCAAACTAAACATCCGAAATGGACTCTAGTTGACCTGACATGTGCCCTCCCCCAGACCACACTAGCACACTGATTGGCCGCTCTCAGTCACATGCTGGCCCCTGTCAGGGGGCCTTTATGATTCAGCCCCATCAGAATCACGTGGCCTGCAGAATAAGAGTTCCCTCAAGGAAAAACAGGAGACGCTTACCAGAAATGGGAGAAAGGCTGCCCAGTAGGTAAAACCAACACATATCCACATGGCCTTCATTTGACTGCACCATAGATTGCCTCTTGCGAAGGGTATTTTTAGGAAATCCTGTTCTTTTAAAGTTAGGTTAAAAAAAATTCCATATATTACCTGAAATAATGCCATGTAATCATCACTGAGGGTAAAAGCCAGGTAAACAGTCTAAGCTCACATTTCTTACAGATAAACCCTACCCATAGAAGAACTTTACAAGAAAATCTGGCTACTTATGGAAAAAGAATATGGCAGAGGGAAGGAATATGTAGGCAAGTCACATCATCCCTAAGCCTCAGTTTCCTTGTTTGTCAAATGATGTAATATAAATTACAGGGACTTTTACAGACCACAGAATCCACTCAGGCTTGTTCAAACAGAAAATGATTTATTATAAGCATACATAATTTCTGGGAAACATACTGGGCTGCCATTTAACCAGGAACAAGTGCACTTAAGAGACATGGCCAGCCATGCCATTGGCTATTCTGTGAACACTCTATGGAAGATGTTGCCCACCACTCAGATCAAAAGTGACAGAAGTAGGGATTAGAAGTTTCATGGAGGCTGCCTCAGAAGAAGCAAACACTTCCACCACTGTGCTTGCCAGGAGACCCAGTCTCAACGTACATAACCCCCTCTTCTTGCTAGTTTCCCACACACAAATACAGAAACCACAACACAAACCTGCTCCTAGATATGACAGAAAGGTCTGAAATTGTGGCTTATCCGTGGCATAGGGTTTCTGATCACTTGCAGAACAGTAGAGTGTTAAGTTAAAAAGCACAGGCTTTAGATCCAAACCAACCTGGACTCAAAGATGTGTGATATTCCTTTAACCTCTTTCAACCCTTCATTTTGACCCCCTGTTAGAAAGGAACCCCTGTAAATAGAGATCAGGAATGCATAGCATCTGGTACGTAGCATACACTCCATACAAAGCAGCTATTAGCATTTTCTCTATGACACTCAGAAATATATGAAAGTATATAATAGACATGCTTTTGCCTTTTTTTTAATGAGCATCTCCTTGGCCCACTTTCTATACACAACTTCACTGGCTTTATTTCTCTGCAAATGTTTATTGCCACAGCTTTCCTAGGTGAAATGTCAATAATTGGCAATCTTCACTTCCAGTTTCTAATACACCTCTCTGAGACCTTCCTCTGCAGCCCACAGAGCAGCACAGCCACCTCCTACCACACACATGCTAGGCTCTGCCCCTGGCCCTGGAACAGGAGTCATGAGGCACTCCAGGACAGATTGCTTGAATCTCTACTTCCTGGACACCAGGCCTGTCTCCATGGTACCATTCAGCTGAAAATAGACAAGAGGTTTATTTCAAGATCTAGGGAGGGGAAACAGATAGATGGGAAGATAATTAAAAGGAGAAACTGACAAGTCTTTCTGCAAATTTGAGAACTAACCCCATTCCCCTAAGAGCTTTCAGGCCACCCAGCCTTGTCACTCTCTCTCATTCCTCCTGGCCCATAGCAGTCAACTGTTAACTTGATCCAGGATTTTAATTTCATTTTTGCTATTTCTGTCTCTTATTTTTTGTATTCTTCAAGACTATAAGTTTCTACAAGAAAAGAGTCAAGATTTGTTTTTTGTTCTATATTCCCTCATTTCCTAGTTTAAAAAAAATGTGGCTTTGAAGAAAACAATTTTTTTATTTCTCAACTACTTAATAGCTGTGTGGTATTAGGCAAGTCATGCAACTTCCCTTAGTTTTAGTTTTTGGAAAGAGATGTTAGTTTTAAATCATCCAGCATAATAACTGCATAATAAGAGATAGCTATCACCATGAACAGCGCCCGAAAATGTAGGCCTTAAACTCAGACTGTCCAGGTTTTTGTGTTGGTTCCAGCACTTATTGGCAGACTTATGTAACTACTTTGTGAGTAATTTTCACATCTTCAAAGGTGAGTCCAATAATCCTCCGAAATATATAGCCTTGCTATGAGAGTTGAGTGAGACAAGCCATAAGAAGGACTTAGCAATATGCCTGTCCCAGAGTAAACTTCAGCAAAATCTCCCACTGCCTTCTCTTCAGAGGCTAAATGTGGACCAGCTGAAAGAATACATGCCATCTGAATCCTCTCTGTATTTCAGAAACATTCTTTGGCTTTCTTTTTAATCCAATCAACTGAATATTTCTTTATGACCTACTATTCTTTTATCACCATATCCATCCTTTGTCCCTAGATTATCACTTGTACTTCGTGTTTGATACTGTTACAAATTGAACAGTGAGGGTACCTTCTGATAAATTAGTTATCATGGAGCATCGGGGCTTTTAAGTACAGCGAATGAGTACAGACTTTTCCACAGATCCTGCCTTTTCGCCTCCGGATGCCAATGGCCAAAGAGCAGAGATGGCTTCTTCAGGCTACATGGCTTGTGGCTCTGTTAAAATGAAAGGAAAAGAAAAATACAAATGTAGGAGCGCTCTTTAACTTCCCACACCACAAACTCAGCTAGAGTGTTCTGTAGGGTGTGCTTTTCTAAACATGACTCTGGCAGCTGAACACGACACGAGGCTCCAGCCCACAGTCACCTTCCCTTTCTCAGAACTCTTATTATGCTTCCTGTCTAACTTGGAATTGCTTAGATTTTGCTTATATTCTAGCTGTGTATCATTCTGTTAAGTTTCCTCAGCCTCCCTGGTAATCACCACTCCTGTCCATGTAAGATTTTCCATTTACAAATTACTCTCATATACATAAATATACTCCTGAAAGTGGACCTTGAACTTCACTTCTCTTCCTTCCTACTTTTGTGACTTCATGGCCCAGAAAACTAAGCAGGATTTCTCCAAGATAAGAACACTGAAAGCAGAGACATTCTAAAAGCATGTTAAATAAAATAAAACATGTAGTAAATACCTACTTTTAGCCCTCGCAAGTGAAGGGCTCACAAGCTGGTGAGGAAGACATCTGAAGAACACATCGCTCTATGACCTCAGAAGTCACATCTGTGTTTGGCCCTGAGAGGAAGAAGCCACTCTATTAATGGTTCAGACAAGGTTCAGGAAACTTTGAATTTATTCTTTCACTAGAATGAGCTATATTTTCTGTCTTTTTCCCTTCCCAAACATCCAATCTCTTTCAATTAGATAACACTCGCCTCTTTCAAGAACTCCTCAAAAGCTGAGGAAGGGGTACATTTCTTTCTTTTTCTTTTTTCTTTTTTTTTTTTGAGATGGAGTCTCGCTCTGTCACCCAGGCTGGATGCAGTGGCGTGATCTTGGCTCACTGCAAACTTCGCCTCCCCAGTGCAATTCTCCTGCCTCAACCTCCAAGTAGCTGGGATTACAGGAGCACACCGCCACACCCGACTAATTTTTTTGTATTTTAGTAGAGATGGGGTTTCACCTTGTTGCCCAGGCTGGTCTCGAACTACTGAGCTCAGGCAATCCACCCGCCTCGGCCTCCCAAAGTGATAGGATTACAGGTATGAGCCACCGTGCCCAGCTGGTACATTTCTTTAATTGGAAGCTCTGTACTCCTTTGCAATATTTTCAACCATTGATGTCTTTTTTTTTCTTCCCCATTCACTAGTGTTTGAGTCGTCTTAGCTTAGTATTTTCCTTGCTGACGCTTTTATTGCTTAACTCAAAAGCTGATAGTGTGTTACGGGGCTATATTTTGCTTTGGCTGGAACCGGATTTTTTCAGTGATACTCTTGGTTGCTGAGAAGAAAAGGCAAGCTTAAGATCATAGAGTTTTTTGTGTTTTTGTTTGTTTTTAACTCTCAGTCTTTGAAGAAATATCAATTCTTCTTGGTCACAGATTCTTAGAAGAACCAGATCGAAGTGGATAGGATTTCCCAGGTAACAGGATTTTGGTGGCATCAAAATAATACAGCATTATTAGCCTGATATCCAAAATCCAGAAGAACCATGAGCCATCAGCAAATCACAAAATCATTGAATCGACGCTGCAGTGGGAGGAAAGTGAAACATGCACTGGGGTTTCTTACACTTTGAATGCTGGGTATAGAAAATAAAGCTGAATCTAATGGGTAACTGCACCTGCAATAGGAAGGAAGAATCCTATAGGAGAATGTTAAGACAGCATCAAACTTCTAATTTGGGAATGAGCCAAATTATAGTTCCAATTCGGTTCTTGCCTTCTGATCTACCAAGTGGCAGGTGTGCAAACAGATTCTAGAGAGCTATTTTCTCTTGTCCTTGTGCATACAAGAAAGGGAAACATATTTAATAGACCGAAATAATGTAAAATCCGGAAGCAACTTTTGAGATCACTGTTACTGCCTACACATGTTTTAAGTAATAAAATCAGATCCCACATA
The DNA here is from genome assembly GCF_000001405.40 of Homo sapiens. Classification (NCBI taxonomy): domain Eukaryota; kingdom Metazoa; phylum Chordata; class Mammalia; order Primates; family Hominidae; genus Homo; species Homo sapiens. The sequence goes on along the minus strand of NC_000005.10, from coordinate 161,024,882 downwards.
GTGTAATTGACATGCCAGGTGCTACACAGCTATCAATGGTAGAGCTAAGATTTGAACTCAGGACCTTCAACCTTTTGTCCACCAGTCTTTGAAATATGTATATGTGTGTGTGTGTGTGTGTGTGTTTGTGTGTGTATATATATGTGTATATATATATACGTATATATATGTGTGTGTGTATATATATACATATATATATATACGTATATATATGTGTGTGTATATATATACGTATATATATGTATATATAAACTTTTTTGTTTGTTTTGTTTTTGTTTTTGTTTTGTTTTGTTTTTGAGACAGAGTCTCACTCTGTCACCCAGGCTGGAGTGTAGTGGCATGATCTCAGCTCATTGCAACCTCCACCTCCCAGGTTCAAGCAATTCTCCTGAGTCAGCCTCCTGAGTAGCTGGGATTACAGGCACCCACCACCATGCCTGGCTAATTTTTTTGTACTTTTAGTAGAGACAGAGTTTCACTATGTTGGCTGGTCTCGAACTCTTGACTTCCGGTGATAAGCTTGCCTCGGCCTCCCAAAGTGCTAGGATTACAGGCACAAGCCACCACACCCAGCCAGTCTTTGAAGTCTAAACACCTCATGTCTTTGAAGGAATACTCATCCTTGGTCCTCATTATTAGAGGAATCCTAACTATTTTCATTCAAAAAAATTGCCACTTTGGTATTATTTGTTCTCCAATATGACAGGAATTTTAAATATTGTTCATCACCCAGGCATGTATTCTAATAACACAGTTTGAGTCAAGGTTACAAAGTCACTAATTGCAATTAAAGTGTGTGGTGTTTGGCCATGCTAATGTCAGAGGAGCAAGCAAATAGTACATTGAATTTACATGGCAGAAATCAATTCAAGGATGTCATATCTCAACAGGGGACTGGTTTCTCAAGTCAGCTTCCAAAGCAAACAGAATACATAGTTGAAAATCACCTTTCAATGCCCCTCAGAAGGCACTACATTGGGTATCATAAAACTAACTCTCAGAATATCCAACACAGACTACATTTGCTCCAATTTTGGAACAGATTGCTCTCTCTTCAGTTGAGCACCAGATGAAGTGGTGAGTTGGCTTGCATTCAGGGGCAATGTTGTATGAAAAATATGTATCTTTAAACACTAAACACTCAGCACAGTGAGATGCTCACTCCATGGGAAACACAAGAGAACTTACTACCAACGGAGGAATGGCAGATCGAGGCTTCCATGTTGGGCTGCCTCAGGCCATATGTTTGAGTCGAGGGACTGGTGAGATTGCCTGCATTATTTAAACTCTTCCCGTTCTCTTTCCTTCTCTTAATCTCTGCTGAGCTTCTAGAGTTAAGTTTGCCAAAAATAAATGTATGTTGAGACTTGACTGAACTTATCTATGAAATTTAGTCAGTTTGGTTGTTACAAGTCACTGACTCAGGATAATGAATGACACATATACACATATATACTTACTTATGCTGACTTCTCTGCACAAGAGCCTCTTTGCTTTCATCTCAACTGCATTTATTATTAATGGTATGATGAAAATTGTTTAAAGGTAATGTAATTGGGACTCAGGAGAATTAGGTTCTAATATTGCTTCTACAATTAACTAGCTGAAAGACTTTGCAAAACGTGTCTAACCACTAAATCTCAGATTCCTCATCTTCAAAGAGGGGGCTCAGAAAAGATTCTAAATTTATATTAAGAGTTTGTACTGCCAGTTAGTGTAAGCACTGGGACTTCAATCCAAAATAGAACACAGACTGCAGATTGGTAGTATGGTGCATCTTGCTCTCTCTCCCCTTATTCCCTCTCTCTCTACTTCTGTTCCCTCTTCTCTCCTTTCCTAGTCTCTTTCTGATCCCTCCTCTCCTTCTGATCCTCCCCTCTTCTTGTCATTCTCATGCCCTCTTTCCTTTCCCCTCTTCCTCCATCCCTCTCACCTTCCCTTTCTACTTTCTTTCTGCCCTCCCTTTCACCCTTCCCTCCTTCCTTCCAAACCATATTTGGGTGTCTATTGTATGCTAGGGACTGCGTAGGCCCTAGGGATACAAAGATAAATTTGAGATTAGACCATACTGTCTCTTGCGCTTTGAAAATTATTTTTCATTCACTTATCATAAATGCAGCTGAGCAATCCAGTCTGATACTATTGTCATAGAATAATTCAGTGTGAAGTTTCTTTGGAAAATCACATCCTTTATCCAATTTAGATAAGCAAAAATAGTTTTTAAGTTTCAGTAGGAAGTCACAAAAATCATTCTAAAGTATTGAAAAGTTTCCTGAAGCGCTCTATGCTCTATTAATTTAAAAGAGATAAAGACTAAAAGCATCTATCATAGTATCCAGGGCCATGTGAAATCTTTCTCCCACTATACTTCATTTAGCCCTAGGGCCAGGATAGGAAGATAGTGTGGTTTACTAGAAAGAGCCTAGGTGTGGAATTAGATGGACATAGTTCACATTGTATCTCCACCACTTACCAGCCGGGTCACCTTGGATGCATAACTTCACTTCTCAGAGTAGCTGATTGTGCAATTATAAAATGAAAGTGATAATATTTACCTTGCAGAACTGTGGTGGTGTGGAATGACACAGTGCAGGCAAAGTGTCATTCCTCACCATAGTTCTGCACATATCATAGGTATACACATAATAAGTATGTGAGAGTGCTACACACGCAGTAGATATAGAAGAAAAGATAACAGTGTATAATTATGAACATAATTCTAGAGAAAGGAACTAACACTCACATAGCACCTTTCATGTGTCAAGAGTTGTGTTATTAGGTTGGGACAGGACAGCATCAAATTGATCTCAAAGTGTGTGATGATTCAAACAAAACAGACATTAATTTGTCACTTATCTAACAATGCAAGTGGATGTTCCTGGTTGGCAGCTAGCTTCCATACATGTGGTGATTCTGAGACCCAGGATCCTTCTGTCTTGTGGTTTGGTCACCCTCATCATCACATATATTCCACTGACAAAGAGAGGATGAAGAGGCACCCCTGCTTCTGGGAAATATTGGTCTAAAAGTGACATATAAATCACTTTGTTCTCAGCCCAATAATGAAAACTACTCACTCACATGGGTACAGCTTATTGTAAGGGAGAGCTAGGAAATGTAGTTGAAGCTGAACAGTCACCTCTCAAAAATGACTCTATATCAAGAAAGGACAACAAAATGTTAGTGGGCAGTTAACTGTCCCTGCTACAGTGACTTCAACCATATTACGCCATTTAAACCTATGACGTTGGTATTATATTATTATAGGTAGGTATTATAAAACCCCAACTTATTGATAAGGAAATTGCAAGTCAGTTTGTAAGTAATCTTCAGGTCACACACATCCATATATCCACTCTAACGCTGACTCCAGCATTCCCAGTCCCACCTCACTGTAGTCCTGTGGAACAGAATTCACAGACTCCTGAGTGCTATGTGGACCATACCCTCATAGCTTTGGCCCAAAGGGTATAATTTACAGGCAAAATGTGTAGTTGTAGGCTTTCTTGAAAATAAGAACATCTGGCAACTCTAAGTCCCCAATCCTGCAAGGATGAAATTCCCAAAGATGAGTACTTGCTCCCAGCTTTCAATGCTTTCAATGTGGCACATGTCTTGTGATCCACTCATCACTATCCTCTCCCTCCCCAATTTATCCCTGCTCAGCACCACCTATTATCATCATCTACCTAGACTCTCTGGCATGTGAGCTGATTACCTCTAATATAAGGTATCGTTTTTGTTTTGTTTTGTTTTGTTTTTAGTTGGAGTTTCTCTGTAATGCCCAGACTGGAATGCAATGGTGCAATCTCGGCTCACCACAACCTCCACTTCCCAGGTTCAAGCAATTCTCCGGCCTCAGCCTCCCAAGTAGCTGGGACTAGAGGCACATGCCAGCAAGCCTGGCTAATTTTTGTATTTTTAGTAGAGACGGGTTTGACCCTATTGGCCAGGCTGGTCTCGAACTCCTGACCTCAAGTGATCCACCCGCCTCAGCCTCCCAAAGTGCTAGGATTACAGGTGCGAGCCACAGCACCCAACCCAAGGTATCTTTATTATTTTAGTTCTTGAAAGGGAGCATCAACACTTCATTCTAAAAACTTGTAACAGTGATGAGGAGACAAAAGACATTAAATATGTATTTCTTTTCAAAACTGTCAAAAAGAGATTAATATTCTTTGTGCCTCTTCAAATTTTGTGGATCTCACTCCTATCTTTCATCTCAGATGATAATTTCTTCCTGGTTTGCAAACACATCTAAATAAATTTCCCTGCAACCTGGTCCCTGTAGGTACAGAATGAGCTCTACTACTCTGCAAGATTGGTTTTGCGTCTTTTGTCCTAGTTCCCTCCCTCTCTGTACTTATCTATACTCTTCATTCCGCTCACAACAATAGCCTGCCTTCTATCAGTTCCATCCATCTAATCAATGAATCAGCTATTTGTCAACAGAGCCCAGTGAGTTATGACTCCATGTTTGCAAGATTAGAGTTCAGTGAAGAAGTTGAAAAGCAGAGGACAAAGGACGGAGAGGGAAGATGGACACTGATTGCAGAGCTTCATGAGCTGCTAATCTACTCCCTCTGAGCCTGAAAATCATCTTCAGCTTTGCAGCCTGAGGCACTGCACCTCAGAGGATGGAGATTCTCCAGACAGGCCAATCTCATCATATTTAATTTCATGCAATTTTAATTCAAAGTCATAATTCTCTGATCCATCAACCGGGCTCCAATATGACAGTATAGTGACTTCTAGCATGAAAGGCATTCATAGAATTCTCAATTTCTAAAATTTGTCATTTGAGCTCCCCAAGAGCATGTTTCTTTTTAAAAGTTGCTTCACTGTATGTACCTTCTATCATCAGGTGGACTATTTACTCAACTCTTTTCATGCTCTATCTCAGAATTGAGTTTTTATCTTAAAACAATTGTCTTAACATTGCTAGAAATACATTTATTATAATTGCCTTTTAGCTGTTTTTTATTTACAGTATTCCCCCTTTATTCATGAGGGATATGCTGTGTGTTAGGCAGGGTTCTCTTAGAGGGACAGAACTAATAGGATATATGTGTATGTGTGTGTGTGTGTGTATATATATATATATACACACACACACACACATACATGTACATATATACACACATATATGTGTATATATACAAGTGTGTGTATATGTATATGCATGTGTATATATATGTGTGTGTATATATAGAGAGAGAGGAGTTTAGTAAGTGTGTATATATATATGGATATATAGATATAGATATTATATATATGGAGAGAGAGAGAGGAGTTTATTAAGTATTAACTTATACAATCACAAGGTCCCACAATAGTCTGTCTGCAAGCTGAGGAGCAAGGAGAGCCAGTCCAAGTATCAAAACTGAAGAACTTGGAGTCCAGTGTTTGAGGTCAGGAAGCATCCAGCGCAGGAGAAAGATGTAGGCTGGGAGGCTAGGCCCATCTCATCGCTTCACATTTTCTGTCTGCTTTGTATTATCTGGCAGCTGATTAGATGGTGCCCACCCAATTAAGGGTGGGTCTGCCTTCCCCAGCCCACTGACTCAAATGTTAATCTCCTTTGGCAACACCCTCAAAGACACACACCAGGATCAATATTGCAACCTTCAATTCAGTCAAGTAGACACTCAGTATTAACCGTCACATGCTCCAAGACCTCCAGTGGATGCCTGAAACCACAGATAGTACCAAATCCTATAAATATTATGTTTTTTTCCTATACATGTATACATATAATAAAGTTTAATTTATAAATTATGCATGGTAACATATTAAAAACAAAAATAGTAAAATAGAACCATTGTAACAGTATACTGTAATAAAAGCTATGCGAATGTGGTCTCTCTCTCTCTCTCTCTCTCAAAATATCTCATACTGAACTCTGCTTAACTTAAACTGCAGAAAGCAAAACCACAGATAAAGGGGGACTGCTGTATTTTATTATTTTTTTAATCTACCCACTTAAAAAAATTCTAAATGTACATGTTGTTAACTATAGGCACACTCTTGTATAGCTGATCCCTAGAACTTACTCATCTTGCTCAACTGAAATTGTATACCTCTTTAACAGAAACTCCCCATTTTCCTCCACCCTCAATCCTTGACAACCACCATCCTACTCTCTGATTCTGATTCTGAGTTTGGCTGTCTGATTCTGAGTTTTGGCTATTTTAGATACCTCATATAAGTGAAATCATGCAGTATTTGTCCTTTTATGACTGACTTCTTTTCCTTAGCATAATGTCCTCAAGGTTTATCCATATTGTCTCTTGGCAGGGTCTTCTTTTTTAAGGATTAATAATATTTCACTGTATATATATATATATATATAAACATTTTATTTATTTTATTATAAATATTTTTATCTATTCACCTGTCAGTGGACATTTAGCTTGTTTCCATATATTAGCTATTGTGAATAATGCTACAATTAACATGGTAGTACCTATGTATCACTTCGAGATCCTGATTTTCATTCTTTTGGAGATATACTCAGAAATGAGATAGCTGGATCATTGGTAATTCCATTTTTTATTTTTTTGAGGCACCTCATACTGTTTTTATGTAGTTACTGCAACATTTTACATTCCCACCAACAGTGTACAATTACTCTATTTTCTATACACTTTTGCTAAGACTATCTTTTCTTTGAAAATAACCATTCAAATAGGTGTGAAGGGATGTCTCATTGTGGTTTTGATTAGCAGTTCCTGAGTGATAAGTGACACTGAGCATCTTTTCATGTATCTGTAGCCATTTATATGTCTTTTTTGGAGAAATGTCTATTTAAGTCCTTTGCTCACTTTTTAATTAGTTTTTGTTTTGTTTTCTTGCTGTTGTGAGAGTTACTTCTATATTTTGGATATTAATTCCTCATCAGATAGTTTTCAAATATTTTCTCTCATTCTGTAGGTTGCCTTTTCACTCTGCTAATTGCTCTCTTTGCTATGTAGAACCTTTTAGTTTGATAGTCTCACTTGTATAATTTTGTTTTGTTGCTTATGCTGCTGGTGTCATATTCATGAAATCATTGGCATGCTCAATGTCATGAAGCTTTTCCCATATGTCTTCTTTTAGGAGTTTTAAAGTTTCAGATTTTACATTACAATTTTTAATCCATTTTACTCAAGGTGAAAAACTGAAAGCTTTTCCTCTAAGATTAAAAACAAGGCAAGGATGCCCACTCTCATCACTTCTATTCAACATAGTACTGGAAGCCCTACCCAGAGCAATTAGGCAAGAAACACAGAGAAATTCATCTGAATCAGAAAAGAAGGACTAAAACTATTTGTTGATGATATGATTCTATATGTAGAAAATCCTAAAGACTAAGCGTACACACACACACACACACACACACACACACACACCTGTTAGAACTAAAAATAATACAATAAAGTTGCAGGATGCAAAATCGACATAAAAATCAGTTGCATTTCTATATACTAACAAAAAATATGAAAAGGAAATTAAGAAGACATTGCAATTACAGTAGTATATTAAAAAATAGTTAGGAATAAACTTAACCAAGGAAGTGAAAGATTTGTTCATTGAGAACTACAAATCATTGATGAAAGAAATGAGACAAAAATAAGTGATAAAACATCTCATATTTATAGATTAGAAGACTCTTTATTGTTAAAATGTCCATACTACCCAAAGCAATCTATACATTCAATGCAATCCTTTTCAAAATCTCAAGGCCATTTTTTACAGAAATAGAGAAAACAATTCTAAAATTCATTTGGAATTACAAAAGACAACGAATAGCCAAAGCTATATAAAGAATGAACAAAGCTGGAGGTTTTACACATCCTTATTTCAAAGTATATTACAAAGCTATAGTAATTAAAACAGTCTGGTACTGGTATATAAAAGATGCATAGATCAACGAAATAAAAAGCAGAAAAATAAACCCATGCCTATACAGTCAACTGATCTTTGACAAGGGTTCTTTAAGAATACACAATGGGGAAAGAATACTCTTCCACAAAGGGTGCAAGAATACTCTTCCACAAATGGTGCTAGGAAAACTTGATATCTATATGCAAAAGAATGAATGTGGGCCTTTATCTTATATCATACACAAAAATTCTTCATTTAGCTTCCTAATTGCTCATTCTTCTGCCCTCGCTAACTTAATCCTTCTTCAAATCCCCGAAGTAACACTTCTAAGAGAGACCATCAAAACTGTTTCATCATTTCACACAATATGTCCTGAAATGGGTCCTACAGAACACTAGTCCAACAAGAGGAGAGTTGCTCAGGATCCTAAAAAGAGGGTTTCATGCTCATGAAGGTTTGGTGAGTCCGTCTACTGTATTGTTTTTAGCATATACATACAAGTTAACCAATTAAAAGTTCTAAACTTGCCTCAGTTAACAAAACAGAAACCATTTAAGTGTAACTTGGCATTTCCCATGTTTATTCTACTATAAAATCTTAATATTCCTTCTTGTATTGTAAAACACCTAGCCATGTCTGCTGGAATTAGTGTCCCATAATAAACATTCTGAGAAATGTTTCCCTACCACGAAAATGTGTTTTATTAGACAGAAATGCTTATTTGTCTCTTTTTTTTTTTGCATTTTTCCTCAATCCCATTACATGTGCTACAGTGAATTATTGATTACAATTTTTCATCCCTTCCAGTATCCACAATTGCTGCTATGTAACTTTTCATTTCCTCTTATAAGTGCTGACTTTGACCATGGGACTTGTTTTGCCCAACGGTATATTATTAACAGACAAAATATGAGCAACAGATTTAAATGGACATGCATAATTGAGCTTGTTCTCTCATACTTCTGCCATAGTCATGAGAAAAACGTGCCTCAACTAACCACCTGTTCCAGAGAAGGATGAGAGACACAAAGCAACCCCAGCCAACTCACAAACCTGCAGCCTGAAGCAGGGCTTCCCCAGCTGAACAGCAGAGCATGATCAAGAAATTAATACTTATTTTTTCTGCCTCTGAAATTTTGAGGTCATTTGGCAGGCAGCTATAGTTTACTAACATAATATGCTAGCTTCTATTCCAGAAAACATCAGGATACAAATTGAAAAACAAAACAGAAAAAAAAGTACTCTTTACCTTCAAAGATTTCATAGTAAGAGAGAGGAGAAATAAGTTATAATTCAAGACAAAATAAAAATAAGGGTGCCAAAAGAAGTACTAATAATATGCTATGGAAACATAAAAGTAAACTGAGGCTATCCAGATGTTCTTGACCATGAAGATAGAATTATGGCTGGTTTTTTTGTTTGTTTGTTTGTTTGTTTGTTTTTGAGACGGAGTCTCACTCTGTCGCCCAGGCTGGAGTGCAGTGGCGCGATCCCGGCTCACTGCAAGCTCCACCTCCCGGGTTCACACCATTCTCCTGCCTCAGCCTCCCGAGTAGCTGGGACTGCAGGTGCCCACCACCACGCCCGGCTAATTTTCTTTTTTTATTTTTAGTAGAGACGGGGTTTCACCGTGTTAGCCAGGATGGTCTCGGCCTCCCAAAGTGCTGGGATTACAGGCGTGAGCCAACGCGCCCAGCCAAATTATGGCTGGTTTTTAAAGGATTATACTAGAAGTGGAATCAAGAAGAAAGACATTCCAGGCTAATGGAACAGCATGCATGAAAACTATAAACTTTTCCCCCTTGAGGGAGTCATAGTTTTCTATTTTCAACTGAGAAAACTAGATAACTTCTGGAGATCACATAACTAGTATATGACAGACCTGAGTTCTAGAGCCTAGGTCTCCTGACTCTAGTTCTAGACTCTGTTTCCTGTGTATTTACATAGCCTGGTATAAAATAAAAAAGCAAAAAATGGAAAACTAGCTTGCTGCTGTGCCTGGAAATATCCAAAAGTGTATAGGAGAAAGCAAATGAAGTAAATTTTGTATATCAGGCTGGTAGTAATGATCATCATCATCATCATCATCATCATCATCATCATAACAACAAAAAGAACAACTGCAATAAAAACAAAACATGCAGTAGCCAAATAGGTGATATTTATTGCACACTTAACACGAGCTAGACTCTGTTCTAAGTGCTTTTTACATGTCATCTTACTTGTTCTTCATAACGATAACCCTGTGAGGATGGTACTATTATTAGACCCACTAAACAAGGTGAAATAAGTAAGGAACAGATAAGTTATACCACTTTTCCATAGTCACACCATAACTGGGGAAGTTAAAACTATTCCTGTCTGTTCCAGAGGCCTAAGTTCTAACGACGGTGTTCAACTTCAACAAAAAAATTAGAATCTTCTCTGGGGGCTTTTAAAAAACACTCATGTCCAGGTTCTGCCTATACCAAGAAAACTACAGGCTCCATTAGTGGGGTTCCAATCATCAAACCATCTTAAAAGCTCACCTTGTGATTCTTTGGCACAGCAAGTGTTCAGAGCCACAGTTAAAGCAAGGCTGGACAGAGTCACAGGCAGACAGATGGGCTGGAGTCAGAGTGTTCACAAGAGCAAGAAAGCAAAACAAAAAAACCTATCAGACAGAAGCCAAACAAGGTAAAACTGACCTATGAGTTTGCTCACAAGTTTATAAATCAATTGGGAAAAACTTGTAATTAATTTCCTAATAAGGGCAATCTTCTCAATGGAGAAAGATTTCCAGAATAGCCGACTGGAGCATAATTGACCCACATTATGAGCAATCAAATATAGTAATAATATTAGATAGTATTTGGGCTCTTCAGAGGAAAGGAAGAAAGAAGAGATGACAGATTCTGTCATTTTTCCTGGTCTGAATCTAAATAAAATTGTGAAATGGTTCAGGGTAGAGTGAACCATCATCTCACTTCACTTTCCGGATTCTCTTGTATTCCTTTCCCTACGTGTGAAAGACCTACACATTTTCCTTAGCTCCCCAGTGCAGTGGACATGCTCAGGTCCTCGAGGCAGCTGGGTCTATGATATGCCTGCCCCTAAAATGCATAGTTCCCCTGGGCAATACTTGCTCATGTAAAACTCCTCACTGAGACTGGACGTAGTCTGAGAAGCCTCAGCATTAGGCAGCCCCTGAGAATCAATCAGCACTGGCACATGGGTGTACAAATCAGCCTGCCACCACAGCCTGAGAACCAGATAAGATGGCTTTAAGGCAGTGGGACAACTTCAGCACCAGAAGAGGTCAAGTAATGGCAAGAAAGTGCAGCTGCTAGGTGCAGATGATTCCCTTGCCTCCTCTGTTTGATTAATTGTTCCTTGCATATTTCTTTGTCACATACAAAGGAGTTTTTTTGTTGTTGTTTTGTTTTGTTACACTTACCAAACCAGACCTCACATTTACATGTTCCTGGTCCACTCAGTTTTGGTGAAGACCTCACTGGCTATAGGTCCAACAGCACTTGATAGAAGACAAAGTCTCTCACGTGTGTCCTTTGCTTCATAGAAGTCCACATCCAAGGGCAGTGTCACTTTGATCCCCTTCAAAACTCTGTGAGTGGTGCAGGGTAACTGGATGACGAAATGGAAGCTCAAAATGTAAAGAGTGGTTTTAGAATATTAGAGTTGGAAGGGAATTGTCTCAGCTCATGACATAGTTTATCTTAGGATTGGAATCACATATTCAGCCAAAAAACATCTTCTAAACACCTATCCTGTGCTGGGTATCAGGTTCTATCTGGTAGAAATAGATAAATAAAACAAATTTGATGTCTTGAAGGAGTCTGTAATCTAGAACAGAGTTAAGGAAAAAAAAAAAAACTGTGGACTGTGGGCCAAATTTGACCCAGTACCTATTTTGCTAAATCAAGTTGTACTGGAACACAGCCATGCCCATTTTTTTACATACTATCTATGGCTATTTTTGTGTTACAACAGTAGAGTTGCATAGTTTTGACAAAAACTGTGTGGCTCGCAAAGCCAAAAATATTTACTGAGGCTTTACAGAAAGTTTGCTGATCCCTGATGTAGTAGAAGGAAGATTAAGTGAAATCAAGTGTGGCAGGTGTAACTACAGAATTCTATGTGAGGTATACGGTATGGGCTAAATGAAGCAGGGGGTGAGTTCTCAGAAAAAAAAAAATAAATAAATAAAGATGCCTTGAAAGGGATCCAAGCAGAGAGGCGGGATACAGAAATGCCAGGTGGAGGTAACAGGGTCAGGAAAATGATAGAGAGGAAACAGCAGGCTCCTGAGAGAACTATGAGTAGTTCAGCATAGCTGACCACTTATGGAATGGTGAATGAGGCATGGAGAAGGAGGAAGAAGAGTCAGTAGAGAGTCCTCTAGGAAGACTTGGTATAGCAAGCTGGAGCCCCTAACTCTGGTGCCAATAACCCTTGAAACTTGTGTGTGACAAATGCAGGCTATACTAAAAATGAAACCCTGTATTTCTCTTCCAGGCGGAGCAATCCTCCAGGGTCATTTAAGTTTCAGCAATCATGATGCCCTGATATGATTATATGAGTTACAATTTTAAAGAATAAATTGAATCTCTGTTAAATGGATTTTAAACTATTTTCTACCTTTATAATAGTTCATAGCAATAGAATAATAACTAATAGCTAAGAAGAGTTACAGGACACTGTGAGAGCAGATTATCAGGAGATCTGGTTTAATCCAGGGGGAATAGAGAAGTTGGTCCCAAGGAACTGACATTGAAGACAGATTCTAGAGGTGAGTAGATATTAACCAGGGAAAGAGTCAAATAATCACATGAGATTTTCTTAACATCTCAAAATCTGCAAAACCAACCTATTCCAAGATGGTACTCTATTCTCTGGGTTAAAATCTCATTGTGTCTATCTGTAAAATGAAAATAATCATGGTACTCATCTTGTAGCATTGCTCTGAAAACAAAATAAAGTGATGCATGAAAGATGCTTCACGTAAGAGCTAGCACACAGTAAGCATGCAAGAAATCTTAGCCATCCATCTTAGTACCTTTCTTTTTCTTCTAGTCTCTAAGAATGCTAAGTCTGTCTTTATTGCCATGTGCCCCTTTCAGAGTCTAGGTGGAAAAAAATTTAGAGCTATAAATCAAAATGCTGATTTTGGAATATCATTTACTACAGTATTTTTGGTGAATCAGTGAATCTCAGAGTCACCAGGAAGCCAGAATCAAAGAAATGCCACCTCCCACTGACTGTGGGACTCCCTTTTCAAAATCTCAAGAAGATGGTTCTTTGAATACCCACTTGGATCATGTCAGTGATGGGGCCACTTGCTCCCTGACTGGGCAGCTCTGATCTCGGGAAAATTTTTCTCCACATGGAGCCCAAATTAACTTTCCTGAGACAGGCACACATTGGCCTAATTCTGTCCACTTCTTCACATAGAAGGTGGCTTCTGTCGATTCCACATGACAACTCTTCAAACTGCCTGACCCCAGCCTTCTCATGCAGAGCCCAGGCCACAGGATGGGATCCCTCCCCTGTACTGTGCCATCTTTTCTCTCTGAAATCAGTGATTTCAAAAGACAGAGGACCTTTACTCCATAAAGCTCATATCTTATTCATCTCTGTATCCAAGTCCTCAGCATAGCGTGTCTCACGTAGTAGACACTCAGGAAGTGTCTGTTGATAAATAAAGGAAAGCATACCTACTTTAAAGCATAGAACTTTTTAAAAAGCAGCATAAAACTGAATAAGCTTTTGATCAGTTTTATTCCAAATGCTAATGTGCATCAGAAAACATCATGAAGTTAGTAAAGATGCAGATTTCTGGACTACACCCTCAGAGACTCTGATTCCATCAAGCTGGAGTCCTGGGCACTTGCATTTTTATCAAGCACCTTGGGTATCTTTGAATTGGGTGAGCTACTGAACACACTTGGGTAAATACGCTTTAAGCACTGTAGACATCAATCCAACTTTTACTAAACTTGATGTTGTGAAGTAGCAAACACATTTTAATTACTTTTACTTAGAACAACTTTTCATTTGCTCTCTTATTTTTTTCTCCTTGAAGCATTTTTTTCTGGGTTACCCAGGCATAGTTACCCTCCCATGCTGAGTGGTAAGTATGCTCCATCTATTACCTTCTTTGCAGACCTCCTAAGGAGATAATTAGGCACTGCAATTGATTGCAATTTATTAATCAGAGCAGGATGTTATAGAGTGTGTTGGGATGGAGGAAGCACAGTGCTGACGTCTAGTACAAATGCAAGGCAAGTAGACACAGTGACAGGGGAATAAGACAAAAATCACCACCAAATCACAGGATGTTTTAAGCAGATGCCCTATTTTACAATGTGGTTTCCCAATCTATTAAATGGGAGTCTTAAAACCTCCCAGGTCTACTCCCACAGCCAGATGTGAGGTTTATTCTTTGAATATTTACTAAGTGTCTACTATGCAATAGGTACTGCCCTTGGTGCTAAGGACACATCAGAGAACAAGGCCAAATCCTCATTTTATGAGGAGACAGATGATAAACATGTAAACACCTACACTTATACTATACTATATTATACTACACAAAAAATAAGTAGAACTGAATGAAAGGATAGAGAGAGAATATAAGAGTGCTGGTGCAGTCTCCTGTGACATAGGAAGGTCAGAGAAGGACTCTCCAAGGAGGCAATATTTGAGCAGAAATCTAACTGAGAGTGTGTGCCTCATGAAGACTAGAAAGAACCGTTTAGGAAAAGAGAATGTCTAAGTGGGTGTCAGTGGGTGAGGAGTGAATGCCACAAGTAGGAGAAAGAGCAGGAAGGTCTGCATGACTGTTGAGAATGAGTGAGGAGGAAAATGGTGGACCCAAGATTACACAGGTGGAAACATTGTGAAGTGCAGTATATAAAGGGATAGTATTATTTTCACAGAACGTTAAACCAGCAGGAATCTAAGCAGTTACCTAATCCAACCTATTCATTCAACAGGTGGGATTACACAAACCAAAGATTAACAGATCCCTTTTAAGTAGAAGAGAAGAGCCCAGGTCCTATGGTGTGTAATAGGGCTTTTGTTGTCATCATTCTCAGGTTCCTTCTTCCTCTACTTTCATTGTTCTTTTCTTTCATCCAAATTTCTTCCTTTCCCATTCTTAATGTCTCCTTCTCCAAGTTCTATTTCTTATCTTCCTTTTCTGCTTTTCTTTCTATCCTTCCCTCTCTCTATCCTGCTCCTCTCCCTCTTTTCCTCCTCATAGAATCATCTTTTCTGGCTCCATGGCTTGTAGTCAGTGTTATAACAAGTGAACAACATTCGTTGCTCTCTGAGAATAGTTCTAACATAAGATGGTTTTAAATCTTGACATTCAAGAACCTAGAAATACCACTCCCCAAGTCCTCTCTCTTTTCCCTTTGAAAACTACTTGTTATTTTGGCTGAAAATCTCTTTTTCTAGTGTCTGATGCACAGCCACATCCAAGATCACAGATGCTGCATATATGTACCCCAATGCTAAGTATTTGGCATAGAAAGTGCAAAGAAAGACCCAACTGCAGCAAAATCCAAACAGAGTATTCAAACAGAATGAGCAGGCATGAAGTACAAGTCACCACCACCAGGGATGAGGGAAGTTAAGAGACTTTAGTCAAACCGCAGGAGATTGACACCTCTTTCAAAGAGGTCTGTTTGTTTATGCGTAGCCCATTTCTGGAAGCAGATATCTTTTTTCAGCCCAGAAGCCTGTGAGAGATGCTAGGGGATGGTGGTGGGCTCTGAGAATTAAAATCAGTGATTCAAACATATTTCTGACTTCTAAACTAGGAGTATAGAAGCAATGCAATGTGAGTTTATCACACCCTTTCTGCAGCATACATCCCTAATTGAGTTCTAATACAAACCCCTGATCATTATATTTCAATTTTGTATTTCTAACTGCATAGCAGGAGAATGCAGAGCTGGTATCTGTAGAAATTGATTTTTCTTTTTCTGTGGAAACAGTCCCTTGCTGTCACAACAAAGCATATTCTTTTCCTTAGAAAGAAAGTAAAAGAAATACTACCAGTACTTTTATCCCACCAAACAGCAAAAATCAGCCTGCCACACAGCCTTTCAACTGCTTCAGCTCTTTCTGCCACTGCTCTAGGGAAAAAAAAAAAAAAAGTAGCTATGTACACATAAGTGAGTCTCCACAAAGTAGCGCTCTGAAATTTACTCATCTAGCTAATCTACCTGGGACTCACTTTGTTTATCTGTAAAGTGAAAGAGTCAAATAAATGACGTTTAAATCTGTGCAATTCTATACTGTTGAATTCCTGCTAGGTTCTAAATTCCTCACATTAGAAATATGAGCACTAATTATAAATGTGAACATGTTAGGAATGTGAACACTAATGATAGAATAAAACCTAGACTCCTCTCTCCTCTCTCTCCTTATGGCTGATCAAAGAATGAAATATTTTTAGTTATGTTCTATGTCTTTTAATCTTGATACTAGTAAAATTATATATTTTGTATGACATTTTAGAGGGAGTAAGGAAGAGACTAAAATTTGTTTATAGATTGCTGTGGGGTACTGGACAGTATCTTATGATAGTATTTGGATTCAGCTATGGAACTTGATTACATTTATAAATAGTGTTCCACAAAATGTCAGAGAAGAGATTTGGCAAATCTTCTCCCCCAAAAGGCAATGATAAACCTGAATAAGATAGTTAAAAACAACCATTCTAGGACTCTGGAAATTGACCAAAGGCATACAATAAACTTGGAAATATTCATTCAAGAAAAACTACTAAATTCCTATAAAGACATGGGAGTCTGCAACTTTTTAGGCTGTTCCCATCCTCTCTTCTAGCTCCATGGCATGGAAGTTGTACTATGATTTGGCACAGTGTGAGAACAAACAGCTCTGCCACCAGAGAGAACTGGCTTGAGTTGGAGCAGAGTGGAGAAAAGCCACATGCCCAAAGGCATTTTAAAAAATAATAGCAATCTCAGTGCCAATCTGGGAGGGCAAATATCAGAGCTGCCTCAGGCTGCAATACTGACTGAGCCAAGCAACAGATTAGCCAGAAATGTAGTAGAAAAATCCAAGGAACAAGGCAGACACAGTGGGTCTCGCTAATATCCCGGGGGTTATTGTTGTTGTTGTTGTTTTGTTTGTTTTGTTTTGTGGTCTGAAATGCTATGTGCCTGTTCAGGAGAGATGAGAGAGGAGTCCTAGCTATCTACTCATCTTAGCTGGAATGAGAGATCTTGCACAGACAGAAAGTAAAAGCTGCAGAATATTTGATAACTGCCTCAACTTTGAAGGCATTCTGCAATTTACACACAGAGCCATAAGCAAAAAATAAAACTTTCCAGGTGTTTAAACACAACTTTTGACCAACCTTTGTCTCATCATTAAGCTGTGCTGACGCAGGAGTAAAACAAGCAAACAAACAAAAAGACAAACTTAAAATTTGAAAAAAGAAATAAGAAAAAAAAACCTGAATGAAGACATCAGTGTTTACAAGACACAAGGCAGAAATGTTCGACAGAAATAGTCCAGTCAAGTCACTAAACAAACTAAAGCAATAACAAAAACATCCCCTGGGAATGAAAAATCAGATTTCAGAGTATTATGTTATCTAAAATGTCCATTTATTGACAGTAACATGAAAAATAGAACAAAATTTGAAAATATGGCCAACACACAGAAAAAAAGCTATCAGTAGAAATGATCTATGAGGGGATCCAGATGTTGACTTCAGCAGACAAAGGCTTCAATGTAACTATTATAATAACTATATTGGAAGGAGTAAAGGAAACCATGTTTAAAGAATTAAAGAAAAATATGACAACAATGAGATATGACAACAATGAATAACCAAATAGAGAATATCAGTAAAGGAATAGAAAATATAAAAAAGAACAAAATGGAAGTTCTGGAGATGCAAGTAAAATAACTGAAATAAGAAATATATTAGAGGGATTCAATAAAAAGTTTAAACTGGAAGAAAAAAGAAACAGCAAACACGAATAAATAAATAGAAACAATACAATCTGGAAAACATATTAAAAATGAAGAAAATTAACAGTGCCTCAGAGACCTGTGGGGCAATATCAAGAGTAACAACTTGTGCATGTTGAAAATTCCAGAAAAAGAGAAGAGAGAAAGAAAGGGACAGAAAAAAATATCTAAAGAAATACTGGCTGCAAACTTGCAAAATGTATAAAAGATTAACCTATAGATCCAAAAAGCACAATAAAATTCAAATATAATAAAGACAAAAATATTAGGCTGGGTGTGGTGGCTCATGCCTGTAATCCCAGCACTTGGGAAGGCTGAAGCAGGTGGATCACTTGAGGTCAGGAGCTTGAGATCAGCTGGGTCAACACGATGAAACCCTGTCTCTTGGCTGGGTGTGGTGGTGCACATCTGTAGGTCCAGCTACTTGGGAGGGCAAGGCAGGAAAATTGCTTGAACCTGGGAGGCAGAAGTTGCAGTGAGCTGAGATTGCACCACCGCACTCCAGCCTGGGTGACAGAGGAAGACTCAGCCTCAAAAAATAAAAAAATAAAAAATAAATAAACTCCTAAACACTTTATATCCTAACAGTAGAAGCAATAAAAATGGGATAATATATATTCTATATGCTGGAAAACAAAATCAATAAATAATTTTATAACATTCAAAACTACGCTTTAAACCTGTAGGTGAGGGAGGCATCATCTTGATGGCTGACTGGACATGCTCAATATTCTCCTCCTCCACAAGGAAGAACCAAAAAACAAGTAGACAACTGGACATCAAATAGCGTGTCTAGGGGAGAACAGCAGAATTCAACAAGAAACTAGTGAAGACCCTCAGAGACAAAGAAGCCTGGGATGGTAGCATAGGAAAAGAAGAAAAGTCCCCAACTGTATTAGTCCATTCTTGCATTGCTATAAAGTAATACCTGAGGCTGGGTAATTTATAAGAAAACAGGCTTAATTAGCTCATAATTCTGCAGGCCGTACAGAAAGCATAGTGGCATCTGCTTCTGAGGAGACATCAGGAAACTTACAGTCATGGCAGAAGGCAAACTGGGAGCAGGAACATCTCATGGAGAAAGAAAAAGCAAGAAAGAAGAGAGAGTGTAGGGGGCAAGGTGCCATATACTTTTAAATAACCAGATCTCATGAAACCTCACTCACTATTGCAAAGACAGCACCAAGCCACGAGGGATCCTCCTCCATGATCCAAACACCTCTTACCAGGCCCAGTTTCAGCATTGAGGATTACAATTCAACATGAGATTTGGGTGGGGACAAAAAATCCAAATTATATCACTGACTGAGATCTGCTCAGAGCCAAGAGGGACTCCCAGTGCAAGAAAAGGGAAAAGGAGATACCCAGCAGTTCACATTCCCATCACAGATGCCTGCAATCCTAGCTGCAAGAGAGCCCCACAGTCCTCACAGGCCCTAAGCCCATTGTAGGGAACTGTCTGTAATCCACATGACTGTATTATTCAAGAGAAGGCACTCATGCTGGGTCCTCCCCTAAATACCCAGTACCCAGGCTGCTGAAGTATGGCACCATTTTGAGGATGGAACCATTGCCATAGTGCATCCTTCCCTGAAGCTCAATAGCCCCTGCATCTCCACATCCCTGGGGCCTCACTCTCATCCCACCATACCCACACATAGGGCTACAGGCATGACCCTAGCTGGACCCAACAGTGCAGCTATTAAACTGGCACCCAAGCCAATGTAGCATCTGACACCCTGGGGAACAGGTAGCAAAGCACAGCAGGGAGGCAACCTCCAAGACAAAGCTAGCCAATGAGTACACTCCAGAGAGCTGACAGCTGACAGCTTGGGACCTGCCTGTACCAGCAACCCTGACTGTTCAGTAGCAGAGCAACTGTGCACCTTTGTAGGCCTGATGACTAGCCCACCCAGGGCCTTCCATCGCTGGTAACCCTATTCATTCTGTGGAACAACCACCGTACATCTGTGAAGCTACCATAGAAGTTCAAAGATTGGTCAGCCTGGTGGTCCTTGACCCCAGCAAAGCCACACCATACCCTCCACAAACACCTGCAGCAGAGGCCACTGAGACACTTATAGACACCGTGAACATTGAATACAGCCATAAAAAAAAATCACATAAAGAGTATACTACTGCACCCACCCAGAACCAAGTCAAAACATCCTACCAAACATACTATGGACACATATACAGGAAAAAGTCTTTTCCTATGAAAGCTACTTCATAAAATTAGAAGCTGTTGGTCCACTAAGTACATAGATATCAATGTAGAAACAAAAGAAGAAAAAAAAGAAAAAGAAAACATGGCACTTTCAAAGGAACAGAATAATTCTCCAGTAACAGATCCCAATAAAAAAGAAATCTGGCCGGGCGCGGTGGCTCACGCCTGTAATCCCAGCACTTTGGGAGGCCGAGGAGGGCGGATCACGAGGTCAAGAGATCGAGACCATCCCGGCTAAAACGGTGAAACCCCGTCTCTACTAAAAATACAAAAAAATTAGCCGGGCGTAGTGGCGGGCGCCTGTAGTCCCAGCTACTTGGGAGGCTGAGGCAGGAGAATGGCGTGAACCCGGGAGGCGGAGCTTGCAGTGAGCCGAGATCCCGCCACTGCACTCCAGCCTGGGCGACAGAGCGAGACTCCGTCTCAAAAAAAAAAAAAAAAAAAAAAAAAAAAAAAAAAAAAAAAAAGAAATCTATGAAATGTCAGAAAATAAATCTGAAATAATGATCTTAAGGAAACTCTGTAGGATATAATACAATACAAAGAAACAATTCAACAAAATCAGAAAAAAAAATCATCATCTGAGTGATATATTCAGCAAAGGGATATTATAAAAAATAACCAAATGGAAATATTTAAACTAAATAATTTAATGAATAAAATAAAAAATGAAATCAAGAGCTTCAATAATAGAGTAGAGCATGCAGAAGAAAGAATTTCTGAACTTGAAAAAGGTGTTTTGAAATAACCCAGTCAGACAAAAAAGAAATAAATTTATTTTAATAAATGAAGAAAGCCTATGAGACTTATGGGACAACATTAAGCAAACACATTTTACATTGTGGAAGTTTCAGAGGGTGAACAGATGAGAAAATACATTTTTTAAAAACCTATTTAATAAAATTATAGTGAAAAACTTCCCAGGCTTTGAGAAAGATATAGACATCTGGACCCAGGAAACTCAAAGACCTCCAAGTAAATTCAACACAGAAAGGTCCTCTTTAAGGCACATATAGTCAAACAGTCAAAAGTCAAAGACAATAAAAGAATTCTGAAAACAGCAAGAGAAAAGTATCATGTCACATACAAAGAAATCCCATCAGACTAAGCAGATTTCTCAGTAGAAACTTTACAGGCCAGGAAAGAATAAGATGATATATTCAAAGTGATGAAAGAAAAAGTAAAAAAAAACAAAAACAAAAACAAAAAAACTCTTAGCCGACATTAATATACTCAGGAAAGCTATCCTTAAGAAATGGAAAATAAATAATGGAGAAATAAAGGTTATCCCAGATAACTAAAAACTAGGAATTTATCACCACTTGACTAGTTCTACCAAAAAAAAAAAAAAAATGCTTAAGGAAATCCTACATCTGAAGCAAAGGGATGATGACTACCATCATAAAAATACATGAGAGAATAAAAGTCCTCGGTAGATCAGATACACAAATAAGAGAAATAAACCAAACCTTATCACTACAGAAAAACACCCAAATACAAGGATATAGAATAATAGAGGAAGAAAGAAATAAAGATATATGAAACAACCCGAAAACAAAAAAATTGACAGGAGCAATTGACACCTATCTATAATAACTTTGAATTTAAATGGTTTAAATTCTCCAAGTAAAAGATATGGACTGACACATGGTTGGGAAATAAATAAGACTCAGCTATATGCTGCCTGCAAAAAACTCAATGATAAAGGGATCAATTCATCAGAGGAAACAACAATTTTAAATATGTATGCACCCAACACTTGAGCACACAGATATATAAAACAGATACCATTAGAGCTAAAGGCAAAGATAGACCCCAACATAATAATAGATGGAGATTTCAACATTGCACTCCTAGCAATGGACAGATCACCTAGAGAGAAAGTCAACAAAGAAATATCGATCTTAAACTGCTCCATGGGCCAAATGAACCTAAAAGATATTTACAAACCAGTTCATCCAACAGTTGCAGAATACACATTTCTCTTTTTAGCACATGGAGTATTCTCCAGGGTAGACCACATGTTAGACCACAAAACAAGTCTCAACAAATTTTTAAAAATCAAATTCATATCAAGTATCTTTTCTGACCACAGTGGAATAAAACTAGAAAGCAATAACAAGAGGAGTTTTGGAAACTACAAATACATGAAAACTAAACAACAGACTTCTAAACAAACAATAGATCAATGAAGAAATTAAGAAAAATTTTTAAAAATGGAAACAAATGAAAATAAAAACACAACATATCGAAACTTATGGGATACAACAAAAGCAATACTAAGAGGGAAGTTAATAGCAATAAATGCCTGCATCAAAAAGCAGGAAGATTTCAATAAACAATCTAACGTTTCATCTTAAGGAAATAGAAAACCAAGAACAAACCAAACCCAAAAGTAGTAGGTGGAAACTTAATTAGTATCAGCATAAAATTATCAAAAGAGAGACTAAAGAAAAGAAAAGATCAACAGAATACAAGTTGGTTTTTAACAAGGTAAGTGAAATGGAAAATTAGCTAGATGTTTATTTTAAAAAGAGAAAATACTCAAATAAAATCAGAAATAAAAAGATATTACAATTGATACCACAGAAACACAAAGGATCATTAGAGATTACTATGAACAACTAAACATCAACAAGTAGGAAAAACTAGAGGAAATGGATAAATTCCAGGCCACATATGACCCACTAAGATTAAACAAAGAAGAAATAGAAAATCTGAATAGTTCAGTAATGAGAAATGCAATTGAATCAGTAGTAACAGGTCTCCTAACAAAGAAAATTCCAGGACCAGACAGCTTCACTAATAACTTTTAAAGTTAGAAAACTTCACACCAAACTTTTAAAGAAGAACTGACACCAATTCTCCTCAAACTATTTCAACATATTGAAAACAAAGAAATGCTTTCAAACTCATTCTATGAGGCCAGCATTGCCCTGACACTGAAACCAGACAAAGACACACATACACTAAAAACAAAACTGCAGGCCAGTATCTCTAATGAACATATATGCAAAACATGCTCAACAAAACATTAGCAAACTAAACCAATAGCCATGAAAAAGATTATACACTATCATCCAGAGAGATTTATTCCAGGGGTTCAAGGATGACTTAACAAATGCAAATCAATAAACGAAATACATCACATTAGGAGAATGAAGGACAAAAACTGCACAATCATCTCAAAAGATACAAAGCATTTGAAAAAAAAAAGAAATACTGTTATGATTAAAAAAAAAACTTTTGACAAATTAGATGTGTAAGGAAGGTACTTCAACACAGTAATGTCCATTTCCAACAAATTTGCAACTGACATCATATTGAACAGAAGAAAGTTAAAAGCTGTTCCTCTAAGAACTGAGACAAGACAAGGTTGCCAACTTTTACCACTCTTATTCAACATAATACTGAAAGTATTAGCCAGAGCAATTAGAGAGGAGAAAGATATAAAAGGTATCCAAATTTGAAAAGAGGAAGTCAAATTGCCCTGGTTTGCAGATGACATGATCTTGTATACAGACAAATTTAAAAACTTCACCGAAGAACTCTTAGAACTGATAAATGAATTCAGTAAATTTGCAGAATGCAAAATTAACATACAAAAATTGGTAGTGTTTTTATACACCAATAATGAACTGAAAAAGACATTGAGAAAGCAATCCTATTTACAATACCTACAAAAAAAATGCTAGGAATAAATTTAACCAAGGAGGTAAACAATGTCTACAATAAAAACTACAAAACATTGATGATAGAAATTGATAAGTGCACACAAAATTGGAAGAACAACTATGTTTAAGTACTGAAAGTATTAATATTGTCAAAATAAGCATATTACCCAAAGCAATCTACAAATTCAATGCAATCTCTGTCAAAATACTATTTTTCACAGAAATTTTATTATGAAATCCTAAAGTTCATATGGAGCCACAAAAAAATACCCCAGAGAGCCAAAGTAATCCTGAGCAAAAAGAACAAAGCTAGAGGCATCAAGCTACCCAACTACAAAATATACAAAACTATAGTAACCAAAAAAGCAGGTATTGGCATAAAAACAAACACATAGATCAATGAGACAGAATAGAGAATCCAGAAATAAAACTGCACACCTACAGCCATCTGATTTTCAACAAAGTCAACAAAAATTAACAATAGGGAAAGGACACCCTATTCAATAAATGGTGCTGGGAAAACTGGATATCCATGTGCAGAATAAAACTAGACTCCTATCTCTCACAACATACAAAAATCAACTAAAAATATATTAAAGACTTAAACGTAAGACACAAAACCATAAAATTACCAGAAGAAAACATTGGGAAATTTTTTGGGGACATTGGTCTGGGGAAAGATTTTATGGATAGAACATTAAAAGCACAAACAACAAAAGCAAAACTAGGCAAATGGGATTATATCAAACTAAAAATCTTCTGTACAGCAAAGGAAATAATCAATAGAGTTCAGAGACCCTGAATAAAGGGAAAAATATTTGTAAACTATTCATTAAGCATAGAATTTATATCCAGAATATACAAGGAACTCAGACAACTCAACAACAACAACAACAAAGAAATAATAGAGCAAATATTCTGAATAGACATTCCTCAAAAGAAGACATTCAAACTCCCAAGTATAAAAAAAAATACTCATCATCACTGTATTAGTAAGGGTTCTCTAGGAGGACAGAACTAATGGAATATATACATATATATACTTAATAAACTGCCCTTTATATATATATATATATATATATATATATATATATATATATATATATATAAACTGACACCAATTCTCCTCAAACTATTTCAACATATTGAAAACAAAGAAATGCTTTCAAACTCGTTCTATGAGGCCAGCATTATCCTGACACTGAAACCAGACAAAGACACACATACACTAAAAACAAAACTACAGGCCAATATCTCTAATGAACATATATGCCAAACATGCTCAACAAAACATTAGCAAACTAAACCTATATATATATTACCTCCTTGGTTAAACCTATATATATATTATAGGTTTATACATTATATATATACACTAAACCTATATATATATTACAGGTTTATATATAATATATATACTAAACCTATATATATATTATATATATAAACTAAACCTATATATATATTACCTCCTTGGTTAAATTTATTCCTAGCATTTTTTTTGTAGGTATTGTAAATAGGATTGCTTTCTCAATGTCTTTTTCAGTTCATTATTGGTGTATAAAAACACTACCAATTTTTGTATGTTAATTTTGCATTCTGCAAATTTACTGAATTCATTTATCAGTTCCAAGAGTTCTTTGGTGAAGTTTTTAAATTTGTCTGTATACAAGATCATGTCATCTGCAAACCAGAGCAATTTGACTTCCTCTTTTCAAATTTGGATACCTTTTATATCTTTCTCCTCTCTAATTGCTCTGGCTAATACTTTCAGTATTATGTTGAATAAGAGTGGTAAAAGTTGGCAACCTTGTCTTGTCTCAGTTCTTAGAGGAATATAATATATATATATATATATGAGTTTATTAAGTATTAACTCACACAATCACAAGGTTCCCCAATAGGGCAGTCCAAGTTCCAAAACTGAAGAACTTGGAGTCCGATGTTCATGGGCAGGAAGCATCCAGCACAGGAGAAAGATGTAGGCTGGGGAGCTAAGCCAGTCTCTCTTTTCACATTTTTCTGCCTGCTTACATTCTAGCCATGCTGGCAGCTGATTAGATTGCACCCACCCAGACTAAGGGTGGGTCTGCCTTCCCCAGCCCACTGACTCAAAGGTTAACCTCCTTTGGCGACACCCTCACAGACACACCCAGGATCAGTACTTTGTATCCTTCAATCCAATCAAGTTGTCACTCAGTATTAACCATCACAAATCCACCCTTTGTCAACTTGAACCCATACACACCTCCTGAGATCATATATAATGTTCAAATAAAGACAATAATAGGTCATAATTATGCCTAACATAATACAACTATCCTTGGTACAACCAGAAATGCACCAATCCCCAACCCAAATACTACTACATAAAATTAACAATACTTATTCCCAGGCAAGATGGCCAAATAGGAACAGCTCTGGCCTGCAGCTCCTAGAGAGATCAACACAGAAGGCAAGTGATTTCTGCATTTCCAACTGAGGTACCCAGTTCATCTCACTGGGACCAGTTAGACAGTGAGTGCAGCCCATGGAGGGCAAGAAGAAGCAGGGTGAGGCATCACCTCACCTGGGAAGCACAAGGGGTTGGGGAACTCCCTCCCTTTGCCAAGGGAAGCCATGAGGGACCCTGCCATGAGAGAGGGGTGCTATTCAGCCCAGATACTATGCTATTCCCACAGTCTTCACAACCCACTGACCAAAAGATTCCCTCAGGTGCCTACACAAGAAGGGCCCTGGGTTTCAAGCACAAAACTGGGTGGCCCTTTGGGCAGAAACTGAGGTAGCTGCAGGATTATTTTTTTTTCCATACCCCAGTGGCACCTGGAAAGCCAGTGAGACAGAACCCCCGAAGCTGAAGGCAGTGAGCCAAGTGGTCTTGCTTAGCGGATCCCAACCCCACGGAGCCCAGCAAGCTAAGATCCACTGGCTTGAAATTCTGGCTGCCAGCACAGTAGTCTGAAGTTGACCTGGGATGCTCGAGCTTGGTGCGGGGAGAGGTGTCCACCATAAATGAGACTTGAGTAGGCGGTTTTTCCCCTCAAAGTATAAACAAAGCCTCCTGGAAGTTTGGACTGGGCGGGGCCCACTGCAGTGCCACAAAGCCACTGTAGTCAGACTGCCTCTCTAGATTCCTCCTCTCTGGGCAGGGCATCTCTGAAAGAAAGGCAGCAACACCTTTTATTAAATAGGGAATCCTTTCCCCATAGCTTGTTTATGTCAGGTTTGTCAAAGATCAGATGGTTGTAGATGTGTGGTGTTATTTCAAAGGCCTCCGTTCTGTTCCATTGGTCTATATATCTGTTTTGGTACCAGAACCATGCTGTTTTTGTTACTGTAGCCTTGTAGTATAGTTTGAAGTCAGGTAGCATGATGCCTCCAGGTTTGTTCTTTTTGATTAAGATTGTCTTGGCTATACAGACTCGTTCTTGGTTCCATATGAAATTTAAAGTTTTAAAGAAGTGGTGTTGGGAAAACTGGCTAGCCATATGCAGAGAACTGAAACTGAACCCCTTCCTTACAGCTTATACAAAAATTAACTCAAGATGGATTAAAGGCTTAAACCTAAGGCCTAAAACCATAAAAACCCTAGAAGAAAACCGAGGCATTACCATTCAGGACAAAGGTATGGGCGAAGACTTCATTACTAAAACACCAAAAGCAAGGACAACAAAAGCCATAAATGACAAATGGGATCTAATTAAACTAAAGAGCTTCTGCACAGCAAAAAGAAACTATCAGAGTAAACAGGAAGTCTACAGAATGGGAGAAAATTTTTGCAATCTACCCGTTGGACAAAGGGCTAATATCCAGAATCTACAAGAAACTTCAACACATTTACAAGAAAAAAAACAAACAACCCCATCAAAAAGTGGGTGAAAGATATAAACAGACACTTCTCAGAAGAAGACAGGTATGCAGCCAACAAACATAGGAAAAAAAGCTCATCATCACTGGTCATTAGAGAAATGCAAACCAAAACCACAATGAGATACCATCTCACGCCAGTTAGAATGGTGATCATTAAAAAGTCAGGAAACAACAGACACTGGAGAGGATGTGGAAAAATAGGAATGCTTTTCCACTGTTGGTGGGAGTGTAAATTAGTTCAACCATTGTGGAAGACAGTGTGGCGATTCCTCAAGGATCTAGAACTAGAAATACAATTTGACCCAGAAATCCCATGACTGGGTATATACCCAAAGGATTATAAATCATTCTTCTCTAAAAACACATGCACACGTATGTTTATTACAGCACTATTCACAATAGCAAAGACTTGGAATCAACCCAAATGCCCATCAATGATAGCATGGGTAAAGAAAACGAGGCACATACACACCATGGAATACTTGCAACTGTAAAAAAGAATGAGTTTTTGTCTTTTTCAGGGACATGGATGAAGCTGGAAACCATAATTTTCAGCAAACTAACACAGGAACAGAAAACCAAACACCACATGTTCTCAATCATAAGTGGGAGTTGAACAATGAGAACATATGGGCACAGGGAGGGGAACATCATGCACTGGGGCCTGTCGCGGGGTGGGGACTAGGGGAGGGATAGCATTAGGAAAAATACCTAATGTTGATGACAGGTTGATGGGTGCAGCAAACCACCATGGCACATATATACCTGTGTAACAAACTGTTACGTTCTGCTCATGTATCCCAGAACTTAAAGAATAATAATAAAAAAATTTAACAATATTTAAATGCTGATATGAAGTCAATAAATCTTATGTCACATGGTAAAGCAGAAAGGAAATTAAATGAAGATCTTTTATTAGTCCAAGTGTATACATGCACAAATATGTTTTTAACAAAAGAGGAGGAAATACTCATGACAATTTCAATCCTCATTTCTGCAGCTGGTCACATGGTCATAGCTGGTATTAATGACTACCTTCTTCTACTACCCATTCTGTATTCCTTTTACCTTCAGCAAGCACCTCAGCAGGTCATAGATTTTCCTTGGTGGAGTAACACAAACCTTCATTCCTGAAGGGTCTGAGTCATTTGTAGTCCTGCCTGGATTGGGCTATTGTAGTTTCCCATTGACCTTAATCACAAAGCATGGTAATACTAAGAGACAGCCTAATGGATCTCCTTTATTCCATGCATACTCTTTCTTACCTCTGTCGTGGAGTAATAGACTGATTTCATCTTGACAGTCTGGGTCAATCACCCCAGCCAACACTGTAACTCCTTTCTTGCCTGTTGATTTAAAGGAAGGAAGAGCCCAAAGTGTCCAGGTGGCAATCTTAACTTCCAGTTTAATGGAATTGTTGTTGTGTCTTCTGGAGGCAGTGTTCCTCCCTCTGGAATTAAGATCTCTAGGCCAGGCGGGCGGATCACGAGGTCAGGAGATCGAGACCATCCCGGCTAAAACGGTGAAACCCCGTCTCTACTAAAAATACAAAAAATTAGCTGGGCGTAGTGGCGGGCGCCTGTAGTCCCAGCTACTTGGGAGGCTGAGGCAGGAGAATGGCGTGAACCCGGGAGGCGGAGCTTGCAGTGAGCCGAGATCCCGCCACTGCACTCCAGCCTGGGCGACAGAGCGAGACTCTGTCTCAAAAAAAAAAAAAAAAAAAAAAAAAAGACCTCTAGGCCAGCAGAACATAATGTCTTGGAAACAGGAAGCAAAAATGTTGCCAGTGGATCATTAGGGGTGATTGTGAGTGGTGCCACTTTCACTTCCAACCCTTGATTCCTGGACCTGGGAATCCTGGCTACAGGAGAAATAGTACCATATATTGGAAGCTGATTCAGAGTGTACATGGCCTTGTGGAGAACTTTCAGAGTGTACATGGCCTTGTGGAGAACTTTGCCCTAGCCCTGCAAAGGATTGTCACTTAGTTGGTATTGTAGTTGTGACTACAAAAGGCCATTCCGCCATTCTATAATCCAGCTGCTTCAGGATGATGGGAAACATGGTAAGACCAGTGAATTCCATGAGTATGAGCCCACTGCTGCACTTCTTTAGCTGTAAAGTGAGTTCTTTGGTCAGGGGCCATGCTGTGTGGAATACCATGATGGTGGATAAGGCATTCCATAAGTCCACTGATAGTAGTCTTAGCAGAAGCATTGCATGCAGGATAGACAAACCTATATCCTGAGTAAGTGTCTATTCCAGTGAGGACAAACCTCTGCCCTTTCCATGATGGAAGAGGTCCAATATAGTGAACCTGCCACCAGGTAGCTGGCTGATCATCCCGAGGAATGGTGCCAGATCAAGGGCTCAGTGTTGGTCTCTGCTGCTGGCAAATTGGGCACTCAGCAGTGGCCATAGCCAGGTCAGCCTTGGTGAGTGGAAGTCCATGTTGCTGAGCCCATGAGTAACCTCCATCCCTGCCACCATGGCCACTTTGTTCATGGGCCCATTGGGTGATTACAGGGGTGGCTGGGCAAAGAGGCTGAGTGGTGTCCACAGAATGGGTCATCCAATCCACTTGATTATTTAAATCCTCCTCTGCTGAGGTCACCTGTTGGTGAGCACTCACATGGGATACAAATATCTTTACAGTTTTTGATCACTCAGATATGTCCATCCACATACTTCTTCCCCAAATTTCTTTGTCACCAATTTTCCAATCATGCTTCTTCCAAGTCTCTGACCATCCAGCCAAACCATTGGCTACAGGCCATGAACCAGTATATAATTGCATATCTGGCCATTTCTCCTTCTATGCAAAGTGCACAACCAGATGCACTGCTCAAAGTTCCGCCCACTGGGAAGCTTTCCCTTCACTGCTGTCCTTCAGGGATGTCCTTGAAAGGGGTTATAGTGCTGCAGCTGTCCACTTTGGGGTGGTGCTTGCATATTGCGCAGTACCATCTGTGAACCAGGCCCAAGTCCTCTCTTCCTCTGTCAAATGATCATAAGGAACTTGCCATGAGGCCATCAGTGCAGGCAGGAGGAGAGAAGGCAGGGTGGCAGAAATGGAGACTATGGGCATTTGAGCCACTTTCTTATGTAACTTACTTGTGCCTTCAGGACCTGCTTGAGCCTGATCACGTATATACCACTTTCATTTGATGGAATGCTGCTGTGCATGACCCACTTTATGGCTGGATGGGTCAGAAAGCACCCAGTTCATGACAGGCAATTCAGGTCACATGGTGACTTGATAACTCATAGTCAAACATTCAGTGTCCACCAAAGCCCAATAACAGGCCAAGAGCTGTCTCTCAAAAAGAGAGTAGTTATCTACAGAAGATGGCAGGGCATTGCTTCAAAATCCTAGAGGCCTCTGCTGTGATTCACCTATGGGAGTCTGCCAAAGACTCCAAACAGCATCCCTATCTGCCGCTGACACCTCAAGCACCATTGGATCTGTTGGGTCATATGGCCCAAGTGGCAGAGCAGCTTGCACAGCAGTCTGGACCTGTTGCAGAGCCTTCTCCTGTTCTGGACCCCACCCAAAACTGGCAGCCTTTTGGGTCACTCGATAAATGGGCCAGAGTAACACACCCAAATGAGGAATGTGTTGCCTCCAAAATCCAAATAGGCCCATTGGGTGTCGTGCCTCTTTCTTGGTTGTAGGAGGGAACAATTGCAGCAACTTATCCTTCACCTTAGAAGGAATATCTCGACAGGCCCCATGCCACTTGACCCGTAGAAATTTTACTGAGATAGAAGGTCTCTGAGTTTTAGTCAGATTTATTTCTCATCCTCTGGTATGCAAATGTCTCACCAATAAGTCCGGTGTGTTTGCTACTTCTTGCTCACTGAATCCAATCAGTATAGTGTCATCAATGTAATGCACTGGTGTGATATCTCATGGAAGCAAAAAGTGATCAAGTTCTCTCCAAATAAGATTATGACACAAAGCCAGAGTTGATATACCCTTGAGGTAAGACAGTAAAGGTATATTGCTGGCCTTGCCAGCTGAAGGCAAATTGTTTCTGGTGGGTCTTAGGAACAGGAATGGAGAAAAGGGCATTTGTCAAGTCAGTGGCTGCATACTAGGTACCAGAAGATGTGTTAATTTGTTCAAACAAATTGGTACATCTGGTACAGGAGCTGCAATTGGAGTCACCACTTGGTTAAGCTTACAATAATCCACCATCATTCTCCAAGATCCATCTGTCTTCTGCACAGGCCCAATGGGAGAATTGAACAGGAATGTGGTGGGAATCACCACCCCTGCATCTTTCAAGTCCTCAATGGTGGCATTAGTCTCCACAGTCCCCCCAGGAATGTGACACTGTTTTGGATTTACTATTTTTCTAGGTAGAGGCAGCCGTAATAGCTTCCATTTGGCCCTTCCCACCATAGTAGCCCTCACCCTACCAGTCAGGGAGCCAATGTGAGTATTCTGCCAGCTGTTAAGTATGTCTATGCCAATATGCATTCTGGCACGGGGAAATGACCACAGGATGAATCCAGGGACCTACTGGACCCACTGTAAGTCGGACCTGAGCTAAAACTCCAATAATTATCTGACTTCCATAAGCCCCTACATTAACTGGAGGACCACAATGACGTTTTTGGGTCCCCTGGAATAAACATCAGCTCAGTGTCCAGTAGTCCCCAAAATGTCTGATCATTTCCCTTTCCCTCCTGCTAAAACGCTGGAGGTCTCCTTGGGGAAGGATGGGAGAAAGATTCACTACAATTGTCGGCAATGTAGTGGAGTCCTTCCTCAAGGGGACCTGGCCTCCCCTTTATTCAAGGGGTTCTGGGCCAGTAAACTGGCTCAAATCCGGAATCAATTGAGGGGCCGTGATTCTTTGTTTTTAAAATTCAAATTAGTCTTTTGTCCATTCAACATAGAAGTATTATTTGTGTACTATAAGTAGGAATGCAGTAGGCTTCCTATCAATTTCACTTCTAAGAACATCATGATTAATTAGGCAATGCCAAGGCTCTACCCGAGTCAGACTAGTGTGATTGCTTCTCTGCCTCTGCTTTCCATTATGGTAGCTATACCCATTTTGCCTTTGATAGTTTAGTGCTACCACTTGGCCCCTGCCCCCAAAGAATCCAATTATTCCCACTGTATTTAAATGTTGTAGTTGAGTGACTGTGTTTCCAGTGTTAGATCTGACATAGAGAGAAGAGCAATTACAGGGCTTTTCAAATATTCAGGTGCTGCCCTCACAAATCTATTTCACAAGGCATTGGTCAAGGGTATATCTTCTGGACCCCCCTAGATGGGATGAGTAAGTCTAAAATGACTAATTCACTCCACCATCCCAGTCTCCTCCACATTAAACCAAGGGAGAACAGGCATTTTCAACTCACTCACAGGGGGGCATCTTTTAATCCATATTTCAGCTAACCAAGTAAATAAACTATTAGAACATTTTTTAACTCCCCGAGCTGCAACATTAAATGCAGAATCCCTACTTAATAAGCCCAAATCAATAAATTGAGCCTGATCCAAATCTGTGTTTCTTCAACCATTATCCCACACCCCTAATATTCATTTCCATGCCTGTTCTCCAGATTTCTGTTTTTATAAATTAGAAAAGTCAAGCAGTTCTTTTCAAGTGTAGCACACCTCCTTATGGGTCACCCTCTCAACTTCACCTTTAGAGGCCCACCAGGACTTTAGTTATAGGTCTAGAAGCAAACAGGGGTGTTGGTGGCTTGTCCTGAGGAGAATCAACATTATCTTGCCTGGCAACTGCCTCATGGGAGGCCATCATTGTTACCTCAGGCAGCTCAGGGTTTATCTCCTCAGGCAAAAGTGGAAAGGCTGATTGCAGCATGAGTCAGGGAGAGGATGTTGCTACTGCTGAGGATGGGGAAGCTGTTTATTCTGGAAATAATAATAATAATAATAATAAGGTTCATCAGCGTTTACAAACTCAGTGTTTCCAGCTTCATCAGAGCCCTCCCTTATGTCCCCATTCCAAGTTTCAGGGTCCCATTCTTTTCCAATCAATGCCCTCACTTTAACAGTAGACACCTGGCAAGTCTGTGCATGCACCTTTCATTGCAGGTCAGCCACTCACATGATAAGAGCTTATGTCTGTTTTTCCACAATTTCAGCTCTTTCTCTACAGAAGACTCTCATTCAGAGCAATCTTAGCAGATTTGAGACTCAGTATCTGCTTCTGAAGCCAGGAGATAGAATCTCTGAATTCATCATTTCTTTCATCACTTTGTCCACTGCACTTAGGAGCAACCAATCAACTTCATCATGTTCCTTGGTTCTCCACATATGGTCAAAGGTGTTATGTATAGAGTCACTAAACTCCTTGCCTCTCATGGGCAGTGAATCAGGAGTGTCAAATGCATTTATTTTCATAACTCACTAAACATTTCATGCCAAGGACTATCAATGTTCTCCATACTATTAGAAGTAGAGTCCTTAGCATTTTGGGGTCTAATTATATTAAGCACCCAACTCCAGAAACTTCCAAACCAACAAAAGAGCTCCATCTTTAATATTCTGCTCCTCTAGAAGCCCTTCTGGTGCCAAAATCTGTATTAGTCAGGGATAGAAGTAATGGAATAGACATTACTTTTTATTAAGTTTATTAAGTTTATTAAGTATTAACTCACATGATCACAGGGTCCCATAATAGGTCATCTGCAGGCTGGAGAGCAAGGAGAGTCAGTCCAAGTTCCAAAACTGAAGAACTTGGAGTCTGATGTTTGAGAGCAGGAAGCATCCAGCACGGGAGAAAGTGTAAGCTGGGAGGCTAGGCCTGTCTCTCTTTTCACATTTTGCTGCCTGCTTATATCCTAGCCATGCTGGCAGCTGATTAGATTGTGCCCACCCAGACTAAGACTGGGTCTGCCTTTCCCAGCCCGCTGATTCAAATGTTAATCTCCTTTGGCAACACCTTCACAGACACACCCAGAATCAATATTTTGTATCCTTCAATCCAATCAAGTTGACACTCAATATTAACCATCAGGATCACTAATCAACAAAGAAATGAAAATCAAAACCACAATGAGATATCATCTCACACCAGTTAGAATAGCTATTATCAAAGAGACCAAAATAATAATAAATGCTGGCAAGGATGTGGTGAAAAAGGGAACTCTTATACACTGTTGGTGAAAATGTAAATTAGTACAGCTATTATGGAAGAAAGTATGGCGGCTCCTCAAAAAACTAAAAACAGAACTTTCATATGATTCAGCAATCCCACTATTGGGTATTTATCAAAAGGAAAGGAAATTAGTATATCAAACAAATATCTGCACTCCTATGTTTATCACAGCACTATTCACAATAGCCAAGATATAGAATCAAGCTAAGTGTCTATCCACAAATGAATGGACAAACAAATGTATATACATGTATCTATACACACACACATATGTATCTATACACACAAACATACACACATGCACAATGGAATACTATTCCACTATAAAAAATAAAATCAAATCCTCTCATTTATAGCAATGTGGATGAGCCTGCAGGATATTATATTAAGTGAAACAAGCACAGAAAGATAAATAGTACATGTTCTCATTCATATGTGGGAGCTAAAATAGTTGAGCTTATGGATATAGAGAATAGAATTGTGTTTACTAAAGCCTGGGAAGAGTAGCCGGAGGAGGAGGCTATGGAGAAGTTGGTTACTGGGTACAAAATTACAGGCAGATGGAAGGATCAGCTCTAGTGCTCTGTGGCACTGTGGAGTGACAACAGTTAGCAATAATTTATTGTATGTTTTCAAGTAGCTGGAAGAGAGGATTTTTAATTTTCCTAGCACAAAGAAATGATAAAGATTTGAGGTGATATATATGCTAATTACCCTAATTTGATCATTACACATTGTATACATTTATTAAAACATCACTCTCTACCTCATAAATATGTATAATTAGTACATGTCAATTAAAATAAATAACCTGTAAGTCAAAAAAATCACAAAGAAAATTAGCAAATATTTTGAAGTGGATGGAAGTAAAAACATATCAAAATTTATAATGTATCAAAACAGCACTTAGAGGGAAGATGTATAGCTTTAAGTACCTATATTGGGAAAGAATAAATATCATAAGTCAAGAATCTAAGCTTCAAACTTAAGAAATTAGAAAAAAAATACCTAAACTCTAAAGCCAAAGCAAAATATGGAAGGTAGTAATAAATATTAGAGCAAAAATCAATAAAATAGAAATTTTAAAAAATAAAATCAATTTAACAAAATATTGGCTTGTTGAAAATATCAACAAAATTAACAAAATATTTGCTAATTGTCTTTCATTACTTAGACTGACAAATAGTAAATAAGGTAAAAGATAGAGATTTCTAAAATTAAAAATGAGAGTGGGCAGTATCACCAAATTTATTAAAATAATTTTCAGAAATACTATAATTTCCTATCAGTAAATTATACAACTTTTATGAAAAAGAAAAAATTCATAGTGTGAGTGGGAAAAAAAAATTGTTTTTCCTCTGTTTTCACACCTCAACAATCAACACAGAGGAATTTTGTGACCAAATGTGTAGAGATTTCTCCCCATCAACAAGCGAGCAATAAGTTCTGCAATAGACACCAGTTGGGTGTCCTCCAACTCAATTCTGACACTATCCACCTGGAGACAGCTAAAGATCCCACAGGCTAAGTAAGGGCTCAGTCCCACAGGACAGTCCCCTCTTCAGACACCAGTCACAAATCTAGGGCTGCAGAACTTCTAACTGGCTGGCTTCAATTTGGGACTCCCAGGACCCTCTCTCTGGATTCAATTAATTTACTAGAGTGGCTCACAGAACTCAGGGAAGCACTTAGTTATGTTTGCCAGTTGATTATAAAGGATATTACAAAGGATACAGATGAAGCAATGCATAGGGTGAGCTATGGGGAAAAGGACACTAAGCTTCCATGCCCTCCCCAGGGATGACAAGCTCCAGGAACCTCCACGTGTTCAACTATCTCAGAAGCACTTCTAACCTTGTCCTTTTGGGTATTCTGGAAGCTTCATTATGCAGGCATGATTGATTAAACCATTGGCCATTGGTGATCAGCCTAATCCTTCAGCTCCTCTTCCCTCCCTAAATGTCGGGACAAGGCTAAAAATGTGAACCATCTAAGCATGTCTTCTTTTGTGACCAGCACCATCCTGAAGCTACCTAGGGGCTGCCATCCACCAGTCAATTCATTAGCATACAAAATGACATCACTTTAAAGAGTCTAAGAATTTTAGAGGTTTATGTCAGGAAACAGCATTGAAGACCAAACATGTATTTCACAATATCACACATAAAAATACACAAATTACCAAAATTAATTCAATAATGAATTAAAAATCTCATTTATCCCATATGAATATGGGATGAAATATTGGAACCGCAGTTGTGATAAGGGATTTTGGCTGGGACAGCACCTAATAGGATTTTCAGTTGATTTACCACATTTCTGGGAGCCTTGTATGATGGAAGTAGTGAAGTCAGAGACTCTCAAAGTGGTGGTAAAATTTAGGAGACAGTCATGAATCATTTTATAAAACTTTTTATTTTAAAATAATTTCAGGCCAGGCATGGTGGCTCACGCCTATAATCCCAGTACTTTGGGAGGCAGATCACCTGAGGTCAG
Organism: Homo sapiens; assembly: GCF_000001405.40. Taxonomy (NCBI): domain Eukaryota; kingdom Metazoa; phylum Chordata; class Mammalia; order Primates; family Hominidae; genus Homo; species Homo sapiens. The sequence continues at coordinate 160,987,584 of NC_000005.10, read as the reverse complement.
GAGTTCGAGACCAGCTTGGCTAACATGGTGAAACCCCATCTCTACTAAAAATACAAAAATTAGCCAGGCATGGTGGCAAGTGCCTGTAATCCCAGCTACTCAGGAGGCTGAGACAGGAGAATCGCTTGAACCTGGGAGGCAGAGGTTGCAGTGAGCCGAGATCACACTACTGCAATCCGGCCTGGGCAGCAGAGTGGGACTCCATCTCAAAAAAAAAAAAAAAGAAAGAAAGAAAGAAAAGAATTTCAAACTTACAGAGAAGTTGCATGAATAGCAAAGAGCACACTGTTTACCCAGATTTCCTTATCCTGAACTTTTTATTCCGTTTGCTTTCTCTATACATATATTAATATATGACTACCCTTTTTTTCTGAACATTGAAAAGTAAGTTGCATATGTTACCACTTTTTACCCCTTCAGTGAGTATTTCCTTAGGAGAAGGATATTCTCTTCTATCCCCACAGTGCAGGTATCAGCTTCATTGAATTGAAGATTTGTATAGAACTTGCATCTAAGCTGCCAGCTGCATTTCTTGTCTATTTACACAATAATGTCTTTTATTGCATTGTTTTTCCTCCAGTACAAGATCCCACTTAGTATTTAGCTATCATATCTGGACTAACCTTTAATTTTTTCTACCTTTATGGCATGATTATTTTGAATAATAAGGTATTTAGGCTATTTTCTATACCATCTTGTATTCCCTAGAAATTCTCTTTCTACAGTTTATCTCTCTTTACATTTGGAAGCATGTTTTTCACATTGAGAATCCTGGAGTTTTTAGGGCCAGTAGGAACCACAACTAGGCCATAAATGACAATTTATGGAGATCCCCGGATGTGCAGAGGAAAATTTCTGAACAGAAAGCCTACCTGGAGAGAAGCCTACCTCTCCCATGGGGAGAGGATATGAAGAATAAGTCCTTTGAGGACAGGGGACTATGGAGACTCAGCTGATGCAAAGAAAGGAATCTGTCAACTCTGTTAAAGACTTATCACCTGCATGGGAAAGGTTTGGTGTCCTGGATCGAGGATGATTACTTAGAATTAGAGCGGAATTGAGGAATTTAAAGCAAGAACTTGATACAGTGCTTGATTTCAGCAGTTTATCATCCTGATAATGAAGCTGTCAATGTAGCAACTGTTATATGCCTGACAAATAGAGGAAGATAAATCTCATAGCTAGCCAGCTAGATAGATAGATGCTCATTAATTAATTTTAAGAATTATTTGAAGGTTAATAGAAATTTTGGTGAAAACTTAGAAAGTAAAAGGCAAATAAAAAGGAATGAGATCATGTCCTTTGCAGGGACATGGATGAAGCTGAAAGCCATAATCCTCAGCAAAATAACACAGGAATAGAAAACCAGATACCACATGTTATCACTCCTAAGTGGGAGCTGAACAATGAGAACACATGGACAGGGAGGGGAACATCACACACCGCAGCCTTTTGGGGTGTGGGAGGGTGAGGGGAGGGAACTTAGAGGGTAGGTAAATAGGTGCAGCAAACCACCATGGCACTTGTATACCTATGTAAAAAACCTTCATGTTCTGCACATGTATCCTGAAACTTAGGGCAAAATTTAAAAAGAAAAAAAGAAAGTAAAAGTCAAAAATAAGGAAACTGTCACAGAGAAAAGAACTACAGGTATAAAAGAGAGAAAAAAAAAAGTAAACATATCATTCCATAAAAGAGCCAAGAACTCGTAAAATCTTTGATTATGCTAAAGATAATGCTTCACCCACTCTCCAAATTGAAATGGGGTTGAGTTAGCAACTTGGGAGATTTGAACTACTCTGTATAATTGTGGGTGAAATTATGATGAGGATGCTAAGGGGAAGGTAAACTAGAAGACAGAGACCAGCAAAATAAGACACTTGCATGGACTGAGATGGCAGATTTGAGAAGCTTCAGGGCACTAAGTTGCTCAACAGAGACTTGATAGACAAACAATTCCTGCATTCTTGGGTGGGAGTGGGTGTGTGTGTTAAAATACGTGCTATGGGCCCTGATAGCACCTCTCTCCCTCTTTGTCACTCTTTGTGTCTTTAATAGAGACTACATTACTCACTCATGTTTTTCTGTAGAAGTCAGTTATTTTGGGTAAACTTGAAGGGAGGCTGGATTTTATGTGTCGCAGATGCAAGGCAAGGCCAGATTATGTAGGATGGCTGGCATTAAAAACAAAAGTGATTAAGTGATTTTGAGAGTCTGAAGATTGTGTGTGCACACATGAAATAAAAACATGAAATCCGCAGGCTTGGAGATGACATCTCTTCCCATTTTCATGTAGCACTCAGGTCTGTCTCCAGCCATGGGCTAGAAAGTGGACTCAATGGTTGAAATATGAAAATCAATCTCAGGCTTAGGTTAGGTTTCTTCTCCTACCCCATATGACAAAATAGCCAAACTGAGAAGGAGTTCAGTGGTAGACACATATTATTAAAATAGTGGCATTCTGAAATGTAGAAAATAATAACAGTTTCCAACAGGCACAAAGTCATGTGGGCTTTCTGCATGGGAACGAGGGAGTATATGTTTTAGGGTGTTTGTGTGGTGGGCCCTAAGATGATTGTGATAAAGCTGAAAATAAGAATGATTGATTAAGCATCTTAATACTTGGGGTGTTAATCTGTCTAGGAATAAACTTTGAGTTCGACAATGATATCACCCTTCTGGGCAGGCTCCTTGTGGAAGGAAGGCACTCCCAGGGAGACTGCCCAGTGCATGTCTGGTTGACTTCATTATAGGCAGAGATAATTTAGGTCTCAACGATGGCATTTTTACACTGCAGCTACACAGTGCCAAAGGAAAACATGAGACAGGGTGAGAAAAATGTGGGTTAAGTGAGCAAGAAACAAAAAAGAATGAAGAGTATAAAGAATCATTCAGTTGATAGGAAGGAATTGGATGGTCCTCATATTCCCCAATTGAGTCTCCCACCTTCTGATCTTCATGACCTTGGTAGAGCCATGACAGGTTTCCTCCAAGGATGCCCACAGCTCATGCACCAAAGGTAGATCCCACATTTTTTCCTAAAGGTACAGTGTTTCTAGGGTCATCTTGGACTCCTTATTAGCCCACTGAAGCCAAAGTGGCAAAAGGCACCAAATGTTTTCTCACTGCCATCCACATCAACTGAGATAAAAATATTGAATGGCCACATGTAGGAGTTACTGATGAAGAAGTTTTCAAAGAGGTAGGAGTCATCAAAGAAAGGGACAAGGTTTTGTGGGAGGTCCTCAAGAGTAGCATGATGACAGAAGTCCCTCAGCCACCCGATACACCACTGCTGGTCTTCATGCCTACAGGAGGAACCAGGCAGAGGCAACGCGGCCCATCCTGGCCCTGTCGTAATGTTGTGGGAAAGGGGTCCTGATCCAGACCCCAAGAGAGAGTTCTTGGATCTCGTGCAAGAAAGAATTCATGACAACTCCGTAAAGTGAAGGCAAGTTTATTAGGAAAGTAGAAGAATAAATGAATTGCTACTCCATAGACAGAGCAGCCCCAAGGGCTGCTGGTTGTCCATTTTTATGGTTATTTCTTAATGATATGCTAAACGAGGAGTGGATTATTCATGTCTCCCCTTTTTAGACCATATAAGGTAACTTCCTGACTTGCCATGGCATTTGTAAACTGTCATGTTGGTAGTGGGAGTGTAGTAGTGAGGATGACCAGAGGTCACTCTTGTGGTCATCTTGGTTTTGGTGGGTTTTAGCCAGCTTCTTTACTGCAACATGTTTTATCAGCAAGGTTTGTATGACTTGTATCTTGTGCTGACCTCCTATCTCATTCTGTAACTTAGAATGCCTTAACTGTCTAGTAATGCAGCCCAGTAGATCTCAGCCTCATTTTACCCAGCTCCTATTTAAGATGAAGTTTCTCTGATTCACACACCTCTGACATTTTCCCCCTCCCTTTTAAAAGAGAACCCTTAATCCTAAGGGTTGCAAAGGGATGAAGATCCATTTTCTGTAACTTCTTCAGGCGGAATAGGGGCGATAATATTTCTGCCTAGCTATTAGGGTCTCTTGTGTTCAGAGTAGAGAGGAGCTCAGTCAGAAAGCAACAGTATGCTGGGGGCCATTCATGACTCTTGAGTTCTGAAAAGAGGTGACAGCTGGAAGAGTTCAATTTAAGAAAACATTGAGTAAGCTTATTCTGTGTTCCTATAAAATGAGTACAACAACAGTATATTCCACAAGAGTAAAGCAAAATAAGTAAAATTATCCCAAGTAAACTAAATAAGAAGGCTTTCCATGAACTGGGCAACTGCTGGAACCAAGCTGATATGGTATTGCTAGCTGATTGTAATGTGCCCATAATAAGAATATTCATCCAGATATTTACATTACCTATCCCTTTTGTTTCTTCTAAGCAACAGTCGGAGATTACCGGTTGGTTCACAGGAATAAGCAGGGTTAGCTTAAATTGCAGAAACAAACTTAAAAATAACCAATGAGACTAGAATTTAATAACAAGCATACCATAGTTCTTGAAACATAACATTTCTCTCTCCAGTTTCCCATTTTTACTAAAGATAAATAATGGTAAGACTGATTTGTTTTATTACACTTGGCCTGGTTATGTGTATAAAGTGCAGCAAGAATAATTATTTTTCAAATAAGCTCTTTGTAAATTGGCTTTGATGGAACTCTGTTCCACAGAAGGAATCTCAGATAAGACTTTTTTTAAGGCCAAGATCTGCCATGGGTTTGTACCCTCAAATACCTATGAATTGAGTAAATTCCCATTCTCTTGAGGTCCCAAGATAACTTGGGGCTCCTGGACCTGTTGGAAAGTGACATTCTTTACTTACCACAAGTCAGAAATGTTATATAGGGACTGTATAGGCAAGGTATGAGGCCAGTTCCCCAAAGGGCTTTTATTGGCTTTATAAGTCAAGTTTTAATTGCTTAAGGAAAGCATGCCATTCCCTTTACAATTTTTGTTAAAGAGCAGATAAGTGCTCTAAGAAAAACCTGTTGTGCTTTTGTTCCAATGTTTAATTTATGGAAAAACTGAAGAATACCCCTTTTACTTTAGCCTATATGTTCACACACAGAATCTCTTTTACAATTAATTTTTTACAAACCTTCCATAACTTGTTCAAATCTTTAGCTTTATTCTATCTAACTTAAAACAATGCTTTAACCTTTTAATCTAGGCCAAAAAAAAAAAATCATATTCCCATGCCTTCTTACAATCTTTACCAAAAGTACATTCTACTTTCCTTAGACACCTTGTATGTAAAACTTCTGTAGTCTCAATTGTATGTTATACTGTTAACTCTTAGCGACTTTTACTTTTGATGAAAACCTTGGTAAGTTTGGGTTTTTAATTGTGTACTAGGTGTGGAGCCTAGCCTAGGACACATCAGGCAGAAGTGCAGATAAAAGCTGACTCTCCAGCATAGCTACGGGGTGTGGCTAACTCCACATGTCCCCAGGCGGTATCTAGAATCTAATGCTCCAAAGTAGGTAAATTGGGCCGGGTGTGGTGGCACATGCCTGTAACACCAGAACTTTGGGAGGCTGAGGCAGGCGGATCACCTGTGGTCAGGAGTTCAAGACCAGCCTGGCTAACATGGCCAAAACTTGTCTCTACTAAAAATACAAAAAAATTAGCCAGGCCTGGTGGCACACACCTGTAGTCCAAGCTACCCAGTAGGAGACTGAGGCAGGAGAATCGCTTGAACCTGGAAGGCAGAGGTGGCAATGAGCCGAGACACACCACTGCACTGCAGCCTGGGCAACAGAGTGAGACTCCATCTCAAAAAACAAACAAACAAACGAAGTAGGTAAATTGAACAATTTCCAAAAGTCATAGAAGCAGTTTATGACCTTAAATCATTTAGTGAACTTAATATCTGACCTGTATAATTTAGACCAAATGTCTTTATTTTACCAATAATCTTTAAAACTGTTTTTGTTTCCCAAAGATTACTTAGGTCACATGAACTATAAGGCATTACACTTTTTATTTTTCTAACAAAATATTTGATTTAAGCTTTCATTATTATTAAACCAATTAATTAAAGCTTTTTCATATATAAACATCACACATATAATACATGTAAATACACAGACAGACAGAAGATAAAGGATCATCCCCTAAGCCAGAGTTGAACCCTGAACCTCAGCCTCCATTGTGAAAAAAGAAAGCACAGCCACATGGTTACAAGTTACATGTTCCAAGGACATGACTGACCAGTTTGCTGGTTTGTCTTAACAGTGGGCTTTTAAGTTGTCCTAAGCCCACGTTGTATCCTAAAGTACCCCTCATTATGACAGAACAATACAGAAAGACAAATTCATAGCACAGACTACAACAGATTCACTATAGCTTAAGTATAGCCTCACAAATTCTTTTTCCCATTAATTAAAACTTAACAGGAGATAAACAGTGATCTTTACCATTCAACCAGTTTGCACGCAGAGAGAAAGGAAAGCATTGCCTGAGGCAGGGTGGGGAAAGTGAGGCGCTCAGGGAGGCCAGATAAAGACCCACCCATTGCAGCTACAGTGAAAAGTTCAGCGGCTGCCTGTCTGTCATGAAGGGATCTTTTCCAGCAATCCCATCATCTCTCAAGTTTCTCCTTTTAGGGAGGAAAAAGCTCCCCACGTCCCACAATCCTGTACATATGGAACCCTGTCACCCACAGCCATCAGCAAAGGCAGTTAACCCAAAGAGAATAACAGTTAACATCCCGTAGTGCCAAATCGGTTCTTAACGGAAAGGGACATTATTGGGAGGGGTCTCCAACCTTCTAAATCTTAGAAGGGACTCTAACCCAATCCCATCCTTTACCCGGGTACCCCACCACTTACCCAAAGTCATCCAATCAGTGCTGTAGTCTATTTCCTTTGGGTCGGGGGATCTGCTCAGTATCATCCCTTTAGGGTTCACCAGAAATACGTCATCGGACCTCAACACTTACCCAAAGTTAGCCTTCGGGTCAGGGGTTTTCTCACTATAGTTGCTTCCGTGGTCACCAGATTTTACAGTACCCCAACACTTACCCAAAGTTAGCCTTTAGGTTGGGGGTTTCTGCACTATTGTCCCTTTGTGGTCACCAGAAAGATATTACAAGAAAGGGGTCCTGATCCAGACCCCAAGACAGGGTTCTTGGATCTCGCACCAAGAATTCAGGGTGAGTCCATAGAGTAAAGTGAAAGCAAATTTATTAGGAAAGTAGAGGAATAAATGAATGGCTACCCCACACACAGAGCAGCCCCAAGGGCTGCTGGCTGCCCATGGTTATTTCTTGATGATATGCTAAACAAGGGGTGAATTATTCATGCCTTCCCTTTTTAGACCATATAAGGTAACTTCCTGACATTGCCAGGGTATTTGTAAACTGCCATGGCACTGGTGGGAATGTAGCAGTGAGGATGACCAGAGGTCACTCTTTTGGTCGTCTTGGTTTTGATGGGTTTTAGCCGGCTTCTTTACTGCAATCTGTTTCATCAGCAACATCTTTACTACCTGTATCTTGTGCTGACCGCCTATCTCATTCTGTGACTTAGAATGCCTTAACCATCTGGGAATGCAGCCCAGTAGGCCTCAGCCTCATTTTACCCAGCTCCTGTTTAAGATGGAACTGCTCTTGTTCACATGCCTCTGACACTAATACCTTTACCCTGCCCTATGTGCTGAATCAATGGCTTAGAAAGAAATGTTTTAATATCTGAATTTTCACTTATTTTTTTATCCCCAAATCCCCTTTCTAACTCAGTTTAAGTAATTGAGAGGCTTATATCCTGAGTTTAAGAACTTCTCTTGGTTCTCTGTCTTGTTTTCCAGATCTTCCAATTCATTTTGCCCATGAAACTGTGAGCTCTGTGAGGACAAGGTTCACATCTCTCTTCTTCTCTGTTGTGTCACCTGCACTGGGGACAGAGAAAGCCTGGTACAAAGTAAACATTTGAAGCTCAGAACCTTTGCCTGAGTTGGTCTGCTTCTTCCACCCTCCCATCTGTGGGTCCGATGAGGGCATCTGGGACCACAAAACCTACTGGCATGCATGCCTGTTTCAGTGAAAATGAGACGGCTAGAGGAGAGTGCTCTGGCTGGGTTATGGATGTGAAATTGATAGCAAGCTTTCATGTTTCAGGGTTTTTTTTCTATATATAAACACTGCTGCTCTTTGGAGGGTTACGTGCTTGCATCCTAAAACAGCACCTTAATCTCCCTGGAATTAAATTTCATGACTGCTTTGCAGAAACTGTCATGGGTAGGAATAGGATCCTCCATTTGGAGGGGTTATGGTGTGTAGCTTCTTCAGGTCTCTGAGGCTGAAAATCCCTTGGCTCCTTGTATCACCTCCAAGAGCTGTAACTTCATTATGCAGTGATTACTGTCATTTATGGGGAAAGACTGAGTATTTGCAATGGATAGATCAGAGCTCCCTCCCATTATACACACAGTCACTCAGAAGGATTCTTATTTGTGGCTTTCACTTTTCATTTGGCTTCCTCTGCTCAGGTCAAAGAGATTAAACTTAAGAACCTAGGGGAAGAATAAAAATATTAGTACTTTTTGATTTGTTTGTTTCAGTATTTCTTCTGATCTTTTCTGAAGACAGCTTAGGGTTATAAAGAAAAGTTTAGACTATAGGCCTGGTTTGTCATTATTCTCTATATGACAGTCAGCAAACTGATGTCTCACAGTCACTATTTCTTCAGCTATGAAATAGAAATATCAACTATTCAGATGGGTATCTGTAAATGAAAGGGAAACCCAGTTATTAGTTGTTTTATTATTCTGGGAATCCTTTGTCTCACTAGGCTGTCTCCCTGGTCTCCAGAAACCAGGGATGAGAATCTCAACACCTCCTTAAGTTGCTTTAAAAAATCTACTCCTGCCAGGCACATTGGCTTACACCTATAATCTTAGCACTCTGGGATGCTGAGGCGGGAGGATTGCTTGAGCATGTGTTTGAGATTAGCGTGGGAAACATAGTGAGACCCTGCCTCTACAAAAATAAAAACAATTACCCTGATATGGTGGCTCTTGCCTATAGTCCCAGCTACTCAGGAAGATGAGGCAGAAGGATTACTTCAGCCCAGGAGATCAAGGCTGCAGTGAGTCATGATTGCTCCACTGCATTCCAGCCTGAGTGACAGGGCGAGACCCTGTCTCAAAAAAAAAAAAAAAAAAAAAAAAAAAAAAAAAAAAAAAAAAAATCTGCTCCTACAAGTGTCTTCATAAGCAATGTCAATTTTACTGAAGCTTTTATAAGATTAAAGAGGAAATTTATATTACATACATGATTTTTTTTTTAACTTTCATTACTCATTGTTGCTCTCCTAAAGACCTTCAGCTGAGCAGCTCTGGGTATGATGGAGCCAGAAGTGCTTTCTAACTCTTCCTCAGCAGAGGGTCTGGTCTACCTGGACTTTCTCATTCCCTTCCTAGGGAACTTGAATTCCTTACTCTACTATTACTATGCAGAATAGCTTTCTACTCTTTGAAGCCTTGGGGCCTTGAAACCCTAAGGGGACTTCCAAAAACAAATCAGGCAGGTATCTTTAATGAAGAAGTTGTCTTTGTTATAAAGAAAACTTTAAAATTTCTATAGCATCAGATGGCCTGGATTAAAATTCTGATTCTACAATTCACTAGCTTATGACCTTAGGCAAATTGATCCCCCTTGTTGAATTTTAGTTTCCCTCTCTGTAAAATAGGAATAAAAGAATTTATATTATAATGTTGTTTTTATGATTAAATGGGACAATCCAAGAAAAGTGCTTAGCACAAACCCAGAAATATAACCCCATAAACATAAAAAATAAATCTGTAAAATGCCTACATTGAATGCTTTTGACAGGGAGCAATATTGCTATTTCATATGTTTTTACATGAGTCAGATGATATCATGTATGTCAAAATGGTAAAGATTTCAGGTATTGTTAGGAAAATATTTTTATTTGGGTACACGATAAGGCAGGGAGAATTTCTAGAGTCAACAAAGCAGAGTTATCTGTGACAAGAAACAGTTCTGGCTGGATTTTGGAAGTGTGAGAATTTTTTTATGTGTCCAGCACCCTTCTAAATTTCAATGTATTATCTCCCCCATATTCTCAGGCCAAGGTAGCATCACTGTTTTTTCTTACTAGGACAAGTGTGGGTTCATGGATTGGTCTTTCAGCTTAACCAGAGGTCTGGTCAATGGGATTCAATCCCACAAACATTTACCAAACTTCAATCTGATAGGTTTTGATTGGATGGTATCATCTGCTGTATGGTGGACAAGGAGATGTGCCACCCAGATTTCCCTTCATGAAAGGACTTTTTGCCCCAGTTGACAGTGGGCAGCTTCTGCTGACAGTTTCTTCAGGCTTTGCCTCAGCAGCAGAAAGACACCCAAGGGCATGCCCTTCTTAGGGACCCTCATATACAATGACTGATCAAGGCAGGGGTCCGAAGATCCAAACAACCAGGTTATTTTGGCCAACAGAAGAACAATTCTGTGGGGTTGGCTGAGGCTTTGTCAGGCCACATCCCAGTTCAAATCTGCATCTGCCTAGCTTTTTCTTCTCCAACTTTCCCTCCATGTTTGTTGATCTCTAACAAAAATCCTACAAGCCAAACTTTGTCTCAATGTCTGCTACCAGAGAAGCCAACATATGACATATTATTTAGGACCTACATCCTTGACCTTTTAGTGAATTCCTAGGACCATGCTAAACATTGTGGGGTTTATAAAGGAGGTGCACATTCTTGTCCCCAAGAAACTCCCTAGGAACGCAAAATACACATGCACACATATACATGCTCACACACATGTACACATAAATACATGTGTACTAAAGTAACTAAATAATAACGGAATATTATTTAGGTGATAATATGCAAATATAAGTGATTGTGTCACAAAATGACAGGCAGAGAGAATGTATACAGAAAATTTAAAAGGCCAGTCTAGTTCAGGGAAAGGAGATGGGCTTGTGTGGACTCTGAGGGTTGGGAAGAATTGGGAAAAGCACCCTAACATATAATTTAAAATGTTTTCCCTTCTAGCAGAAAATATGCATTCTGGCCTTCTCAATTCATGATAAACAACCAGATTAAATGTAGCTACTAATCCCATGAGCCCTTGCAATTTGTCAGGAAATTGCAAAACGGGAGCCTAGAAATCTGGAGGACTGCAACAGAACCAAGAAGCCATGCTCATTTAATACAGCTGACCTGGCAGCTTAAAGGTCATCGTGGTGTATTGGGTATGGAATGTGTTGAGCAGCCTTAAGGAGATTCTGGAAGGTTTCAGATAAGAAGGTTTGGCAAACACCATGTCTGTGCTCACTCACTGGGCTCCAAAACTGGCTTCCCACTTGGTTGCAAATGTTGGATGACAGGACCCCTGTCAGATCAAATCCTGGGTCCCCTCAATACACACAGAAGGAGGTGAGGTCTAAGCAGCATTTGTCCAATGGGCAAATAAATGAACAGGCAGAAGAAAACACTCTTCCAAGCTGCCTTACTCTTTTATTCATTCAAACATTCATTCAACATTATTTATTGAAAGCTTACTATGTGTCAAGGACTGTTCTAAATACTGCACTCAAAGGTCATAAAGGTCTAGCGGGAGTGAGAGATCATAAAATATAAAAAATCAGAAAAACAAATGATTACCATTTTGATAACTGCTATAGCATCAATAAATAGGGAAAAAGTGAGGACAAGCTCCTCAACACAGGCCAGTGGGGAAAGGCTTTCCAAAGGAGGAGACAAGTAGGTAGAAACCATAGAACTGGGTGGGAAGGTAGCAGGTGAGGTGAAGGGATTACATTTTAGGCAGGAAGAAGAGCTTGTGGGAGGAGTCTGAGAAAGAAGGTACTGTAGAACGTTTGAAAAATTATGAAAAAGCCAGGTGGCTAGAAAAGAGTGAAGGAGGGGCAGGTAACTCAAGTGAGGATGGAAAAGAAGCAGGATAGATCACTCAGGGCTGTGTCAGGAGTTTGGATGCAACCCATGGGCAAAGGGAAGCTCATTAAACATGAACAGTAATCCAGTTAAGTTTAAAAGCACATTCCTTCTGCAAGGTGGAGAACTGATCCCAGATGGCTTGACCAAAGACTTTGGAAGGCCAGTGTGATAGCATGTTCTTGGTCTCTGCGTCTTCCACTCTTCTGTTGCTTTGTAGTGGTTTCCAGCCCCAGAATTGAACTGCAGAACTTATCATGGTGCGTGCATGCTGGTGAAACTGGTGGTCTCCTAAATTGAGTTTGGGGAGATGCATATGAGAAAGGCAGTGGAGCACATCTAGAAATAACTTAGGTGTTGGTGCCAGTTATGTGGCATGTTGAGCTTTGATCATTTCACCTCCCTGGGCCTTGATTTTGTTCATCTTTAAAGAAAATTAAACAGCATCCTCTCTACTTTCCCTGTACAGGGTGGGGGGTGAGGAGTCATGAGATAACAAATGACTTAGAGGCATAGTACTTTTATAACCTGGAATTAGATGGCAGGAAAACAACAAAAAAATAGCATGGTAGTTTTTAGAAAATAGAGCTATTTTCTTCATAAAATATTGTTATTAAATTACCAGTAAGACAGATAGACTACATTGGTGAGAAGTCAGAAGGATAGAATTTGAAAGAAGAGACATAATTTTGCTATTTTCAAGTATATACATTTATAACAAGTAGAGAAAAATTTATTTCTGGTGATAATGCTACAGAATTCCTCTTAAGATATGCAAACCATATTTCTTGAACAATGTCCCGAGACACTGTCTTGGGGTCATTGAGCTGCAGTGGGGAATGCATGTCAGCTTACACAGAGCCTTCAGAGAAGGGCAGAACTATCTACCTCCTAATAGCAGGGAAGAAAACTTGCTCCTAAAAGGGAGGGGAAAAAAAGAAAATGGCAAGGAATGAACAGGAGAGGAGGGGAGAGAGACAAGAGTGGCAGAAAACATTGTAGGATACCGTGTTTTCTCTCCCCTTGACCCCTCAAATCTTCAGTAAGGTGATCTAGCTCACAAAATGGGAGTAGCTTTACTTCCCTGAAAACAGGAGAATGGGCCAATGGCACAACTGACTGCAGGAGATAAGGACAGAAGTCATCAAGAGAATGCAAGGTCCTGGGGACTCCTAAAAATCTTGGAGCTTCGGAATTAGTCATTCAAACCAAGATTGCTTTGTTCGCCAAAAGGCAAGAATGCCACTGCTATAACCTGAGTTATAAGGGAAAGCAAACAAAGATTATTACAGAGTACACTTAGATACGCAGGTATCTCGCAAATGAGCACATTCATTAAAGCTGCCCACTTACTTGAGACTAGTTATTGTTTTGTTTTTTAATGCAGACCTAAGGGTCACCTTTCTCACATCATTGTTTGCATTGCCAAACTCTTTCTTCCCAGAACATGGAAGCTTAACCAATTCCTTCTCCAAATCATATAATTCCAGTTCACTTGAACTAGATGCATTTCTGTGCATTTCTTTAAACAGCCATCAGAATACAAGGTAGCATGAGCTTATCTGAGAGGTAAGCAGCAAAGAAATCACTGACTTAAGTGGGTGGAGAATAAAGACTTCATGCTTCCTCCTAGGAAATAGCATTCAAGAGAAAAAGACATTTCTTTTTTTTTCTTTTTTATTAACTGTTCTTTTTAAGTTCAGGGATACACGTGCAGATTTGTTACATATGTAAACTTGTGTCATGGGGGTTTCTGGTACAGATTATTTCATCACCCAGGTATTAAGCCTAGTACCCATTAGATATTTTTCCTGATTTTTTTCCTCCTCCCACCCTCCAGTCTCAAGAGGGCCCCTGTGTATATTATTCCCCTCTATGTGTCCATGTGTTCTCATCATTTACGTCCCACTTATAAGAACAAGTGGTATTTGGTTTTCTGTTCCTGCATTAGTTTGCTAAGATAATGGCCTCCAGCTCCATCCACGTCCCTGCAAAGGACATGATCTCATTCTTTTTTATGACTGTGTAGTATTACATGGTGTATATGTACCACATTTTCTTTATCCAGTTTATCGTTGAGGGGCATTTAGGTTGATTGCATGTCTTTGTTATTGTGAATAATGCTGCAGTGAACAGACGTGTGCATGTGTCTTTATAGTTGAACAATTTACATTCCCTTGAGTATATACCCAGTAATGGAATTGCTGAGTCAAATGGCATTTCTGTCTTTTAGTCTTTGAAAAATCACCACGTTGTGGAGGAAGACATTTCTAATATAGCATTTTCAGATTTGATTTTCATTATGACATTTCTTTAATATTATAAAATGCTTAAGAATATTGGCTCTAGAAACTAATTCCTAAGTTCAAATTCTTATTCTATAACTTGCTATTGTGTGACCTTTTGCAAGTCTCTTAACCTCTCTGAGCTTCAGCTCAATCTTCCATAAAATGAGCACAGGATTATGGTAAGTATTAAGAGTAGATGAGTCCTTACCAGAGTGCCTGGTACTGCATAAACACTTAGCAAATACTGTCTTTATTTCTATAATTATCACTATATTTAATATGTGTGCTCTTTATCATTGCTACCTAGAGCTGAAACTGCATACAAAAATCTATTAATAATACAATTTCTCATTTAACTAGTCTAAGCTAACCTTTAAAGAGGTGAGTTTATGCTCAAAGTTATATATTTGACATTTCTAATCTAATGCTTATTTTTATTGGCTCTTCCTGGTTGCAATGGTATCATCAAAACTTACCGGTTCTATTGTCACAATCTTCTGCTAAGGCAAAAGGAAGAATCCTATTCAACTGAACTCATTAATGGCTGATAAGGACATAAGGTATAAAATAACTTAGATGTAATTTTCTTCATTCTTAATTCAAAGGCATGGGTTATCATGGATGGATGGCATGTTTATGGATACCATTCATGGACAGACACTCCAAAAAATTTACCTCTTATCTCGAGTTTTGCTTTGATTTAGTCACATGACCATGAAACAGTCATTTAGCCTTTCTAGGTCTTACTTTGCTCATTAGTAACATAACATCAAGAAATACGTCTAGGTCCATTTTTATTTTAAGGCGTATGAAATTCATATTACATTTTGAAAAATTTTAGAGAATGTTCTAGATCTGGATCTGCAATTAGAATGTATAGAAAAAAGAATAGGATCAAAACCAAGAGATTCAGGTTCTGAATCCAATTCTCCTATGTTTTTATTATGACTAAATTCTTGATTTTATTCTTGAATAAACTTTGCTTCTTCGTTATCTTTAAAATAAAATTATTACATTAAAGCTATACCCTCCAAAGCAATCCATGGATTTGCAAAACAATGGGTTAGGTGTATAGATTTCCTTGCTATAGGAATTCCCAGTGAGTTGAAATGCCAATGTGCACCGTGGCTATTAGAGCAGGGATTACTTTACAGTCTTTCTAAAATTTCTTTTATGAAAGAGCCATTCCTTTTTTCCCACTGTGGCGCTTACTTCATGAAATACCCTTTAAAAAAAAATGGAGCCAGGCAACCAGCAAAGTCCTTTGTGATTTTGGCAGCTCTAGCCCTAGTCTTCTGTGAATTTGGGGTGAATATGGCAGCAGGGATGAAGGAGAAACAGATTTCAAACCATAGATTCAGTGCAGCCTCATTCAACATCCACAGCAGAGCAGCAATGCTCTCAAAGAGTTAAACTGCCCTCCCTTAAGCCCAAATTCACAGGCCCAGAGGAGTTTGGGATCTAAAGGAGTTATCCTTTTTTTTTTTTTTTTTTTTTTAAGTCTATTTATCTGTCGCTAATAGAAAGATGGGAAAAAATTCTATAACATAAAATATTATAAGCCTCTGTTCTGTGGGATTTTTATAATTCAAGTAAAAGCATTCTGGAAAATGAAAACTTTAAAGAGGTTTCTTTTGCAGAATGGAACAAAAGAGTTGGGCCTCTTCACCTGGCTAATGCTGATAATTATCTGTGAAGACCTCTCTTGCTCTCTCAGATGAGTTTCTCTAGGTTTCAAAAGGAACTAATTCCCCAACAGCTTGAAAGGATAGAAAAGAGGTTGTCAGATGATAAAGTTGTTTGGCTTGACATAAAAGATTCTGAAACTCAGTATGAAAAGAAATGCTTCTAACATGACCTCCTCAATGACAAAAATTGGCATGTTTTAAAATTGCCACAATGTTTTATACAAAGTTTTTTATAAACAAACCAATGGTCTAATGTTGTCTTTATTATAAATTTGGTGATGATGGTATTAGAAAACTTGTAATTTAAACCCAGTAAGGAATGAAATAGAATTACTAAATTAAGTATTCGAAGTAAAGACCTTAGAGATTAACTTGTTTGTTGTCTTTCATTCAAAGAAGAAGAAATCAGTCCAGAGAGAGAAAGTGACTTACACCAGGTCATGTGGTAGATTAGCGTCAGAGCCCAAGTTAGAAATCTTGTCTCAAACATTATTTTAAAATAAGCTGGATTTGGCAGACATGGATCTGGATATTTTATTTTTTTAATATGCAAGCTTTTGTTTTAAAATCCTTACTATAATCATCCATGAAAATATAGAGTTTTCGTATTTTGAGGAGCTTAATACTATCCCTTTAAGAATAATAATGTGAGCACTTACTTCTAAAACCACAGTAGCAATACTGCTTTAATAAAATGCCACCTAGTGGAGCTTTGGAAGCAAAACACACTTCCTCCATATATCCCTCTCAAAAAGAAACACCTTCTTTACACTCACACTTTAATCAATATCATTATCTCCCTGAGTGCTACATGATTAAAAATAACACTGAAAATTGTCCTACTTCCAGAACACAGCAGGGAAGATGACACTGCACAAAAATAAGTTGGATCACAAGAAAGAAGACATATGGGGTCAAATTGAAACACATGGGGCTAAAGGGCCTTAAATCTTTACCCCCATTTTACTGTAATAGAAAAAAGAATTAGAAGCAAATTTGTTGTGCTAACATCTTTCCATGGTTTGGGGGATCCAAATTGGCCTGGAAGGTGGTGCATGTAAAGGGTGAACATTATGAACAACTTACCAGAAAAAAAAAAACTCTCTGGAATCAGAAAACCTCAGGACTACGAAGTACCTAAAATGGTTTCTGGTTCAGCTTTCAGACTGTGGTGAGGTCCTCACTGATTCAATTTAAAGACCCCACCCAGATAGTAACGTGAACAGCATCATGGAAGAATGAATGGGCCAATCTGTAAAGTTACACATGGAAAACTAAAAATAATGCATGAATACTAGATAGGCTTTTTCAACTCAGTAGAAAAAAGAACCCTCAAAATCAAAAGTGTCCAACATGGAATGAAAAGGCTGTCCCTGGAAGGCTGGAGAAGTATAAGTCGAAACTATTACACTGTTAAATTTAAAGAGGCTTAATATTAACCTCATAGAGACCTAATATTTAAAAGAAATTGGAGGGAACTGTGCTTAAGGGGAGAAGATTTAGGAATCTGTCTTTGTCTTAGGTTGGTTCTTCCGGGAAACAGACTCTGAGAGGGAGATTTGAGTTCAGGATGTTGATTGAGAAGTGCTCTTGGGATCAGTACCTGTGGAGGAGTGAGGGAAACAGGGCTGGGCAGAGGGAGGCATTGAGCAGTTATACACAATCAAGAAAGGCTTCAGCAGATTCCATGAGGAGGTCTAGAGCTGGAATGGCCTTTACAGTTGCCCTGTAAAGAGGCAAGGAAGCTAGACTGTTATATGCCTGCTAATCAGTCATGGCTTTGGGGTTGCCCCAGGGGCAAAGGTGTGATCTTGTATTAACAGCCTTCTTTGAGAATAATTCTCAGAGGGAAATTCAACTGAAAGCAGTCAGCTGTCAATACATGAGTGCCTCAGCTTAAAAGGGGCATGTGGACAGGTCCTGACAGCATCCACTAAAGCATCTCTCCCTGTCTCTCTAGAATGCAACCAGGAAGCTACTCTTGTCATACTCCAAAGCTAAATAACCTTTAGCCTGCAGTTGTTCACAAAAGAGTGTTCCTCAAGCCTTTTTGTTTTCTATCTGCATGCTTCGGAATACCTCCCCCACCACCCCACATACAATCGTTTGCATTGGCCCTTTTCTATAATATCTCAGGATACAATAGCCTATGTTATGATAAGATAAAAGTCTAACTCATCTTTTTCTGACATTTGTCATATAAATTGTGTCCCACTTTGACTCTTAACTTCTCTGCACCTTATTTTTTAATCTACCAAATGGGTATAATCATATCCCCTCTCATTATTATTATGGAGACTAGATAAAATAATGGCTGCAAACTAGCATAATATTTAATCCACAGTAAATAATTTGCTATTCATTATTATAGAAAGAGAGAGAGAGAGAGAGAGATTCGTGTATATATGTACTCACACACACAAACACTTTCAGCCCCTAGTCTCCAATGTCTTTGCCTAGACCAATGGTTCTCAGAAGTCCCTAAGACCCTTTTCATTGGCTCAAATTGTTTTTGTAGTAATACTACAGTATTAATTGCCTTTTTCACTTTCCTTTTTTTCTTGAGGGTAAAATGAAGTTTTTCAGAGGCTGACATGTATTGATATCATTTCTTTGATGTCAATATGTAATGAGTTTATTACTGCTATTTTGAAATAAATTTACAAAAATTTAACTTTTTTTTCTAATTTCCCATGTGCTAAATATGGAGAGATGTAATCTATGTAAAGAAAACCTTTCGGGAAGTCCTCAGTAATTGTTATAAGTGCAAAGTGTCCTGAACCTAAAATGTTTGAGAACCACTGACCTGGACATACCGTTGCCTCCTTCCAAACTTCTCTCCACATTCACCACCCACTTTTACCACCAAACCTGCCTGACAGCCTTCCCTGACTTCTATTTCAAGGCTGCTCTCTCTGCTTTTAATATTAAGATCAACTCAGGATACGTTCTTGGAGATGGAGACATGGGATGAGGTCAGAGAGTACGCAATATGTTTTGCCCTGAGGGACAGTCACATGAAAGCTTCTTGAATATCAAATGAGGTACCAGTGAATCAAACATCGCAGTTAGAACTTGCACAGAAGATGCTGAGTGGCACCAAATGGATCACAGTGACTGACGCCCTGCTGCACAGTTGCTGACTATATTTTAGAACAAGCATGTGCAGAACTATGTGGATCCCATCGTTAAATAAATTATCACGTGAGACTTTCTCTAGTAATTACCATAGAGATGACTCACTCAAGTCAATTTGACAGTGGGACAGAAAGTTGCAACAATGCAGTTTTAAACTGTCAGAATTTAGAAAAGAAGTAACTCTCATGATATTTGCACAGACCTTAGTTTCTTATCTTCTCTCTAGCCCTTGAGGATTGTAAGCTTTCAATGGAGGAAGGGGTAGGAATAGCAACAGGAACATGGTGTGTCCCTGCAAAAAAGAATTTTATGCAAAAGGGAGAACAAAAAATGGTAAGAAAGGTATTTGTAATGCTACAGAACTCTGCGTCCTGCAGCAGTTCAGGTGCTGCTCTCATTTTTTCCTCCCAAAAGTCCTGTAAAGTAGAAATGGCCACCCACATTTGACAGATAAGAAACTTGAGCATAGGAGATGTATAAATGACTTGCTTGAGGCCACTCCTCAATTCGGTGATAGAATTGGGTTGCTCACCATGTCTTCCCCCACAAAAAAATCACACTTTGCCTTTTGTGAGCCAGATTGATCCAATTTTGAATTTAATTTAGTGTTTATTAATCACCTAAATAGGCACTGAGCTAGAATCAATAGGGTCTTCAAAGACGAAGCTGTACATACCCACATGGCCCCTGCCCTCAACGGAGCCATTGTGATAATGAAGTAGACATAGAGTCCTGCAGAAACCCAGAAGGGGGTGAAAGGGAAGAACTCCCTGAAGAAGGTATAATTCTTGTCCTATTTTATAGACAAGAAAACAAGAGTCTCCAAAGTGATGAAACAATGTGTTCAATGTACACAAGTAGGAAGATCTAGAGTGTGGATTCACATAGCAGCCTGTGTGATTCATAAACCCCAGGACTGTTCTGGGGGGCACACTCCTCAGCATAAGGACCTGAGGAACACCTTGTATGATGAGTGTGTACAGCGGACTAGGATGTCTTTGTCCACCCCTCAATTAGATTTACACCCTCCCTCTAGCCAGTGTGGCCTAATGGCCAGGAAGTCAGTGTTATGAGTAACAGAAGAGACTTCAAAAACTAGTAATAAACATCTGCTTGCAGAAGGGCGCTCTGGATGGGGAGCTGGGGGGATGTGAAAAAGTTTTATCATTTACCTGACAGCTCTTTTGTGCTTTTATCGTACATCATATACAAGTGTTACTTTTTTAATTAAAAGAAAGGTTACTTACAGGGAAAGGGGGGTATAGAGGGAGAGAAGAACGAAAGAAGGGAAGAAGGGGCCTTTGAGACGGGATTAAAGGGTGTATAGGATTTTGAAAGATAGGCAAAGGGAGAAGACACATCAGGAGACAAAAATTTGAGCAGAGGCTGCAAGATAGCAAAGTACAAAGCTTTTGTGAGGAAAAGCCTGAAGTAGACAGAATGATGAAAGACCAGAAAGGATTATAGGGAGATAAAGTAGAAAAAGACAGATGGGGGCAGATCCTGGAGAGCTGTGCCTGTCATTAAAGAAGATCAAATTTCCAGACCAGCTATGAAGAGTAAGGAAGAAGGAAAATGATTTCTTTTCCATAGTTCTTCACATTTCAGAAATACTTTCACCAGAAAGACTTCTAAAAATTTCTTCCCCCTGACCAATTGTAAAATTACATTGTCTAACCAAATTTATAATTTTCCACACTAGAATGGATGCCTTTCTTGTCTAATTATTTTATTCCTTTCTTGATACCATCCTCTGCCTTATTTTTGTATCCTAATTTGATTCTAAACCTCAGCTTTCTAAGGATTATGAAACAGCAAAAACATACTGACCTGCAGCTTTGCTGATCAGAATTATCAGAGGGAAGAGTGATTTCAGAGTGTCTCAACCAGTCCCCTTAGTTCACAATCAACACAGTGAGGCCCAGAGAGGGACAGGGCTCTCCCAAGGTCACACAGACAAACTCACAGTCCAGTGCCCTCATCAGTTTTCTGTGTCTGGCCCATCACCTGTTTGCCTGCTCAACTCGTTCCAGGGGCTCAGTTTTTGCTGAGGTAAGAGCAGATTCCAAACCAGATCATCATTTTTCTACATAAAGAGAATATCATTACCCTGCTTTCAGGAGTCAGGAGGGAAAGCACAGAGAGATCAGGGGCTGGCCCATGTCACACAACCAACTTGGCCAGAACTGATGCCATACTCATCTCTCCACAGTCCCATGATATCTCCATTTTCTTCACCCTGCAAGCGATTTTGGCATAAAGTTCTAGATGGGAAAATAGATGCAATCAATATGCCATTACTGTACCCATTTCCAAATTCAAAAGGACCAACTTTCATCCAAGAGGCCATGTGTCATAAAATATAAAGGCTTCTGCCACTCTACCTCCAGAAGCACTTCCTATTTGACCATAGAGTAGACACAGTCAGGGGAGAATTGGAGCAGAGTTTGGAAGTTAATCTATACTTTAGTCCCCAGCAAATTGCCTTTGAGTTTCTGCTTAAATTTTGAATAACATGCTACAACTACATATCAGGCAGTTTTCCCTATTTTCAGTCACTTGTTTTAAAGTTGTATTGTTATTAAAATCTCTATAATGATTCAATCTCAAAGGACTTCATGCTCAAGAAGTACAGTCCGTATGCAATAATAATGAGAAAGGAATTTCATTCTACACTCAAGAGCATGAGAAGGGACCCAAATAAAGGGACTACAACTGTATATAATGAAATTCTCTTTCTTCTTTCATCCTTTTTTCTCAATGTGCAGCTGTTCGACACCAACCTCCCTATCAAAATTCCTCCTCTGCTCCCATTAAGGCAGCTTCTTTTCCCTCTCACTTCAATTACCCTCTCTTTCCCAACCATTTATTCTACAGTTTGACTTGGCATCTCTCTTAGCAAGAAAGCATCACTCCTTCAGAAGAGAAATTTATCTGGCAATTTTGGGATTCTCTTTTGTGGGCTGTGTCAGTGTATGTAAATGTCCTCATATTAGTTCATTCTTGCTTTGCTATAAAGATATACCTGAGACTGGGTAATTTATAAAGAAAAGGGATTTAATTGGCTCATGATTCTGCAGGCTATACAGGAATCATAGCTGGGGAGGCCTCAGGAAACTTGCAATCATGGTGGAGGGCAAAGGGGAAGCAGGCACGTCTTACATGGCCAGAGCAGGAGGAAAGGGGGGCGGGGGGAGGTGCTACACACTTTTAAAACAACCATATCTCTTGAGAACTCTATCATGAGAAGAGCACTAGGGGGATGGTGCTAAACCATTAGAAACCACCTCATGATCCAGTCACCTCCTACCAGGCCCCATCTCCAACACGGGGGATTACAATTTGACATAAGATTTGGGCAGAGACACTGACCCAAACCATATCAGTCCCCTAATTTCTTCCCACTGAACCTGTTGACCCTAGAGTCACTCTTTCACAATACAGGACTTTTCATATTTAACAAAATATCTTAAGCCTGTAACTGCCCTCTTTTCTGTTCTCCAAACTAACCATGCCCATTGTGAAGTCTCTGGGCCTCCATATGTAACATATGATGTGAAATTCTTATGCAAAAAGAGGGTGAAAGAACAGACGTTGGTAGTGTCGTTAGCAAACATTAATTAAGCACTCAAATCTGAATTAAGCCAAGCATCGTTCTAGGTGCTGGGAGTAAGGTGCTAAACAGAATCCCTACCCTAAGAGAGTTTACCATCAGGTTGGAAGAGACTGAAAATAAATAAACAAATAAATATATAAGATATTATAGTGTGATAAAACTATGAAGAAATTAAAATATAACATGAGATAGAGAGTTGCTGGGAGTTAGGGTAGACTTACATTAGCTACAGTGCTCAGGGAAGACCTCTGGAGGTAGTGACTTTGGGGGTGAGACCTGAATAATCCGAAGGAAGCAATTATGTGACAATTGGAAGTCCAGCACAAAGAACTTAAAATGATAATCACTTGGCATCTTCAAGGAAAAAGAAGAGCATCCCACTGGGTTAGGGTGCAGTGCCTAAGGGAAAGAGTGATGGTCTATCACTTCGTGGTGGAGAGCTTGAGGGAATATGGGTAGGGAGAGCACATTTCACTCTTAGCAAGATAAAAAGCTATGTGAGGATTTGAATCAGGGAATGCTATGCTGATTTTTTGTTTGTTTGTTTGTTTGTTTTTTATTTCATTTTATTATTATTATACTTTAAGTTTTAGGGTACATGTGCACAATGTGCAGGTTAGTTAAATATGTATACATGTGCCATGCTGGTGTGCTGCACCCATTAACTCGGGGGGAGCGGGGAGGGATAGCATTAGGAGATATACCTAATGCTAAATGATTTTGTTTTTAAAAGTTTTCTTGGTGGCTATGTGGAGAAACAACTGACAGGAGGCAAGAGAGATGGCAGCAATACCAGGCAGGAGTGGTCCAGGCAGAAGATGAAAGGCGTTCCAACTATGTTTGTAAGAGTGGAGATGATGTGGTTCTGTGATATGTTGGGGAGGTAGACCCAATAGGATCTTGGTTTTTCAGTTGTACAGTCCTGCCAGCATGCTCACAGAATGTTCCTGAAGTCTTCCATGTTACAACCTCTGATTTCTGTGAGCTACTATTCAAATAAAAAGTACACAATACCTTAGAGCAAGCCACCAATTTTAGTTACATTTAAATCTAAACCTGTACTTAGTAAAATTATCACTGAAGTAAAGAGAGTCTGAAGATATGCATTTTTGTGTACAACACAAAAAATGTTTTACATGATTACAGAAGAGTTCAGCTCCTTAAAGCTCCAATAGTTCCAACCCTCCGCCTCCATTTTTTGGTCCCATTTATACCGTATAACTAACTATGACTTCCCCATGGCCAGTATTAGAACTCCAGAGTACCAGGACTGTTAGTTTGACTCCAAAGCTCAAGTGGTGTGGAGGTTTATGGATGACTCCACAATATTGATTCTACTCCAGGTAATTAGTCTAGGCCAGGCCAGGTAATTCTGTTTTTCGCAAATGATTGCCTCTGAAATTTACATAAGTCTCACTTAGTTAAGAAAATGTTAGAAGACAGTATTCTGGAGACTTCTATCAAATACATTCATTATCCCTAGAAAAGAAACACAGAAAGAGAGAGCCATTATTCTCTGGATATTATCATGTCTGGAGGTGAGACATGCAAATCCTACAGCCATCATTGAGTTTGTTACCTTCCATAAAATAAAACCTATGCTGAAGTTGACACAATAAAAAGATGGAAAGAATTTGGGTCCTTGATGACACTATTAAGGCGCCAATCAAAAATGCCTAGAGCCTGCTGTAACTCTAGACTTCAGGTTTTTGTGAGATATATTTTCTTTTTGCCTTAGCTGGTTTGCATTGTAGTTTTCGGTTACATTCAGCCAAATTCATTCCACCAGATATGTTGAGGTTCATTTTTATAAAAACATTAACAGATATTTATTAAGCACCCACTACATGTCATGTACTATTCTAAGTGCTGGTAATACAGAGTTTAATAAGGCAACACTGCCTATTTTTGTGATACTGAATATTCTCATTTGGAGGCAATAGGAAATAAGCAGAAATAAATCAGTAATGTCACATAACAGTTAATGCTATGAAAACAAAATGAGGTAAGATGCCAGAAAAGTACTTAAGGCCATAAGGAAAGGGGCAAAGTCTTATTAAAAAAAATTAGGTCTATGCAGAAGTGCACCAATCACATGGATGCTCATCACAGCAATGTTTGTAAGAGCAAAAGTAATGATACTTACTGGAAATAACCTAATGAAACACATTTTGAAACATTCATATGGCATTCAAACAGGCAAAATATATTGTCAATAAAAAAGACTGGGTTAGGTCAGGTGTGATGACTCACACCTATAATCTCAGCACTTTGGGAGGCGGAGGAGGGAGGATTGCTTGAGGCCAGAATTTTGAGACCAGCCTGGGCAACAGAGAGACCCCCATCTCTACCAAAAAAAAAATTTTAAAAAGACTGGGTTAAAAGAATATATGGGATTATATGACACTCTCTCTTTGACATATTCTTAATAAAAATAAAAAGCTGGTTGTAGAAGAGTATGTATGATGTTACCCCAATTATAGGAATTATATAAAGGACTGATGGATACAGAAAAGTCAATAAAGATAGAGAGATAGAGATAGAGGTAGAAATAGGTAGAGATTTACTTCTCATTGGTATGCAGTAAAGTTTATCAGTGTTGCTTACCTTTCATAAGAGACACAGTAGAAGAGGTAGACAGAAAATAGACTTTTTTATTTCTTGATTTTCTGTGCAGTTTTCAAATTTATTTTACTATGTGCACTTTTAAATTTATAAAAGAAATACATTTAAATTTTTTAATTACATGTAATTTTTTTCAGGGAAAAGCAGAGTGAGGAACAATAAATGTAAGTAAAGATTATTGCTTAAGAGAGGCTTTCGACATGCATGACAACAAAGGAGGATCACCTGAATTGAAACAGGAACCAGGCAGAAAAGGAGGCCATCTGTTCTACCTAGTGTTACCTGGCAAATACTATCCCCACCATCAGGGGTAAACACTGCAGGAAAAAATTCTACCACCAGAAGCTTTGCAATTCCAAGAGCAGCATTGTATGGGACCGGGTGCCAGGATTATCCACAAAGTAATTTCAAAGCAGAGAGATGTTGGAGGAGGATTTTATAAAAATACTTGAGAATGCCAGAACAGGCCAAAGCACCAACAGATCACAGGAGTACCAGGCAAAGTGCCCCATGGCAAGGGACTTCTGAAGACCTGCACATTGAGGAGAAGGTGTAAGATTATTACTGGGTATATTTATATGACCTTGGAGAGATCCTTCCTCCCAGGTCCTTTTGTCTGAGCCAGGCCAAGAACCTGTGTTGATTTCACTTAAGCTGTGACCACCCTCTTCACTGAACATGTGTTTTGAAAAACCCTCATCTGCTACACATCAAACCCATATTTGTGACATGAATAGCAGGTCTCCAAAGGAGGCTGAATCAAAGCCAATCTCAAGAGCACGGCAGATTGAGCAATCTATTCTACAATAATGGAAGAGATTAGGGGAGGAGCGCTTTTCTGGATGCCTGATTTTTTTCTTTTAGTCTTGTCTTCTTGTCTTATCAATAACCATCATATATTTGATAGTTAGAGAGCCAATTTTCTGATAAATAGTTCACATGGTGAGAAATAATAGATCAGGATGAAGAAAATAGGTTTTTGTTCACCCATGGAAGATTCCACACCCTTAAAGCACTGCTCTGTGAGTGCCTGACCTTCAGTGTGTCACATGCAGTTGCTTAATGATAAACCAAAGTTGCTGTCAACCTGGGAAATTTTGCTGTTTCTCATATTAACCGTGCAGCTTCAACCAGATCCTTTCACCCATTCCTCCCTTGCTTTGTTCCTTGCTAAAGTAGGACACCAGCCAAGGTAACAATCCAGGGAAAAGAAGGCATATAAAATATACAGTGCTTTGCCTTCTTATTAGTTTGTTAAGCTAATCTTAATTTCTAAAGTTATTCTCTTAGTCTCTAAAAATCTCTAACTCAAAGCAGCCAAGATTGAGACACATGTGGCTTTCTTAAACCCAAAGCCAGCATTGCTAATTGTTTACAGCACCACTTTCTCCTACTGCTTTGGGATGTGAGACCTCAGAACCTCAGGCAGTTACTTTAGAACTGACAGGTAAAGACAGTCTATTTGCCATTCCTGCAGCTGCTAAGCCAGGCATTTTCTTTGAATCCTAGCCATGGTTTGGGTGCCAAAGGAGTCAATTTCCCTTGCATTTGCGTGGTGCAGTGTTTGTGTGTGTAATTTAGTAGATCATGGCATCACTAATGGGTGACTGCTGAGAAGCTTTTAATTTGCATGGAACACATCCCTATGCTGAAAAGAAAGCCAAACTTTGCTTATGAATTGTCATCTGTCATTGAGAGAAAGTCTCGAAATGTGGACTCACTTTCTTGAGGCTTTCTGGAGAGTTTAAATACAACTCTAGGGCTGGGCACAGTGACTCATGCCTATAATACAAGTGATCCAGGAGGATGGCTTGAGGTCAGGAATTTGAGACCACCCTGGGCAACATAGCAAGACTCTGTCTCCAAATTATTTTGTTTTTAATTAGCCTAGCATGATGGCATGTACCTGTAGTTCTAGCTATGCTGGAGAGCCCAGGAGCTCGAGGTTACAGTGAGTTATGATCACACCACTGCACTACAACCTGGACAACAGAGCAAGACTCTGACTCTAAAAACAAACAAACGTACAGACATAACTCTGTGTAGGGGAAAGGCATTTTAACCTCTTTTTATCCATCCCCTTCCCAGGTCTCCTTTAAAAGAGAGAGGGGAAAACTGCTGGAATAATTGGTCAGAGATCAAGAATTAATTGCACCATGAATATTAATGGATAGGGCCACTGCATTAAAAGGCCTTAATTCCTCTTCAGCTATTCTCTACGTGCCTACACTACACACAGCTTGGTCAGTAAGTCAAATTAGGACTTGCCCTTGGCAGAACTTGTCAGCTGCCTCTCTTGTTCTGAAACTTCAAGAAACACTCACCTAGCTGAGTCAGGGTTTTCCTTGGAGCCCTGCCATCACGCTGCCTGCATGCTAAATCACTCTGGATGTGGCAATGGGTTAGTGTCTCATTCACTTTCAATTCCTTCTAACAAAAATATTTTGAGCACCCACTATGTGTAGACATCATTGTAGGTGGTATACATCCATCCAACTATATATATATACATATACATATGTTTGTGTATATATATAATTCTAGTCAATAACTAAGTAAAACCTAGAGTTCATCAAATGGTGGTAAGTGCTTTGGAACAAAATTAGACAGGCAAGTGGACCAGGGAATTCAGGGAGGGAAGGGAGATGTGTTCTGATTTCAAGTTGTATGGTGAGGAAAGCCCTCACTGAGAAAATGACAGTCGAATCATACCTGAAGAAGCCAGGATCTGGTCTTGTGACAATTTGGGGACAAGGAAAATCCAGATATGAAAAAGAGCAAAGGCAAACAGGAGGAGGCATTTCTGTGTGTCTGTGAGTAGTAAAGAAGCTGAGTTGCCTGGACAGAGTGAGCAAGAGAAGAGTGACAGGATGGGACATCAGAGTTACCAGGTAGACAGAGGGCAGCAAACTGCATGGGACTTCTGGGTCACTATGATGGCTTTGGGTTTTACTCAGGGAAAGAGGGAATAAACAAAGACATTTCAGGTTGTCTAAGTTTCCTGTTGATGCTATTTCAAATTTGTCATAAATTACCACATGGTTAGCAGTTTAAAATACCACAGATCGACTCTGTTATAGTTCTAAAAGTCAGAAGTCCAAAATCAGCTTCACTGGGCTGAGATCAAGGTGTAAGCAAGCCTGTTTTTTTTTTTTTTCCAGAGGCTATGAGAAGATAATCTGTTTCCTTGCCTTCTTCAGGGTTTAGTGACTACCCATATTCCTTTGCTTTTTGCCCTGCTTCCATCTTCAAAGTGCATCACTCCAATCTCTGCCTTCATCCCAGTACTTTATCATCTGACTCCTCCAGCATCCCTCTTATTAACATTTTTGTGATTACATCAGATCTACACAGATAATCCAGGCCCATCACCCCATCTCAAGATTCTTAACTTGCTGGCTGGGTACAGTGGCTCAGCACTGTAATCCCAGCACTTTGAGAGGCCAAGGCAGGAGGCTTACTTGAGGCCAGGAGTTTAAGACTAGCCTAGGCAACATAGAGAGACCTTGAATCCACAAAAAATAAAAATAAAAAAATTAACTAGGCATGCTGGTGTGTGTCTGCAGTCCCAGCAACTCAAGTGGAGGATCCCTTGAGCCCAGGAGTTGGAGGCCACAATGAGCTATGATCATGCCACTGCACTCCAGCCTAGGTGACAGAGCAAGACCTTGTCACTAAAAAAAAAAAAAAAAAAAAAAAAAAAAAAAAAAAAAAAATTAATTCTTAACTTACTTTTTTCTACAAAGCCTCTTTTTCCATATAAGGTAAAATTCACAGGTTCCAGGGGTTAGGACATGGACTTATTTCTATGGCCATTGTTCAGCCTACCAAAGATAATCTGGTTGGATTTAGGTTTCCAAAGAATTATCTGGATGCTCTGTTGAAAATGAACTTTTGGACTGTACGAGCAGAAACAAAAAAACCAATTAGGTTGCTCTTGCAATATCTTAGGCAAGAGATGATGATGGTTCAGTCTTAAGCAAGAGATAATGATGGTTCATCAGGGGTATTGAGAAGCCATACCTTGGAAATGTTTTAAAAACAAAACCAACATATTTTGCTGATATGGGTCATGAGGAAAATAGAAGAGAAACTGATTCCTTTAAGTTTTTAGTTTTAGCAGCTAGAAGGATAGATATTCTTTTTCCTAAATGGGAAAGGTTATTGGTTATTGAAGGAGAAGATTTGGAAGAAAGAAAATGAATTTAGTTTTGTATATTAAATTTAAAATTCCTATTGAAGACCCAAGCTGAGATGTCAACATTTGAATTAAATATTAATATGTGAGCCTAAACAGGTGCATCAAACTAGGCTTTACCATAATTGTGCACTGAGAATTATTATACATTGTACTTGAAATACCATTTGGCTATTATTCCTTGGATATAATTCAGACAGAAATATTGTGAGAACAAGGAAACATGGAAGATATGCAATAGCAGGTCAGGATTCATGAGCTACCAAAACTCTAGCTGTACTACCATCAAAATGCCATGCAAGAGACCCAAGATCCCATTTAACACTAACACTGTATGTATCTGCAAACATAGTTGCAATTTCTAAGGCTGACACTGAGATGTACAGAGATCCTGTTTCTTGGCTTATGGTCTATTCATCTGGGAACTTAAACTCTGGTTTGCATCAGAATCAGCAGAGTAGTGTGTTAAAATGCAACTTTCTGGATCCCATCTCCAGATGACTCAGGAGGTCTAGATGATAGTAGTAGTGGTCTGCAACCCAGATAACATTGAGAAAGAGCAAAGGAAGGACAGATGGGCTGTGGTAAATGAGTATTTGTGGTGGGTGTTTTATTTGGTTTGGTTAGTAGTTAAGAACTCACTGAGCACTTACCATGGGTAGGTATGATCTCACTTTATTCTCACAATACTTTAAGAAGTGGGAGGAAAGTACTATTATTACTCTCATTTTGCAGATGAGAAAACTGAAGGCATAGAAATTAGACGAATTTCCCAGATTACACAGCAGTCAAGGCAGAGTTGATCTTTTCTGTTGAACTTATGTGGCTCTAACTCCTACATCCATGCTGGTACCCAGTGTTCTGTGTTGGGGATGGGAACATAGATCAATTGAGTGGTATGAAAGATGGAAGGGTATGACTCTAAGATACTTCTGATAATGTCTGGATTTCTGTTGGAATTAGTAGGACAAGCTCTGCAGCCAGGCTGCCTGGTTTCAAACCTGTACTCTGCCACTTGACAGCAAGGTGACGGTGTCTATGCTATTTCACCTGTCTAAGTTTCACTTTTCCCCTCTACATATAGAGATATAAATAGCACCTATATCATCAGTTATTGTGTTGGTGAAATAAGATGATACTTTGAAGTCTTATTCTCCATGGCCTCCAAAATCTCTCCATGATCTGCTATCCTGTTTCCTCCTCAACTTTCTATCTGTACTATTTACTTCACCATTGTGCATCTTGCTCAAAGATGCTTGCTTCTTTTTATTCCACAAACAAATCTGGCTCACTGGGGACATTTATCTCAGAATATTCATCTGCCTGGAAAACTCTCCTTTCCCTTCCTCTCCCAGACTGTAATATGGCAATTTTTTTCTTATCGAGGTGTCAGTTCACATGTTTCTCCCATAGATAAGTTATTCCTGTACACTCAACAGAAAGTAGTCCTCTATTTCCTGGTCACAATCATATTACGGTTTTATCTATCTTTTCATAATATGTATCACTATCTGTATTTGTGGTGTTTGTTTACTGGCTTGTTATTATCCCTACAACTATAATTTAAGATGCATAATGTCGCTTGTTCATTACCACAGTCTGAGCTCTTAGAACAGTATCTGACATGTAGAGGGAACTCAATGAAAATTTATAGACAGGAAGAAAAAGAAGGGAGTGAAGGAGTGCTGTGTATGACTAAAAAATTCGGGGAAAGAACCCACAGTGGGAATCACTAGCTCCTAGACCTCATTAAATTCAGGACCCATAACCACATTTTTAATATCTTTAGAAAATCCACATTTAACTGGAAATTGTCCCATGCACTCAACTCATTTTCCAAACCCATCCCAGACAGAGGGATCAAACAGATGGACTCTGCATTGTACCTGGGAGTGCAGCCAAATCTAGCTGGGCTGGTTGCATTGGAAAATCTTACAGAAATGGAGTAGAATTTACAAATTTGAAAGGGGAGTGAGGTCCTGCATCCCACTTCCAATTTTGGATCACCCAGGTTATGGCTTTTAAATGGACATTTGTATTGTTTTTCTCTGCTTAATGTTTGTTCCTTTTCTATTGGGGATGATGAGACATCATCTGGCATTTCTGCCAATCTCTTCACCACAATTATCTGCCAGGCAGAGGATGGCTGTTTTGGGGAAAAGACTCAGCTTCTCCAGTGAATCAAGTACATGTACCCCCTCTTCTTCAGGGTCGTGGACAATGGTGAGGGAGCAACAGGAAAGGTTTTGTGTGTTGAAAGATGTTTTGGGATCCCTCATTTATTTACCAGTTTCAATTAGCAGTTGAGCAGAAACACCTTTTAACTGAGACATAAACAGGGTCAATTCCCAAAGAAGAACTATGGTCTGTGTTAGGAAGAACTTTTGAATCCCCTCTGGGGCATCCATAATGAGATTTTTTCAAGATGGCAGCACAAGAGACTTGACATTCTTTGAGAACATCCATCTTACTCAAACTTGGATCTTCTCAGTCTAAATGGCAGGCCTCTTGCTGTCCTCCAAACTTTGACAAAATAAGTGTTGGGATTTGGTCCACTTCAGCAAATACTTACAGAAGAACATCTACCATGTTCCAGGCCCCATGTGTTGGTGTTACCATGGTAAACTAGGCACTTATCTCATGGAGATCACAGTCCAGTGGAAAATAAAGTCAAGGAAATAGATCATTACAATGCAATGCAAACTAGGCTATATATATAATAGGGTATATTATACAGTACTTTTTGGAGCACAGAGATATGTACCTAATATAGACTTAGGTGGGAAAAAAAGTCTACCAGACAAAACAATATCCTAAGCTGAAACCTGAATGATTAGATGTACCTGAAAGGATTTTGGACCAGAAGTCAATGGACATGGATTAAGGCCCGATTCTTTGAGTTATTAGCTTTGTACATATAAGTAAGTCATTAATTTTTTAAAATAGTCTCCTGTCTTGGAATTGGGGATAATGGTTCAGCCATCTCACAGCACCAGGTAAAAACAATAGATGTGCAAATGATTGGTAAATTCTAAAGCCTTTTACAACATTCTAGCTATTACTTGAGGCACCATTTGCTATCAATACTCCAGCACCTCAGCTTGTTTGTGCTTGAATTGGGGCCAGAAAGTTTAGTTTCATCCTTTCCCAGCATCATTTATCTCTGAAAGTTCTTGAGGTTATTTTGTGACCAAGCTTTACGAATGTAAACCCAAATTTATTGCTAGCTTAACTCTGCAGATATTCAGTCTTATCCTCTGCCACACCTCAAGCTCTGACCCTATAGAGTTTTCTCTACTCTTTATACTTTTCTAGGAAACAAAAGAACATGATCCATGGATATTTATTAATATGATTTGTGATTTGTCAGCAGATTTGGGAATAAAATGTTAATATTCAAGCACCATAATTGAATCATATTTATATAAAACACAAGATTTTATTGCAAAGCAAATATGAGGAGCAAGCTCTTCTGTGGCAATATAGCAAGATATGACTTCATTCCTTATCTTTTTTTTTTTTCTTTTTGAGACGGTGTCTCACGCTGTCACCCAGGCTGGAATGCAGTGGCACGATCTCTGCTCACTGGAACTTCGCCTCCAGGGTTCAAGCGATTCTCCTGCCTCAGCCTCCTGAGTAGCTGGGATTACAGGCATGTGCCACCATGCCTGGCTAATTTTTGTGTTTTTAGTAGAGACAGGGTTTCACCATGTTGGTCAGTCTGGTCTCAAACTCCTGACCTCATGATCCGCCCACCTCGGCCTCTCAAAGTGCTGGGATTACAGGCATGAGCCACCGTGCCCAGCTCATTCCTCATCTTTTATAAAGCACAATAGCACTTTTAACTCATGGCGCAGCCCCTTTCACCTACTGCCCTTAGAGGCAAGTTAAAGATCTCCTAAACAGAAATACATTTTTCCACTAATGAATGTAATAGTAGTGTGTTCATCTCCTGTGTGATCTGGGATTACCTATGAGATAGTAAACCAAACTCTAGAAACCCTGAGCCTAATGCCCAAAAAGCCCATGACAATTTCTTAAATAGATTTGGGGAAAAAAAAAACACACACACACACAAACACCCAAATGAAGAGTGAGTTGGGAGAGCAAAAGACAACCTGAAAGAAAAAAAGAGATCCACTAAGGATTAATGTATGGAGACAGCATTTATGTCCTGCCCTACATTATCCTAATTTGAAATAAGCAAGTACTTTTTTTTAGAAACAGACTTTTCCAGAAAACCTTGAAGCTGGATGAGATCTCTTCCACATACCAGAGCTCAGAGAGCTAAGATAAAAGATACCTTGCAACGTAACACCACCTCCAGACTTGCATAATTTGGCCAAGGACTCAAATTGATAAAAGAAAGCTAAATCAGCAGCTTGAGACAAGAATTGATGGATAACTTTTTCTCAGAAGATGTTGTGATTCATTAAAATTTAGCTGAGAACTTCTAGAATTAGATGTTTCCATCTGAAGCTTTTTTTGGGGGACAAAGAGTAGTAAATGGTTAAAAATCTGAATTCTGAACTCTGGTTATAGTAAATTTAGCTGTGGTATTTGCATTTGGGGTTAATACAGAAAAGCATTCATTTCCCTTCTTACCAAAAGGATGAAATCTAATGAAAGAGCAACCACCTAAGGAAATAGGAAATGGTGGAGATAGCAAATCTTCTTCCAGAGTATCAGCTAAAGCGAGTCACTGACGGGGTAGTATAGAGAGAAGGTGAGTTGAGGATGGCTTCACATTTAAGAAAAAACATCTTTCAGCATAACTGAGACAAATATCTGTTTGTGTTCAATTCAAACTTTACATTTTTTCTGAAGGAAGGATATCTTTCTACCCAAAAGAAAGTAGAATCACAGAGGCAGCACAGAGATGCCTCAAAAACAGAAAGCTGACACTATTAGAATTTACTAATTATTCTCCTTTCTGCCCTCATTCTTAACATGCTTCTTCCTGCCCTCATATTTAACTCTGCCCAATTTTGCTTCCTTTAGTTAAGTGTTTCCCCCATTTCTGTATTATGAATTCAAACAAGACTGAGACCAAATATTGTATCTCTCTTTGTATTGTTCCCTCGCCTTGCCCACTAAGCGCGCGTATAATAAGCATCCACAAAGTATCTGGTAAAAAACGAAAATAGATAAGTACAGTTGGATTCTCAAAGAGTTAGCACTTTTTTTCTATCAAGTCTTGCCTCTTCCTTAAAATAAGGAAGAAATATGTTTTAATTAAGTACCCTCATTGCTACTCTTTTATTACTTACTATTCCCACCCAAATCTCCTCATTCTGCCTACTTCTTTCCCTCTAGACATGACATATATTGCAAATGTCCATGTGTCAAAACTTACTGTTTTACTTCTCATTTATGTAAGAAATTATGTTTTCAGATTTTCATGGTAAAAATTGGTTCCCTGATAAACTAATCCATGATCCAATAGCTAATGGCTCATCGTACCTTAGGTGTGCTAGTCCTAACTATTTCATAGGAGACCCCTGGAGACACAATGCCTTTATGAAAAGATTCTATGTCTATTCTAGACTGTTTAATAGGCCAATGGAAAGATAATCTAGAGTGGGGAAGTTTTCCAGTGCCCTTCAAATCTCTTAGCCTGCAACTTGCTTTAAGATCTAGTTAGGAACAAGCATCCACACACCAAAAAACATGAAAAGTCAAGATTAAAGAGAACATCAATCATTCGATTTTCAAAAAGTCACACCTAGGCAACTGGTGCCAAAAGCCTCATAAATGAACAGCTGCTTGAGATGAGCTTGTATTTTATGTACTTAAATACATTAATCTTAGAAATATGAACAAGAAGTCAGTGAAGCTGTTTCTTTATTCTTTGAAAGCTCAGATCTTCAAGTTGCCCTCCTCCACTTGATTTTCCTGCATCTGTTATTTTTCTGTAGGTTGCCAGAATTCCAAGACATGAATGATCATTGCAACTTAAATAGGCCATTTTGGCTAAAGAGAAAATCCAAAGGGGAAGTAACAGGCAAAGAAAGTCTGCTATGGGCTGACTATAAAAAGAGGTGACTGCAGAGAACATGCTACTAGGTGTGAGGAATTGAAGAAAGATTGCTTAATGTTATGGCTTATCTTTGACTTTTAGAGGAAGAATACTTAGCTGAACACAGAGGAAGAAGAAAGAGTAGTAGAAAGTCTCCAAAGCAGGTCTTTGAGTAAGGACACTTGCTCTGCCACTTATAGGATGCTTTAATCTGGAAGACTGGAAGTCACTTTGCTTTTGGGAGCCCAGGTTGCCCCATATAAAATATAAAAGCTGTTAGACCAAATGGTCTCCAGTGTCCCTTTGGAGAGATGATCTGATGCTTGAGGAGTTCAGAAAACTACTTGGGGTGTTTGGACCTGTCAGCTCTATGATTAAAATTTTCATTCATATTTATTTTCCTCTTGTGCATTCTCAGGGTGCTTGGCAGTAGATTAGGTGTAGCATTCAGTTCCCAGGCCTTTGGATCTGAAAAATGTAGTGTCACTTTCTCATCATTGATTCCAATTGTATATTTTGGTTTATGCATCATAAACCATATTGTGAAAAATAAACCCTCCAGGCTGATCTACTGAACCATTAAATGCTGTATCTTATCTACAGGTGAAGTTTTCTAAAAGGATTTATCTACAGATAGACCATGAAGCCAACTACAATGATGTGATGTACTTTGGAGCTTTCAAACAGGCACAGATTTCTGGTTGAGAGGGAGTGCAAACAGACTCTGGCATTCAGAATTGGTGGGAATAATACAAAGCTTGGAAAAACCTAGCAGAGATTGTACTTAATATGGTACTCTGTCTCAGTTATTCATTCAATAAATATTTATAGAGCACTTATTGTGTACCTGGCACTGTGCTAGGCACTAGGAAGCAGAAGTAGGACAACTTGGTCCTTGCCCCAAGGAAGCTTATGGTTTAAAGAGTGTTATGAGAGTTTCATATGAGACAGCCTTCAGTTAAATGTCAGGAAAGCCCTCTCTCCATAATAGCATTTAACAATTGAAAGGCATCTCTTCTGTCTCTCCTAAAGGAAGAAGAATAGTTCTTTTAGATATTCCTCACATGGGATGTTTTCCATTTTCTATCTCTGGAAACACTGCAGTTTATACTCCTTAAGTGGGACCATCAGAAGTGAACCCCAGATGTATCTAATCCGAGAAGAGAGAAATAGGACTCTCCTTTCTTATTCTGAGTACACAGTTATATTAATATAGCCAGCAATCCTATTAGCAATATTAATAATAAAATAGTAAAGTGACAATAATGATGATGGTGATAAACAAAAATAATAAGAAAGCCAAGATTTGAATGCTTGAACTAAAGTTCATATTCCATCTCCATCTTGGTTTGAATTCCCGCAAAAGCAGAGGGAGGTGGGGCAGAGTTACAAGGCCTGGATCACCTGGCTCTCTGCAATCTATTCTCTACATGCTGCTCCTTCTGCTGAGAAACCCCTCCTCTCTTCCCACAGGTCTCTCCTTGCCCATTCTCCAGCTGGCGGTGCCTTTAACAACCTCAGGTACCAGCCTAGATACCACATGCTTCATTCAGAAAGTTTTTCTCAGCTCCCAGGCCTTGGCAGATTGCCCCCTTGAGTTTTCACAGCATCTTGCCTTTGCTTGTCACGGCACTAGTCTTGCTATGTTCAAATTGCCTGTTGTGTGTTTGGATTCATGTGACTGTGGATTCAAAATGGACATAGAGGGTGAATGAATAAATAAATAAGTGATGTTGCCTACTTTGCTCAAGGCCAACTGAGCATGAGTTCCTCCCCATAACTCTGATTTCGAAGAAAGCACAGATCTGCCTTCAGCACAAATTTTCACTTATTCCCAATGAATATCCTTTCACCGGGCTTACTCTGGTTTCCTCCAGCCCATGAAATATGACTTATTTTGGCTATTGAAACAGAATAAAGAAAACACATGGTTTTTAGGAACTGCTTGGTAGCTGTTAGGAGGGACGATCCCACGATAATCAGGCTTCTCTCAGCCTGTAAGTTCCAGTGAGTCTTTCCAAGCCAGCTCTGTATGGTATATTCAGGAAACTGCTCAAGTCTCAAGGTTCTGTGGGTCCAAAGATGATGCTATTAATGATACAAGAAGATGTGAAAACAATGTAGTTTCCCCCTTAAAACTCACTCAGAAAAGGCCTCGTGCAGCCCAGTAAAACATAATTCAGGACCTGAAGAATCTGCAGAAGAATGGGGAAGAATGCAGGCATTAATGCCTCCGAGATCTTGAATTAAACCTCAGGTCTGCCCCTTATCAGCTGTATTATCTCACATTAGGTTTTTATATTCTATGAGCCTCACTCTCCTCTACTGTAAAATGAGGATAACATTCCAGCTTGTTGGGTTAAATGATATAATGCATGTTGTGGATCTAATAGGCTTCCAGCTGTTTGCTTTTTTCAAAACCATGCCTGGGATTTAATATACTTTAATCTTAAAAGATGCATGATTATAATAACATACATGCCAAAGAACATCCCATTTGAATTGGAGACAAAAAGGCAATAGGTTACTACTTTTAAGGAGCAGATACTTCTTCTACAAAGGTTCTTTTAAACCAGTGCTTTTCAACCTTGGACATAAACCATGCTCACCTGCAAGGCTTGTTAAAATAAAGATTGATGGGCCCAGCCCCCAGAGTATCTGCTGAAATAAATATGGAATGGGGCTAGAAAGTTTGTATTTCTAACAAGCTCCTAGGTAGTAGAGATGCTTTCAGTCCTCAGGCCACATATTTTGGGTATCTTGAGGACATCAAGACCAATACCCAGCACCTATAACATTTCCCGGTGCAGAGCAAATACTTGGTATGAATAAATACTATTTTGGCATCTACTAAGAAGTGCCCAAGAAAGCAATGGATGGGCTGCACATTTCTGGAGAACAAGCCAGAGACTGTCTTCAGTTGCAGTATACCCATGCTAAATCTTTCAGAGCCTCAGCATTGCCTATTAGCTCATTACTCTCTAAAAGCACATTATTCTCTTTTGAATTAGAAGTTAATTTTTCATATATTTAACTTCAGTTTTGAGAATGTTGTCATCTATTACATTTCTAAGAGTACTCCTTCATTTCCAAGATTTGAGGTACAAAAGGGCATCGAATTAGAATGAGTCAGGGGGCAGAAATGAAAACAGAGTCTGCTCAGATATAATTTTACTCAAAGAGTAGGTCCTCTGCCTCTGTTTCCACTGAAAACATGAAGAAGAGAATGGCTAGATCACAGACCTGAAAGAGGAATCAGGGATCTAAATAAAACACTCCCTTACCCTGAAGTTGGCTAGGCATCACAGCAGGGATGAGAAGGATCACAGGATGTGGACCAGGTAACTTCTAAGAACCCTTTTTCACCAGCACCAACAAAGGAAGAGATTGAGAATCAGATTTAACTCCAGATCCCAACCTTTTCTTTCTAACCAAGATGTTCACCCCCACCATTTGAACACTTCTAAGAATAATTGAGGAACTCCTCCTTATAAATGAAAGAGGATGGTCAGGTGTGGTAGCTCACAGCTGTAATCCCAACACTTTGGGAGACCAAGGTGGGAGGGTCACTGGAACCCAGGAGTTCAAGACCAGCCTGGGCAACAGAGTAAGGCCCTGTCTACAAAAAATTTAAAAATTAGCCTCATGGGATAATGCATGCCTGTAGTTCCAGCTACTCGGGAAGCTGAAGCAGGATCGCTTAAGCCCAGGAGGCTGAGGATGCAGTGAGCCATAATCATGCCACTACTTCAGCCTGGGCCACAGAGATCCTGTCTAAAACATAAAACAACAACAACAACAAAAAAAAAAAAACCTTGCAGAGTTCCTATGTATCTCAAATATTCCAATGACCCAATTTCTCCTTCTTAAGGAACCATGACCTCTCACTTTTTACCAAGACATTATCAGGTTTAGAGGGGACCCTGTGCACTGAAAATTGAGTTGGCCATATGGTACCTGATTCATTCACTAATTATTTTAACTAATTACTGGAAACCTATGTGACAAGGATTGTGCTGGGCCCTGGGGACACCAGATCAAATTCGCTTGATCCTTATCTTCACGGACCTAACAATTTAGTTGTAGAGACATTATGTTCTGACACGCAGAGTTTTAACAAGACAATATCACATTCAGACTTTCCCAGAATATCCCTAAGCCCTGTATTGGTACATAGAAATGTTCTGAGATGGGTGTTAAAATGCAACCCCCAGGCTTCACCTTCACAGAGTTCATTACATCCGGGGTCATGCCATGAACCTAAATTTTTCACAAGTTCCAAAACTTTTCTAAGGTAGGTGGTCTTCATATCACACTCTGGAAACACTGCTCTATTAAAGGGCACCATTCTTCACTAATGGATTTTTATGCAGTCCTATGTGTAGGCCAGATTGTATTTCCTCCAATTTTAATAAAGGAATTACTTCAGATTAAATCTCTGTGCTTCACTTTCTTCCTCTGCTATTACAAAGGGCTTCAGGGAGCTGTTT
Source organism: Homo sapiens (assembly GCF_000001405.40). NCBI lineage: Eukaryota > Metazoa > Chordata > Mammalia > Primates > Hominidae > Homo > Homo sapiens. Next base: position 160,947,591 of record NC_000005.10, on the reverse strand, counting down.
TAATTAAGTAATTCATGGAGAGAACACCTGTTCAGGTGTGCCTTGGCTTTACTTGGAAAACAATGATTAAAAACCAAAATCTTACTATTCCTGGGAGGAGATGGGCATCTCTTGTTTGAAGACATAGATAATATTTGCAAAAGAGGGGAGGGCAGTGCAAACATATGTTAGGCTGCATGTAGATTCATGTACCATCTAATATTGATGCACTGAGGTCTGATTTCATGCTGCCATTCTAGGCACTGCAGATGGCTATGCAGTTTTTCCCTTTTTTCAAATAAATTTTATTGTGCCCATTTGGAGCTAACAACATGATTGATGTGATACACATAGATCATAAAATGAAGCTTTTCAAATAGAATAATCCTAAATTGGAGGTTCCAAGATGGCCAAATAGGAACAGCTCCAGTCCACAGCTCCCAGAGTGAGCAACACAGAAGACGGTTGATTTCTGCATTTCTAACTGAGGTACTGGGTTCATCTCACTGGGGCTTGTCGGACAGTGGGCCCAGCCCACGGAGCATGAGCCGAAGCAGGGTGGGGCATCACCTCACCTGGGAAGCACAAGGGGTTGGAGAATTCCCTTTCCTAGCCAAGGGAAGCCATGACAGATGGTACCTGGAAATTCAGGGTACTCCCACCCTAATTCTGCACTTTTCCAATGGTGTTAGCAAACGGCACACCAGGAGATTATATCCCGTGCCTGGCTTGGAGAGTCCCACACCCATGGAGCCTCACTCACTGCTAGCACAACAGTCTGAGATCGAACTGCAAGGCAGCAGCGAGGCTGGGGGAGGGGCGTCCGCCATTGCTGAGGCTTGAGTAGGTAAAGAAAGCAGCCAGGAAGCTCGAACTGGGTGGAGCCCACCACAGCTCAAGGAGGCCTGCCTAACTCTGTAGACTCCACCTCTGGTGGCAGGGCATAGCTGAACAAAAGGCAGCAGAAACTTCTGCAGACTTAAACGTCCCTGACAGCTTTAAAGAGAGCAGTGGTTCTCCCAGCATGGAATTTGAGATCTAAGAATGGAAAGACTGCCTCCTCAAGTGGGTCCCTGACCCCTGTATAGACTAACTGTGAGACACCTCCCAGTAGGGGCTGACTGACACCTCATACAGCCAGGTGCACCTCTGAGACGAAGCTTCCAGAGGAAGGATCAGGCAGTAACATCTGCTGTTCTGCAATATTTGCTGTTCTGCAGCCTCTGCTGGTAATACCCAGACAAACAGGGTCTGGAGTGGACCTCCAGCAAACTCCAACAGACCTGCAGCTGAGGGTCCTGACTGTTAGAAGGAAAACTAACAAACAGAAAGGACATCCACACCAAAACCCCATCTGTACATCACCATCATCAAAGACCAAAGGTAGATAAAACCACAAAGATGGAGAGAAACCAGAGCAGAAAAGCTGAAAATTCTAAACATCAGAGCACCTCTTCTCCTCCAAAGGAACACAGCTCCTCACCAGCAATGGAACAAAGGTGGACGGAGAATGAATTTGATGAGTTGAGAGAAGAAGGCTTCAGACAATCGGTAAAAACAACCTTCTCCAAGCTAAAGGAGGATGTTCAAACCCATCAGAAAGAAGCGAAAAACCTTGAAAAAAGATTAGACAAAAAGCTAACTAGAATAAACAGCATAAAGAAGACCTTAAATGACCTGATGGAGCTGAAAACCATGGCACGAGAACTATGTGATGCATACACAAGCTTCAGTAGCCGATTTGATCAAGTGGAAGAAAGGGTGTCAGTGATTGAAGATCAAATGAATGAAATGAAGTGAGAAGAGAAGTTTAGAGAAAAAAGAATAAAAAGAAATGAACAAAGCCTCCAAGAAATATGGGACTATGTGAAAAGACCAAATCTACTTCGGATTGGTGTACCTGAAAGTGACGAGGAGAATGGAACCAAGTTGGAAAACACTCTGCAGGATATTATCCAGGAGAATTTCCCCAATCTAGCAAGGCAGGCCAACATTCAAATTCAGGAAATTCAGAGAACGCCACAAAGATTCTCCTCAAGAAGAGAAACTACAAGACACGTAATAGTCAGATTCACCAAAGTTGAAATGAAGGAAAAAATGTTAAGGGCAGCCAGAGAGTAAGGTTGGGTTACCCACAAAGGGAAGCCCATCAGACTAACAGCAGATGTCTCAGCAGAAAACCTACACACCAGAAGAGAGTGGGAGCCAATATTCAACATTCTTAAAGAAAATAATTTTCAACCCAGAATTTCATATCCAGCCAAAGTAAGATTCATAATTGAAAGAGAAATAAAATCCTTTACAGACAAACAAATGCTGAAAGATTTTGTCACCACCAGTCCTGCCTTAAAAGAGCTCCTGAAGGAAGCACTAAACATGGAAAGGAACAATCAGTACCAGCCACTGCAAAACCATGCCAAATTGTAAAGACCATCGAGGCTAGGAAGAAACTGCATCAACTAACAAGCAAAATAACCAGCTAACATCATAATGACAGGATCAAATTCACACATAACAATATTAACCTTAAATGTAAATGGGCTTAAATGCTTCAATTAAAAGACACAGACTGGCAAATTGGATAAAGAGTCAAGACCCATCAGTGTGCTGTATTCAGGAAACCTATCTCATGTGCAGAGACACACATAGGCTCAAAATAAAGGGATGGAGGAAGATATACCAAGCAAATGGAAAACAAAAAAAGGCAGGAGTTGCAATCCTGGTCTCTGATAAAACAGACTTTAAACCAACAAAAATCAAAAGAGACAAAGAAGGCCATTACCTAATGGTAAAGGGATCAATTCAACAAGAAGAGCTAACTATCCTAAATATATATGTACCCAATACAGGAGCACACAGATTCATCAAACAAGTCCTTAGAGACCTACAAAAAGACTTAGACTCCCACACAATAATAATGGGAGACTTTAACACCCCACTGTCAATATTAGACAGATCAACGAGACAGAAAGTTACCAAGGATATCCAGGATTGAACTCAGCTCTGCACCAAGTGGACCTAATAGACATCTACAGGTCTCTCCACCCCAAATCAACAGAATACACATTCTTCTCAGCACCACATTGCAGTTATTCCAAAATTGACCACATAGTTGGAAGTAAAGCACTCCTCAGCAAATGTAAAAGAACAGAAATTATAGCAAACTGTCTCTCAGACCACAGTGCAATCAAACTAGAACTCAGGAATAAGAAACTCACTCAAAACCACTCAACTACATGGAAAGTGAACAACCTGCTCCTGAATGACTACTGGGTACATAACAAAATGAAGGCAGAAATAAAGAAGGTTTCATCTGAAACCAATGAGAACAAAGACACAACATACCAGAATCTCTGGGACACATTTAAAGCAGTGTGTAGAGGGAAATTTACAGCATTAAATGCCCACAAGAGAAAGCAGCAAACATCTAAAATTGACACCCTAACATCACAATTAAAACAACTAGAGAAGCAAGAGCAAACACATTCAAAAGCTAGCAGAAGGCAAGAAATAATGAAGATGAGAGCAGAACTGAAGGAGATAGAGACACAAAAAACCCTTCAAAAAATCAATGAATCCAGAAGCTGGTTTTCTGAAAAGATCAACAAAATTCATAGACCGCTGGCAAGACTAATAAAGAAGAAAAGAGAGAAGAATCAAATAGATGCAATAAAAAATGATATAGGTGATATCACCACTGATCCCACAGAAATGCAAGCTACCATCAGAGAATACTATAAATACCTCTATGCAAATAAACTAGAAAATCTAGAAGAAATGGATGAATTCCTGGACACATACACCCTCCCAAGACTAAACCAAGAACAAGTTGAATCTCTGAATAGACCAATAACAGGCTCTGAAATTGAGGCAATAATTAATAGCCTACCAACCAAAAAAGTCCAGGACCAGACAGATTCACAGCCAAATTCTACTAGAGGTAGAAAGAGGAGCTGCTACCATTCCTTCTGAAACTATTCCAATCAATAGAAAAAGAGGGAATCCTCCCTAATTCATTTTATGAGGCCAACATCATCCTGATACCAAAGCCTGGCAGAGACACAACAAAAAAAGAGAATTTTAGACAAATATCCCTGATGAATATTGATGCAGAAATCCTCAATAAAATACTGGCAAACCGAATCCAGCAGCACATCAAAAAGCTTATCCACTGTGATCAAGTTGGCTTCATTCCTGGGATGCAAGGCTGGTTCAACATATGCAAATCAATAAATGTAATCCATCATATAAACAGAACCAAGACAAAAAAACAACATGATTATCTCAATAGATGCAGAAAAGGCCTTCAACAAAATTCAACAGCTCTTCATGCTAAAAACTCTCAATAAACTAGGTATTGATGGGACGTATCTAAAAATAATAAGAGCTATTTATGACAAACCCACAGCCAATATCATAATGAATGGGCAAAAACTGGAAGCATTCCCTTTGAAAACTGGCACAAGACGGGATGCCTCTCTCGCCACTCCTATTCAACACAGTGTTGGAAATTCTGGCCAGGGCAATCAGGCAAGAGAAATAAATAAAGGGTATTCAATTAGGAAAAGAGGAAGTCAAATTGTCCCTGTTTGCAGATGACATGATTGTATATCTAGAAAACCCCATCGTCTCAGCCCAAAATCTCCTTAAGCTGATAAGCAACTTCAGCAAAGTCTCAGGATACAAAATCAATGTGCAAAAATCACAAGCATTCCTATACACCAGTAACAGACAGAGAGTCAAATCATGAGTGAATTCCCATTCACAATTACTTCAAAGAGAATAAAATACCTAGGAACCCAACTTACAAGGGATGTGAAGGAACTCTTCAAGGAGAACTACAAACCACTGTGCAATGAAATAAAAGAGGACATAAACAAATGGAAGAACATTCCATGCTCATGGATAGCAAAAGTCAATATTGTGAAAATGGCCATAGTGCCCAAGGTAATTTATAGATTCAATGCCATCCCCATCAAGCTACCAATGACTTCCCTCACAGAATTGGAAAAGACTACTTTAAAGTTCATATGGAACCAAAAAAGAGCCCACAGTGCCAAGTCAATCCTAAGCCAAAAGAACAAAGCTGGAGGCATCACGCTACCTGACTTCAAACTATACTACAAGGCTACAGTAACCAAAACAGCATGGTACTGGTACCAAACAGAGATATAGACCAATGGAACAGAATAGAGCCCTCAGAAATAATACCACACATCTACAACTATCTGATCTTTGACAAACCTGACAAAAACAAGAAACTGGGAAAACATTCGCTATTTAATAAAAGGTGTTTGGAAAACTGGCTAGCCATGTGTAGAAAACTGAAACTGGATCACTTCCTTACTCCTTATACAAAATTTAATTCAAGATGGATTAAAGACTTAAATGTTAGACCCAAAACCATAAAAACCCTAGAAGAAAACCTAGGCTATATTATTACCATTCGTGCCATAGGCATGGGCAAGGACTTCATGACTAAAACACCAAAAGCAATGGCAACAAAAGCCAAAATTGACAAATGGGACCTAATTAAACTAAAGAGCTTCTGCACAGCAAAAGAAACCACCACAGAGTGAACAGGCAACCTACAGAATGGGAGAAAATTTTTACAATCTACCCATCTGATAAAGGGCTAATATCCAGAATCTACAAAGAACTTAAACAAATTTACAAGAAAAAATCAAACAACCCCATCAAAAACTAGACAAAAGATATGAACAGACACTACTCAAAAGAAGACATTTATGCAGCCAACAGACACATGAAAAAATTCTTATCATCACTGGCCATCAGAGAAATGCAAATCAAAACCACAATGAGATACCATCTCATACAAGTTAGAATGGCGATCATTAAAAAGTCAGGAAACAACAGATGATGGAGATGATGTGGAGGAATAAGAATGCTTTTACACTGTTAGTGGGACTGTAAACTAGTTCAACCATTGTGGAAGACAGTGTGGCAATTCCTCAGGGATCTAGAACTAAAAATACCATTTGACCCAGCCATCCCATTACTGGGCATATACCCAAAGGATTGTAAATCATGCTGCTATAAAGACACATGCACAAGTGTGTTTATTACAGTGCTATTCACAATAGCAAAGACTTGGAACCAACCCAAATGCCCATCAATGATAGACTGGATTAAGAAAATGTGGCACATATACACCATGGAATACTATGTAGCCATAAAAAAGGATGAGTTTATGTCCTTTGTAGGGATATGGATGAAGCTGGAAACCATTGTTCTGAGCAAACTATTGCAAGGACAGAAAACCAAACACCACATGTTCTCACTCATAGGTGGGAATTGAACAATGAGAACACTTGGACACAGGGTGGGCAATATCACACACCAGGGCCTGTCGTGGGGTGGGGGGAGGGGGGAGGGATAGCATTAGGATATATGCCTAATGTAAATGACGAGTTAATGGGTGCAGCACACCAACATGGCACATGTATACCTCTGTGACAAACCTGCACGTTGTACACATGTACCCTAGAACTTAAAGTATAATTAAAAAAATAAAATAATAAAAAAAGAGTAATCCTAAATTGCACTTCTTATCAGTTTAGAAGGCATGACATCATGGGACAAAGGCTGGACATGCTTGAGTCCCAGCTCCTTCAGGACAAGGGAACAAGCGCGTGACCACAGATAAAGAAGGGCCAGTTTTAGAACGATGCCAAGACAAAGACAGAGAGACGTCATCATTTACCCAGTCTAGCTGAGGCCCCTGAGAGACTTTGAGCACATAACCCACTACTGCTGAAGGCAAGGCCATGTCAAGGCCATGTCAAGGCTGTCCTTTCCTCCGCCTTCACCACTGGCACAGCCAAATGCTGTGTTAATGGCCTTTGCAAGTTCTAAGTCTTTTGCCCTTTCCCCATAACATAAGAAAAGAAGACTACAGATGCAATTTACATTGTCAGACTAGCGTGGCAAGACATTAGCACAGCCTATAACCAGAGAAAAAAGTCCCTCAAACCCTTAATAAAAATTAGCTGGAAACTATGTCACATTTCAAATCGATGTAAGTGCTTTTGTCTCTAAGCCAGAGGGAAAAATAAAAATATCAGAAAGAGATAACGTAATTGGGCTTCTGTTAAATCAAAATGTTCTATGTTGCTGAGCTGTAGTGTGAAAGCTTAAAAACTGATGGTGGGCATGGACATAAAGATGGGAACAATAGACACTGGGACTACTAGAATGGGGAGAGAGGAAGGGAGATAAGGGGTAAAAAAACTATTGGGTACTGTGCTCACTCTCAGAGTGACAAGATCATTCATACCCCAAACCTCAGCATCATGCAAAGTAGCCATGTAACAAATCTGCACGTGTACCCCCGAATCCATAAAGTTGAAATTATCCAAATATATTGGTGATAGGTGCACAATCTAAAAAGAGATCTTGAGCGGCATTCGTGATGACTTTGGTCTGCAATATTTTATTAATATATCTGTATACAAGGCTCCACAGTTGAGTCATCCATCAAGTCAAAAATTATCCACTCTTTTGTGCCATGGTGACTTTTCTTATCATTCACTCACAAATATTTATGGACCATAACATGTGCAGAACACAGGGTGAGACACTGTAGAAGGTCACAAAGTTAAATCACAGGAGAGCACCCTCTCCGTATGAAGACAATGTGCATGTGAGTCATGTCATCTCACCACATTGCGGAACCCACTACCTGTATCTTCACTAGCAGCTTCTACAGTGAGGAGACAATTGGGACAGAGAAAATAAGAGAAAGAGTCTTGTAGAAAGCCGAAGAAAATATTGCAATGAGTCATAAGGGACAAAGTAGCTATAATTTGTTGAAGAGAAATCAGGAGTGCATTCTAGGCAGCAAATCCAAAGGCCCAGATTTTGAATCAGATGAGTCTTTCCCTGATGAAACCATGGCGAACTGTTTTTTTAAAAGTTCTATTTTTAATTAGGAAACAAATGCAAAGTAAAAATAAGACAATATTGTCCACTGATCAAATTTGCAATATGAAATAATTATAATCAGAGCTGGCAAATCATGCTCTGAGGTTGTGTGTGATCGGCTACAACTCTTTTTTAGTGAGAATGGGCAACATATATCTATGGCCTAAAATCTGTCATACCCTCTAAGATAAAAATGCCCCTTCTTAAAAGTTGCATCAATGTTGCTAAATATATGGAACTTCATTGTGGAATTTTTTTAAAATGGAGAAATTACAAAAACCCAGATGTCCAATAGTAGGAAATCAGTTAAATTGTGGTGCATCCATATGGTGACTAAATTATCATAGAGAGAATGTTTAATAAGGTAAAAAATACTCATAACAATGGATGAAGGTGATCCAATTTTGCTTTTTAAAATATTTGCATGAAAAACATTTAGAGATGTATTCACCAAAATTTAAACCAATGATGGTTCTTTGAGTTGTAAAATTAAAGGTAATTTGTATTTTTTTCTTTTTATTCATCTGTCATTTTGAAATTTTTTATAATGAACAGGTATCACTTCAGAGACCAGAAAAACATTAAAAGTATTCAGTTAACCACTAAAGAGAGACATTAGATGGGTAAAGGTCAGTGGTTTCCCACTGCTCACAGTATCAAGGTCAGATTTGCTCACCCGGGTTGGCCGCCACCTGCCACCCCAATCCCCTCTCTCATTATGCCTCTACCAGCTCTCTCAGCTCTAGCCATGCAGGTCTCCAGGTCTTTTGTTATTTTCCTGCTACCACAGAGCCTTAATATAGTAAATTGTATTATTTTTTTCAATTGTTCATTCCCACCTGTGAGGGAAATGGTTGCACTTCCGTCAGGAGTAGGCCAAGGCAGCCTTTTGGTGCAGCATGACTCAGCAGCTTTGGAGTGCGGGCACACAACCCCTCCACACATTATGTAACCATTCCATGTGAGGTGCATTAGGTAATCACCCATGAAAGCTTGTGCTTGGCTTGGAGCCACTATTGTCAGTAAAAAGTATAATTACCCTGCTAATGCTGTATATATGGCTTACGTTCAGGCTCTCCTGTGCCCAGAGAGAGAATAAAGCCATGTTGAAACCGTCCACAATTGCTTAAGTGTTTTTCCAGCTACCGCCACTCGCCTGACTCCCCTTGGACCTCAGTTAGAACCTGACATTTGGCGCCATGAACAGATCCTGAGGTGAGTGAGCCTTTGGTCCCCACAGATTCCGGGTCAGCCATGTGGCCACAACATGGGTTGTGGTACCCAGTGGCAGCTATGCTGCTCAGATGAAGCTGGAAGCACAGAGCACAAAGAAGGAGCAAGCTTTTGCTGGCAGAGTTAGATGGCATTTTTGACTGTGCTATAAGAAGTACACACCAAGTCCCTGAGGGGTAAAGCACAGGTAAGGGCCCTCTGGGCACAGGTTGGGCACCTGGAGGCCCAGCTACACAGCTCAGAAAAAGAGTTAGAAGCTGCCATGAATGAGAAACTCCAGGAGCAGGCAGGATGCTTGGAGGCTCAGCTACAGAGCTTGGAAAAGGAATTAGAGGCTGCTGTGAATGCAAGCCTGGGTGCATCATGTTGGCCCGAGACCCCCCACTCCGTCTGATACGAAGGAGGAAGAACCCCCATTGCGGGCTCACCCAGTGGTCCATCAGAAGGTAGATCATGAACAGCCATTGAGGCCACAAGGGCATGCTCAGGGACCCCCCACTGTAATATGAAATACTTTATATACTGCCTATACCCCAACTGAGTTGCAGGAATTAGGCAAGCAGTGTCTCCAGTATCCAGAGGAACCTCTGTCCACATGGATGCTTCATTTGCAGGACGAGGGAGCAGATAACATCTCCTGTTCTGCCTCTGAGGTGGAAAAGCTGGCCTCTATCATGACTCACCCCTCCCTCCATCAGCAGTTGCAGGTGAGCAGGCAGTTGGCGCAAGGGCAAGGTGACCACACCCTGATTGAGTGGCTATGGCCAGCCGTACAGACAGTGTGGATCAATGCCGAAGAAATACTCAAAACCATGAGTAAATGGCAGTCGTATGCCGATTTGGTGCAAGTCATCTGGGAGATGGGTATGTGGCAGGCTGTTTGACCTGAAAAACCAGGGGCCAGATGATGAATGTTTCACCTCCCACATGAGGGATCTCGTGTTGGGTTCTGTGCCCCCAAGTGCCTTTGGCTCCCTGGCTACAGTCCTCACCCCAGAGGTAGGGCACCGCATACATGGAATGACCACTGTTATGGTGGCTCTCAGGGAAGCAGAAGGTTGCCAGTGGGACCAAGGGGTCTGCGCCATACAAAAGGGGAAGATGCCCTGCCTTCTGGGGGCACCCCATGGGAGAAAAGGGGGCTCCAATGAATGACACACTCACATATGTGGGTATATTTGATTTTGGCCAGGGTTGACCAAGAGAAAATCGATAAGCAGACAATGAAGTTCTCTTAACTTTCTGGAGACAGTTATCTCTGAAGCAGCAATTCCAGAATATGCCCAAGGGGGATAAGGATATTGCTGCGTGACCAGGTCCCACCCAGGCATTTCAGCTCAAAGACTACTTGCTGCAGCTGGGCAGAAATCTAGAGGCTTTTCTGTTTGATTAGGGAACTGGCAGAGGCACCCAGCTTGGGGGGAAATCAGATGACTGGAGGCTACATATGGAATTAGGGATCCACTAGTCCCCCAACAAAGTGCAGTTGGTGCTGGCACTGCTGGATACTGGTGCAGATTGCAGCCTTGTTTATGGGAACCTGGAGAAGTTTCCCGGCAAACCTGCTTACACTGACAGTTATGGAGGCTGGTCAGTGAAAGTGAAACCTGTATCTCTGTACCTCAGCATTGGCCACTTGGCTCCCCATTTATATACTATGTATGTCTCTCCCATTCCAGAATACATTCTAGGGGTGGACATTTTACATGGCCTGGTGTTACAAACCACGGCCAGGGAATTCAGACACCAAGTGTATGTGGAAGCTGGTGCTGTGCAGACATACACATCACTAGCCTCAGGTCCTGCCACAACCCCAACGAGTTACTTCCACTCATCAATACCATTCGCCAGGTGGGCATACAGAGATAACTGAGACAACCAAAAAGCTGGAGGAGGTGCAGATAGTGCGTGGCACCCACAGCCTCTACAATTCTCCAGTGTGGCCAGTTAGAAAGCCTGATGGAACTTGGTGGATGACAGTGGACTATCGAGAACTGAATAAAGTAACACCCTCTTTGCATGCAGCTGTACCATCAATCATGGATTTGATGGACCAGTTGACAATGGAATTGGGACAGCACCACTATGTAGTGGACTTGGCCAATGCATTTTTCTCCATAGACATCACTCCAGAGAGCCAGGAACAGTTCACCTTCACGTGGGATAGGCAACAATGGACTTTTAGTGTTGCTGCAGGGCTATGAGCATAGCCCTATCAAATGTCATGGTCTAGTTGCCACAGATTTAGCCACGTGGCAATGTCCAGAAAGGGTCCACCTATTCCATTATATTGATGATATTATGTTAACTTCTGATTCTCTTGCAGATTTAGAAGCAGTGGCGCCCTTCTTGTGGCAACATTTGGCTGCATGTGGTTGGGCCATCAACAAATCCAAGGTCCAACAGCCTGGATTATCTGCGAGATTCCTGGGAGTTATCTGGTCAGGTAAGACAAAGGCCATCCCAGAGGCTATCGTTGATAAGATTCAGGCATATTACCGGCCCACCATGGTGAAGTAGCTGCGAACTTTTGTGGGCCTCCTGGGATATTGGCAGGCATTTGTGCCCCATTTAGCTCAAATGATAAAACTGTTGCATCAGTTAACAAAGAAGGGAGCTACCTAGGACTGGGATGGTGCAGCTTAGACTGCCTTCCTGGCATCCATGTGGGCTATTCAGCAGGCACAAGCCCTACAGGTAGTTGACCAGGGGTGCCAATTTGAGCTGGATGTGCATGTGACCACAGATGGTTCCGGTTGGGACCTGTGGGACTGCATGGAGTGCTTGAGAATTCCAGTAGGCTTTTAGTACCAACTGTGGAAGGGAGTTGAGCTCCAGTATTCCTTGATAGAGAAACAGCTAACAGCTGTATTTGCTGCCCTTCATGCTTGTGAAATTATGACAAGATGGGCTGCAGTCATTGTGTGGATAACTTACCCGATAGTGGGATAGGTGCAATCACGGGTAATGACCCCCAAGACTGGGACAGCACAGACATCCACTTTGGCAAAGTGGGGCCTCTACTTGGAGCAGCAGAGTACACTGACTACACGTGTCTTAGCAGCAGAGTTGCAAGAGGTCTTGGGGACTGTAGTGCTACTGCAAGATAAGGCCATGGGACCTGAAGCACCCCTAGACCCTGAACCTTCACTGTTTAAGGAAGGGCATTCCCCCATTCCTGATGGGGCATGGTACACAGATGGATCTAGCCCAGGTGCTATTGCTGCCTGGACCACTGTTGCAGTCCAACATAGTACTGACACCATATGGTTTGAAACCAGGTGTGGACAAATTAGCCAATGGGCTGAACTCAGAGCAGTGTGGATGATGATCACCAAGGAGGTGACACCTGTGGTAATCTATACCAATATCTGGGCAGTCTATTGAAGCTTAACCTTGTTGTTAACTACCTGGAAAATAGAGAAGTGGCTAGTCGGCCACTGACCCATTTGGGGCCAAGCCATGTGGCAAGACCTCTGGGAAATGGGTCATCAGAAAAAGAACTATTTATCACGTGTCAGGCCATATGCCTTTGGCCACCCCTGGCAATGATGAGGCAGATGCCTTGGCCAAGATCCGATGGTTAGAGTTGGCACCTACATGAGATGTGGCCTTGTGGCTACACTGGAAACTGGGACACATGGGGAGTAAACTGATGCAACAGGTCAATAAGCGTTGGGGTCTGTCCCTGTCCACACATTTGGGAGGGTTGTCAGAAATGCCCAGCATGTGCTCAGGCATACCCTAAACAGAGGAAGCTGCCCAGTGTTACACAGGTAATGACAGGGCAAGTATCCTTGACTAGGTGGCAAGCAGACTACATCGGGTCACTGCCAAAGTTGCAAGAGTATACACATACACTAACAGCTGTGGGCATGGCCACAGGCCTGTTGTTCGCCTACCCTTGCAGGGTGGCCGAACAGCGGAACACCATCTGGGCCCTGCAACACTTATGTGCCCTGTATGGTTGCCCTCTGGCCATTGGGCGTGATAGGGGAACATATTTCACTGGACAACAGGTACAACAATGGGCACAACCAATGGACGTAAAGTGGGGATTCCGTGTGCCATACAACCCGCAAGCTGTGGGTATGATTGAACGATATAATGAGCTCTTGAAGAATAGGTTATGCTTGCATGTCACACCCCCATCTTTTTGGGGCCGCAGTTCAAGGTTGGACCTGGTGCTCCAAACCTTGAATGAAGAGCCACAGAAATGTGGCTGGTCCAGCCCTGGTGAAGGCTTTGTTACACTGGGCTGCCCACCCCCCAACCACCTTCAGTTGCAGATACACACCAAGAATTACCTCCTCCAACCAGGTATGGGGATGAATGGAAACCTGTTGTTGCCTGCCCCTGTGGCCTACCCCTGTGGCCCCTGAAGGCAGGGAACAGAAAACCTGGCTTTGGCCATGGACCCTCCAAGACCCCACTGCCAGTGGTTGGCCATCATAGCTCTCTTGGGGGAGGGCCTACATCATGACTTGCATGTCACTCCTTGGGTGTTCAATACATGGCCCCTGCGGTTGACCGTTCATAGAGAAATGGCCAGGGAAGGAACCCTTCTCCAGGGGACATATGTACTGTCTGTGTGGCCTATCATGAGCTTCCCTGTGACTTTGGCACAGATACAAGACTCAAAGGAACCATGCGGAGCTGATAAAGTGTGGCACCATCTCCCAGGGCAAAAACTGTTGGCATCTGCATTGTTATCCAGAGATGAAAGGTTAGACTGTATTTTGCCTGAGGGACATGATTTAACTCTGTTAGTACCTGTGCCTGCTCTGTCATTTCGACCGTAGGTTGACATGCTCCAACTGCATTGTGGACTGGGCCCACACCTTCACTGAGGTGACCAATGTTTCCAACTGTTGGATCTGCACCATCCTTCCAGGAGCAGCTGCAGATGGCTTGCCTTGGCACATACATTCAGCATCTGCAGAGAAATGGACATGGCTGGAGACTTTGAGTCCCATGGCCGACACCTGGAATGCGACAGGGCAAGCTGCAGACAAAGAATTCCGCAAGACCCATAGCATGCCTGCCCCATCTTGCCTGTAGCATTTATGATGGGAGGGGCTGGCTAGTGGGGAAATATGTAGTACCCCCAGCTCAGGGACGGCAGTGCATAGAGGAACACTGGGGTAACACCACTGTGGGATGGCTACCCTGCAAGGCCTGTGTAAACATAACACATGTCACCACACCGAAGGTATGGTGGAACATGCGGCCCCACCCAAGGTCAGGCCCTGATGGATTTTATGACCCCTGGGAGTTTATGGGTCATTGAGGACACAGGGTGTCCTTACCTACCAGCAGACTGGCCTGGACGTTGTACCTGAGTTTGGCCTTACGTACCTGGCACTGTTCTCCCTGCTTTGCCCAGATGCCAGAATAACTGGGAGGTGCTATGCTCTCACTTTTTGTGAGTGCGATGAGGCCCCTGGTGGTTCTTCACCTTGGAAGTGACTATCCCTGGAGTGGGTATCATAACTGTAAAAGCAGAAGTTACTGCTTTTGCAGAGCACACCGCTCGGGCTCTGAATCACACCCGAGGGGCCCTCCTCCTGTCAATTGATGCAGTTGATCAGATCAGGAAGGTGGTGTTGCAAAACCGAATGGCCTTAGACATAGTAACTGCTGCCCAAGGAGGCATCTGTACCCTTTTAGGAACACAATGTTGTACCTTTATCCCTGACAGTCAGCAGAACATAACAGCAGCCCTTCAAGGGGTCTCATGGGAGAATAAGTTTCTAGGGAGCCTTACTGATGAACCCCTGCAGAGAAGGAGGGGCATCCCTAGGCTCTGGCCTATGCTGGGCCCCAATAGTTATAAATAGCGTAACTGGGATCCTAGTAGCTGTTGCTCTCTGTATTGTTATTGTGGGTTATAGATTCAGGGCTCTGCTGTATGGGCACATGTCTCTGCCCGGAGGACACTCTTGGCCTAGGGAGTGGAGGGTAAGGAAAATGGCTGCACTTTAGTCAGGAATAAGCTGAGGCAGCCTTCCAAAGCAGCATAACTCAGTGGGTTTGGAGCACAGGTGCACAGCCCTGCACATTATGTAACCACACCATGTGAGGTGCATTAGGTGATCACACACGTGCGCTCATGTTTTGCTCAGAACCACTATTGTCTGTAAAAGGTATGGTTACCCTACTAAAGCTGTACATATGGCTCACCCCCAGGCTCACTCATGCCCAGACTCACTCGCACTTAGAGAGAGTAAAGCCAAGTCAAAACTGTCTACGATTCCTTGAGTGTTTCTCCAGCTACCCGCCACTCACCCCACCAACTCCCCTCGGACCCCAGTTAAAACCTGACACCACCCCTTTCCCTGTAAGAGGAGTGCATTCCTGCCCACTGCCATGCAGCTTTCTATGTCCCCAGTGGGAGGCCCATGCATCCCTGTCCCATCGGCTTTTGGCTTTGACCAAAGGAACAAAAGCAGACATGACAGAGGCCACATCCAAGTAGAAACTCTAAGAGGCAGGACAGGTGTCCACAGTACTCCTGGTCTTTCTTTCTGCTATGAGAATAGCATATCCCACTTAGGAAGCTGTTCCTTCAGCTTAAGTCCCTGAATGGGAAACTGCTGCAGCCAAAGAAAGCTTCAGTCAATGCATAGTCTCCCTTTAATAAACCTTGTGGTAGAAATTTCTGAGATTTGGAGATCATTTGTTACTGCAACAATACTGACCACTACACAGGGTGCATGGTGTTTCTCTATCTGGAACAATCTGATGCCAACCCCACTCCTCTGCATCGTTAACTCCATCCCAGTTCTAATCTGACTCTTTGACCTGGACAAATCTCTTCACATGCTTTCACAGCCCTGGGTATCTTTCCTCCTTAGCATTTATCCCAACTGTCATTTCACCACTTGTATGTGATTATTCAATCAATATCTGCTGTGGTGTAAACCCCTAGAGTCAGCACTTTGCCCAAAACCACACAGCTGAAAGCTGGTGGTGCCAAGGACGTGAATTCCAGCAGTCTGGTACCAAAGTCTGTATTTGTAACCACTAGACTAGGCTGCTATTAATTTCATCTGATGAATGGTACAATCAGAGACCAGGTGATAAGTACTGGGGGGAAAAAAGAATGTTGTGCTCTGCACAGATGAGTCAAGGAAACAATTCTTTATTGTATACACAAAATCACCTGAGCTTCCGATGAGACGGGGGTGAGCAGCCTCAAGACAGCATGTCTTCTTGGGTAAGTATAGATTTAAGGGTAGATTTCCCTACTGTCATTATTGCCCTCCACCCAATTCACTAGTAAAACAAAGCAAATTATAGTAACAACAACAGCATCAACACCTTGGGTCCTCTTCACACCCCTGGCTGTGCCTAGCAAGATGCCCTGTACGTATCAAGTGCTTAATGTGAATTGAATCAAATGGGTCCTATAGTCTTTATCTTATGATTAAATGCTTGACATAAGCAAATGGTCATATGAGACCTAATTGCCCATATAATAACTCCACTTGGTGAGGCAGGTGGGATATGAGAATCTCATTCTAAAACTGAGTCTGACTGTAGAAATTAGGAACCTGAACACAGACTGCCTCAGCCATAGAGGAGGGAGAGGATGATTCTGGGGCCCACACACCTGGGTTCTTCTCCAAAAGAAGAGAGCCTGGGAAGGGGCTGGCATAGGGAAATTGGCTTTGGAACAGGTGATCTTAAGGGGCCTGCATATCTCCTGTAGGTGACAAGGTGTGAGACCTGGGCCTCAGGTGGAGAAAGGGCAGGGCTAGAGCTCAGTGTCTGTGCTGGTGCAGTAACAGTTCAATGACATCATTTCTAAGGCCTCTTATAGCTGGAATATCTTTGAGGCCAAGGCTGTCTCCTCTGACAAAGCTCATTTGTGAGTTAAAGGGAGGAGGGAGATGCTGGAGTCAGCTGCAGAATTCCTGAGGGGAGGGTAGAAGAGTGAGTTGGAAACAATGTGAAATAGCTGGTCCCCAACTCAACTCGGGCTGGTAATAAAGAATTTAGATCTATTCTGAGGCAGTATTTCTCCAAGTACAGGTGCAAGACAATCCAAATCAGAATCGCCTCAAAGAATTTTTTTTTAATATGAATTCCTGGGCTCTCTCGGAATTGAGAATTGTGTGCAGAAATCTGTATTTTTCATATTCCAGATAAGACTTATGAATCCTAAAATCTGGCAATTTCTGGAAGAAAGTAATACTAACTTGCCAGGGTAGGGAAATAAAATCCCAAATCCTTAGATTTGGTACCTGAATAAGTGTTCTTTTTCAAGGATATTTAAGTCACCATTAAGATCACCTGTGGATTCAGTGGAACAGGTGTTAATGGGGGTGACAAATTGCTTTTTAATAACAGACACGCCGTACATTGCTAAACTTTCCTTGGTGATTTCCCTAACACTACACAGAGGAAAAACTGGAATTTCTTTACATCTTGTGAGAAAATTTCAAACTGTTGCTCAGGTTCTCTCTGCTGAGAATAAGGGTAGATGCTGCATCATCCTGAGGAAAGCTTGCGACCTTGAGGTACTGGTGCAACATGGCCAAATCTCTAGCACCAAAGACAGAGGCAACTTGGTTTGTATTGAAGCCATTTCATGCAGCAGCTAAGCAGAGACCCCATCTCCTGATACCTGGTCTTCATATTTCTACAGATTTTTAATCAAGCACCAGAAAACAGGTACTCTTCATTTTTTTCATAGCAGGGCCAAAGTCCCAAGTTCTGGCTCTAATTAACCCAGGTGCTCTCTCAAAATCAATTGTGTGGCCACAGCAGGGCTGGTGGAGACATGGGTTAGCCACCCACCAGCTAAGAGCAGCACACAGGTGGCCTCTCGGGTGCCTGAGCTAGTTAGGCCAGTCCTGCCAGAAGCCAAGGGAGGAGGGTGGAGATGCAGGGCTTGGAATAGGAGCCTAGAGTGGATAAGGAGGGTGGGGCTAAGCAGGTTTCTGCAGCAGGCCCAGAGAGGAGGAAATTGGGGTGGAGGAATTGTGTTCAGGCGTGTGACACTGAAGGCTGGGCTTCTATATGGGTGGGGACCACCTGCTCCAGCCACCCATGAGAAGGAGGTTCTCTGTCAGTCGCTCCCCTTTGATGGGATATCTGGGGGTGGTAGCAGCTCAGTCTTTCTCCCTAGTGTCCCACCAGAAAAAAAACACCCAAGGAGTGCCAACCCTCCCTGTCAGCTATGGAGTTTACACCAAGGAGGTAGGAGGTAAGTGTCTTGTTAGATCCTAAGGCTTGGGGGTGATTTTTCTTCTCAGTTCTCTCCACCAATTGCCAGCCTGGGGCAGGGATGCTACTTCAAAGGGAGCCTCTGAGGCTGTCCTTCACCTCAGTACTCTGGGTCCTGGGGCTACAAGCTGTTTTCACCCTCAGCCACCAGCAGCAACAGGATCCCAGGGACCCCCAATCCTCTATCTATTTGGGAAGCTCTTTGCCCAGGGCATACAGGTGACTGTGTTATGAGGGCTGTTGTAGATGATAATGGTGATAGCTCTATGTGGTCGTGGTTCCTTTCACATGCTGATGAGCAGAGCACCCTTGCAAGGAATCTCTACCTTAGCTACTGACTGCTTGGAAATGAGTTGCCTGTCTGGACAGTCTATAGCACATAGTCATTGGGCACTAGTTGTACTATTTCAAGGCCCCTTTCCAAAAGGTTACAAAATCACTATGCAAGAACTTGAAAGAAATGTGTGTGGGGAAGAGAGGGAGAGAGTTGGGATTTTTATGATGGTGCCTAATAAAAATCATAATGGTGAGAGCTTATTGAAGCCTTATGATTTGCAAAGCATGACTGGGAAGCACTTTATATATTATTACAAGCCCATGAGGCAGGTGTTATCTATCATTACTGATGAGGATGGTGAGACTCCGAGAAGTTAACTGAGCCAATGAGGGTTTACTGATCCCAGAACCCATGTGCTTGACTTCAGTCGATGAGGCCATATTTGACCAAGAGTCTTCCAGTTTCAAAGTGTACAGGGCTGGTGAGGAACTATTTGGGTTTGTAAATAGCCTTTCTCCAGGCAGAACAGAGGTGACGGCCCCAATCCCCAGTGACCATGCTCAATAACTAATTCAAAGCTTGGTTTCCTCTCAGACCTCAATGGCCCGCTCTTGTGGGGTTGGAGACTGTTAAGAGTCCCTGTCAAAAATATGTAACCCATGTGGCCTGTGCCATTAAGAATACAGGGACTGTGCAACTCAGAAGTGAAGCTAATTCTTGAAGCTCTAGAGCAGTCAATAAAAAAAGGGAAGGAAATGTGTTTGAGAAAGGAGAGCTGGACACCGAGCCAGTCTCACCTCCAAAGCATGGTTCACTGGACTCATGACTCTAAATCTGGCCCTCTCCCCACCCTCACCTCATATCAGGTCCACCAACCTATAGTGAGCCAGCAGCCCTGGCTGTTGCTCTGTTTCCTTCTCAGGACCTTGGCACTCTGTCTTCCCTCTGCCTGGAACACTTATTCCTTGGCTTTTCCCAATATTAGCTTCCTATTTTTAATCAGGTTTCGGCTCAAAGGCCATCTCTTCACAGAGAGCTTCCCAGATCACAGCATCTAAAATACTGCCCCCAATTCCTCTCCCTCACTGTGTTATTTTCATAATGCCTATCACAATCTGAAATTCTTGTCTTCCCATTTATTTTTTAACTCTCCCATTAGCACAAAAGTCCCATGAGTGTAGAGACCTTTCTTCTACCTCCTAGACACTACTGTGTCCGCTGGGCTTGGCAGAGTCTCTAATAATAGCAGGGGCTTGCCTAATGCTTGCTGAGTCAATGAGTAATCGAAGGGAACAGGAGATATCATGACCACCAGTTTACCTCTTTCTCATTCAACACCTCTGCTCAATCCACCTCAGGAAGATAAACATCTTGGTTTAAGAACAGAAGTAAAGAACACCTGGATTTTTAAGTGCTCAGGGACCAGCTGATTTCATTCTTGGGGTAAGATAAAAAGGCTAAATGGCATCACATGGATTTAGTCTCCTAAGAAACAGCAAGGTATGGTAAGACTGGCTCTGCTGACCAGTCTTCAAAAGCGACAGCATTTCTGACTCACCCCAGCTTGTCCTTCTAGATGCCAGGTATGGTATTGATCTTAAAGATGTGGGGGTACTTGTCATGCCAATACAATTTCAGAAAGCTGAAAGTGCACCCTTTTACCCTGCTTTATCAAGCCACCCACTTAAATTTCCAGTGCACTTTGCTCGCATATCTCTTTCTGTTTTGGGTGTCATTCATTTTTAAGATGGGAAGAGGCCTACATTTGGAATCAGGGGATCCAAGGTGTTTCTATGAGCTGTACTCTTCTCTGCAATTGTGGGCAAGTCACTTAGTGCCTGCATTTCTTATGTTGTTCCCTCTGTAAAATGGAATAATAACTACTGTTCTCTATAGCATGTGAGGTTGTTTTGAGATGCACAGGTAATGTGAGCCCTTTGCAAAGCACTTAGTGTGACAGTGATGTAGAAAACAGCACAATACAGCTCTTGCTCAAAAGCACACAGCTCCACAAGCAATGGGGAGCAGCGAATACACAGGAAGGTGTGTTTGATTTGGAGAATTTCACTTGCAGAAAATCCACAGTACCAAAAGAAATCTATCAGAGGAAGTGACTTCTAGGCAGGATTTCTTTTTCCAGGCAGCTACCTCAAGAATCAACTTACACGCTTTAATTAACACTCAGCCTATTTGCTTTGCAGAGAGAAGTATTTGAATCCAGCCTAGTGATGCTTCCTCCTTGGCAACCACACAGCGTTTGGCAGTATTTCACATGCTGGTGGTTTTTATGGGTCCCTTATTGCACTTACGTCTTCTTCATTGTAATGGGTGTTAAGCGTTTCTGGCGTCAGCCCCAGCCCTGTCTGTTTGATTTAAGAGACATCTGATTTTATATCTGATCCTCAGGTTGGCTCCTGTGATCCTGTTTTTAAGTCTCTCCTTATCTTGTTCTATTTCCCTGCGCTAGTCTTCATTTGCAGATTTTAGGAAATGCTTTTTTTGAAAGAATAAATTTTGAATTAGAAGCCAACTCAGAGCCCTAACAATTTTCTGGGAAGCTAGGGGCCCATAAGCAATGTTGTATTATGAAAAGAGAATTACATTAAGTTTCTGAAGACCCGGGCTTGAATCCTGGCGGTAATTACCAGGAATTCTTTTCCAACTTCTTGTGCCACGATAGAGATAATAGCAATATCAGCAGTGAACTTTTACTGAGAATTTACTAAGTCTTAAGAGTCTTCCTTGGATAATCTCATGTAGATTATCCAGTGCCTACTATCATGCCTACTATCTGTTTTTGGAAATTGAAAATGTGAGATTTAAAAGTTCCAAGGTCACCAGGTGGTAAGTGATAGAACCCAGATTAGAATGCAAACTGGTTGATTCAGAGCACGTGCTCTCATCCACCAGGTGCAATGCCTTCTACTGGGCTATATTACCTGGCAATCCTTATGGATACATCAGTTGACATTACCAGGCATCTGCTTTTCACAGGATGTTATCTGATGAGATGAGGCCTATGAAGGTACTTGGAAACTGTGCACTTTTATTCACCATTGTCCACTTGTCTTGTTTACCAAGATTTAGGAAGAATGTTCCAAAAGGACTCCTATTTTCCTAATTTCATGGCCTTTAAAGAAAATGACAGATATTTTCATAAAGAAGAAAAAAGATGCAACTTACCAAAGGAGAACATGAAATCAACTAACTCAGAGTACACATTGTTTACAAGGCTGAAACCAAACTGTTTTAAATTCTTTAACTTTTTAGGAGAATTTGCAGCTACTGTATCCCATGCGAGGAATTAATAACATAAGCATGATAGTCAAAATGTATTTACTACTTCGTATCTGCCACTGATAGAAGCATTTCTCTTATATGCAAGAGGCAATTTATCACAGTGACTAAGGGGTTGGATCATGGCTTACAGTGGCTGGCACTGCCAGTTGCTAGCTGTGTGACCTTGGGCAATTTTCCCAACCACTCTGTTTCAGTTTCCCCGTCTACAAACGGGGGTGATAATAAACTCATCCCCTAGGGTTATTGTCAGAGTTATACAAATCGATAGGTATGACGAGCTTAAATAGTGATAGGTCCATAATGAACTTCAAAAGTTTGCTGCTGCTGCTACTTTTCCCTCAACTCTTTTATGAGATAGGGACTATCATCCCCATCTTGTATAAGTGTAAGGAACTAATGAATAATAGGCAGGCCACATGGCCAGAATCAGGATTAGAACTTTGAACTCTTATAATCCACAGCCTTCCCTCTTCATTGTCATATTTTAGTAAACTTTCAAGGAAACATAAACTCCACTGGGAATTTAGTTTGACAGGAGTTTATACTCAAGATCCAATCTACTTTCTAGGTAATTATCGGTGTCCTGTCATCTTTAGCCTGGTAAGTGAAGTGTCTTGTTGCAAATGACTTAAGTTGTGTCTCTAGGATTTCACCAGATTGACCAGAACTTTCTCCTCTCTTCAGGATTCTCTCTGTGGGCAGGCAACCACACAAGCCTTGAGGTAATAAGTTTGCTTATTAAAAGCAATCAGTGGAGCTACTGTTCCCCAAGACAGAGCTCTGGACCTGGCCATTTTGAGGGCCTCTTTCAGCTCTGTGATAACATTTCCTTATGCTGGCTTAAATCTGTTGATATAAAATCTCTTGAATTAGAATGTTAGGATAAGTGACGAGAAGAAATTGTTTCAAGGGCTGTGCTGGGCTGGTCAAACACAATTACCATTTCTCGTGTCCTTAAGCCATGATAGCCAGTTGGATATTAGAGTTATTTTACTGGATCATTCTCCAACTAGGTGGGCCCTGGCTTCTGCTGCAATCCCAGCACACGATCACTGCACCATGACCCCGATAAAGCAGTCATCCTTCTGCTGTCTGCACCAAACACGCAAGGCTCTCAGGTGCTTCCCATGTAATAACAGTAGTTAATAATTAATACCTTTTATTGAGTATTTACTATGTGTAAGTTTACTTAATTAGTTCATGTAATTCTAACACAGCAACACTCTAAAGTAGATTCCAGTATTATCCTCATTATTTTAAGGAAGAGGAAACTGAAACTTAAGGAGCACACAAAGTTGGCCCAGGGGCACCCAGCTGAAGGTGGCAACACGGAGGCCTAACCCCAACCCTGTGTGATTAAACACATGCCCTTCAACTCTGTTCAGCTGCTCCAAACTCCTATTGCCTGAATGGGGCTCACAGAGGTAGTTTGATAACACATTACAGATTATCCTTGAAAAACCTGTTCTGCTGGCAAGGGATGGGGACAAACCTGCCTCACTTGTTTTCCTGAGTCCTTGCAGCCCTGGCCTAGCTGGTGGAGCCTGTTTGTTTTTCTTTTGCCTAATCTTATTCAGACATAGTTGAGCTGCTTAACTACTCAGCCTGGCTTTCCCAGACAACCCTTTCATCAAGGGAATGTCCCAATAGGTAAACATGAGGGCAGAGTGTTGGTCTCTCCAAGGCGCCTCAGCCCCATCCTTTTGAACACCAATCCTGTTGCATTTTTCCAATTTCTCTTTCCTTTCTTGTTCTCTGTTCAGTCTGGTTTAATAGTAAGTGGGACTTGATCACAGATCTTAAAGTATAGTTTCAGTGCTATAAGATAATTTCAGTAACTGGCTTCTTGGCTTGAGGACTAGCTTGTGTATCCTGTCATTTACAAACACAGACAAAACAGTGGTCCCATTGTGGCTGTACGTCAAGAAAATCCTGTTTGTTCCTCATAAGTGGTATTTATGCAAGCTGGCTGTTATCAGGAAGGTGCGTAAAGTCAGAAAAATCTAGTTAAAGCTTGGACATCATCCTCTTTAATGTCTGTGTGATCACGAATAAATGCATTTTCCACAGTTGCATAATACTGCATTTATTTTGGTCAGCTCTGCACACATTTATGATAACACTTTCACAGCGTCCTGGGCACCGTGCTGATTCCTATATGTATACCTTTTCACTTAACCTCCAACCTCGTGAGGTAAATACTGTCATCATCGTTTACAGATTAGAAAACTAAGGTTGGTAAGGTTAAGTGCCTATTAAATGGCAGAGCTGGGATTCAAAACCAGTTATTTAGATGTCAGAATCCATTCTCCAGGCCAATGTCATGTACTGGGGGATGATTTGATGTTAAATTCTTCCTCTTCCACCACAAGATCATGCACAAGTGTTTCTCGTGTGCACAGTCTCCTTTTGAAGCTAATACTGAGGACATGTTTTCAAGCCTTGTCAAGCTGCCCTGCTCTTCCTTGCTTGCCAGCCTTCCGATCGATGGCAAGCACAGCTTCTGTCTCATGCCCTGGCCACAGCTCATTTTCTCTTCTGCTCTGTCTATTCTCCACATCACAGAAAGACACTTCATCGATGAGTGTAAACTTTTTTCTTTACTAATAATTGAAAAGTCTTCCAAACAAATACTTGTGCTTACCTCTGAAAATAAAACCATCCTATTTCCTTCCTCTGCAGGGCAGAAAAGTCAGCAGATACTATTGCATTTCAGGACCCTCAGAGAAAAAGCAGGGGCTATATGTGGGGACAGCTGAATGGGCCTTGGACCAAGGGCTTGGAGGGGCCCCATTAGGATATAAGCCCGAGAGTGCAAGGATCTTCTCCATCTTGTGTGTCACTGTCCCCAGCACCCAGAGCAGCTTCCAAGTACATAGGAGCTGCTCAAAGATATATTCACTGAATCAGTATGTCAGCTTCTAAGACAAGTGTGTGTCTATTGCAGATTTGTTTTTCAGATTGGTTTTTGTTTGGTTTGCTTAGGAGTAAAAATAAGGGAGAAGGTTAAGTACTGGGTCATTGGAATTCTTTGTAGACACATTGTCTTCTATTGACATCTCAGTATTTCTCTGCCTACTTAGTCTGGGTAGTCACAGGTGAAAATTTGGCTGGGTGGTGACCATCTGAGTGTCCTCGGACCTGCCTTTTTGCCCACATCCTCCTCCATTCTTTACTTCCTTTTCAGTGAATCATCTGAAACTATAATATTTCTATTTACTGAGCACTAACAACGTGGCAGGCCCAGTGCTAAATACCTCCATATATTACTACATTTAATCTTCATAAGATATTCACCTCTACATTTTGCACATGAAGAAAACCAGTGCTTGGAGAGGTAAAAGTGACTTGCTACAAGACACTCAACCAGCTGGTGATAAACCCAGACCTCAGTGCCAGGTCTGTGGACTCCCAATCCTGAGCCCTTTCTCTGGTCTACACAGTGAATCTACCTCTTCCCTTCAGCTGAGTTCTGCTATGAAGACTTTCATATGAGTCAGATGCTGATCCTTCTCTGACTTTTCTCAAGCCAGACACCCACCCGCATGAAAATATGTCATTTTCTAGAAGGGACATTCCTTAATGTCACCTACTGTTAAATGCCTGGGGTTGTGTTCCCCATCTCTATCAGAGGACACAAAATCCTGTAAGAGGCCTAGGCCTTTATTCTTCTTTGCCATTCCATTAAGGATGAGAAAAGAGGAACTGCTTTGTGGTCTGAAAACAACTCTAGCACTTAGAAAAGGCTGCCTGCGGGTATAAGTCATGAGGCCCAAAAGGGAAGCCATCTTTGCTCTCCTGCGAGTGAAGGTAAAGGTCATTTGGGCACACAGCAGAGGGCCAAGGGAATGTCCTGTGTTTGAGTCCTTCATGTTCAACTTTCACATCTTGTGGCACAGCCAGGTACAGCCTTCACTGATAACTATAAGACATTGTCATTTCAATGGAACTTAGGTTTGTTTAAAAGGAAGACTACTTTAATGGGACAATGAGTATTTCTTATCACAAACAGAGAGTGACTATAAAATTAAACACAGAGCAACATGTATAAACTCTAGCCAGACATTGCGGAAAGCTCTGGTTCTGAGACCTGTAAAAGGAGAGTTGAGATTAACTAGCCCTATTTATTGAGTGCAAAGTTTCAGATTGGGAAGATAGTCATTCTGGAGATAGATGGTAGTGATGGTTGCACAACATTGTGAATGTGTTTAATGCCACAAACTGTACACTTAAAAATGTTTAAACTGGTAAAAGTTATATATATTTTACCACAATAAAAAAGAATGAGGCAGTTCTTTATGTACAATTATGAAACAATCTTTAAGATATATTAAGTAAAAAAAAAAAAAACAAAGTGCTGAATAGAAAGCTGCTATTTGTGGCTTTTTAAAGGTTATATACACATGTACATTTATGGTTGTATATGCAAGGATCCCTCTGAAAGAATGACAATATTTGATCCTGTAGAGGAAGAATGACAATATTTGATCCTGTAGAGGAAGAATGACAATATTTAATCCGATAGAGGACATGAGCTTCTAGTGTCTGGGACCATAGCGGGGAAGGTGGGGAGCGGGTGTCGTGTCTTTGTTCACTGCTTACTATTTGATTTGTGTTGCATGTATAATTCATTATAATTGATTAATAATAATTTATTAAACCTTTAAAAAGAGAGAAAAAAGACTAGCACCAAACTGAGACTGTATCCTTAAAACTGTGGTTCTCAACTTTGACTACGCCCTAGACTCCAACTGCTCAAAGTGAGGCCCCCTGACCAGCATTGACGTCACCTGGAAGCTTGTTATAAATGCAGAATCTCAAGTCCCACCAAGGTTTTTAGAATCAGAATCTCCATTTTTGCCAAGCTCTCCAAAGGGTTTGCATGACATTGAAGTGTGAGAAGCACTGCAGCGGGGACTAACTAAATCAGCATCTCTGAGGTGTGGCTTGAGCCTAGGAGTTTATGAAAGCTCACCAGGTGATTGTGAAGGGCAAGTGATGTTGCAAAACACTGACTTACGTATCTGGGAACATTGAAGTGGTTAAACAGGACCCATTTTGTTACTATGTGATTCAATTCTCAATGTAAGTTCCATGTGCTTCTTCAAAGATCCTTGCATGTCCCATGCTTGAGAGCGCTGCCCAGAATGACCATGTCAGAGCTCATGAATGCTGAGAACACGGAACATGCAATATTGAGATTCTTCTAAGCTTGGTGGGAAAGATGCTCTTATTTAATAGCTTTGAGCCCATTTCTTCCTAATATAAAATAAGTTTCACTCTACACCAAAACATGTACCTATTAAGCCCTTTTTTATCCAGCAATTGAGCAAAACATCAGAGTAATGGCAAAATCAGACTTTGGAGTTAGAAAGATGTCGATTCAAATTCTTCTTTGAGCAGCTTCTACATACCCCGTAGGGCTGTCATGAGATGGTGTCAGAGATGCTCGATCGACTGTAAGTGCTTGACCACTATTCAGTGTCCACTCTCCCTGCCATTGCCACCCACAGGTGTCCTGAGCCCCTCTCACTGCCACCTTCCCTTCACATTTGCTTATTTTGCTTTAAGCATCTCAGTACAGAGGACAATTTTCACATTGCAGCTGAAGCTCAGGAACTCGAGTTCTACCTCCCCTGTTTCTTGACAAACAGAAAAACTCTGCTGTCTCTTACCAAATTATCTGACACATTTCTAAAATATAACTGAAACCTCATTACATGGATGAACAGCTTTCCATTGGCTCATTCCTAGCTCTGATATTAATAGAATTGTTGCCAAGACATCGCAGTTGGCCTCAGAGGCAGTCAGGAAGGCGCCGTCGTTAGCGACCCGAGATGGCTGCCAAGTGTAAAGAGAGCTAGCGGAAGCTACTGGGATTTCTGCATGGGTAGATGCCACTGTAGAGTGGATTCCCTGGTTCCCTTCCATTGACATGACAGAGATCAGTCAGCAGAGAGGGGCTGGGTTTCTAATCAGAGAATAGATATCCTCCTTCCACAGCAATCAGAATCATCTTTTCAAAATACAAATCTGAACCTGTTTAAAACTCTGCTTAAAATCCTCTAAGAGCTTCTCACTGCTATGAAAATGAGTACCAACATTCTTAATAGGGTCTACAAAGGTTGGCTGCTAGCGACTCCTCCCAGTCATCTCCCCAAATCCCATTTGTTTGATTATTGGGTTGTCCTTCCCACTGGATTGAGTACTTGCTTTGTGTGAGTCCTGGTTCCAAGACTATGGGCCAAGTCTGATTTTGCACAGTATCATAGCCTTAGGGCCTAGTACAAAGCAGATGCCCCAGTAAATATTCATGGAAAGAATAAATGTGTACAGGGATGCCATGCAAGGGTTTCCTGCCTGATCTTCCACTCCCTGCTTTTTTTTTTTTTTTTTTTTTTGAGACGGAGTTTCGCTCTGTCGCCCAGGCTGGAGTGCAGTGGCGCGATCTCGACTCACTGCAAGCTCCGCCTCCCGGGTTCACGCCATTCTCCTGCCTCAGCCTCCCGTGTAGCTGGGACTACAGGTGCGCGCCACCATGCCCGGCTAATTTTTGTATTTTTAGTAGAGACGGGGTTTCACCGTGTTAGCCAGGATGGTCTTGATCTCCTGACCTCGTGATCCGCCCATCTCGGCCTCCCAAAGTGCTGGGATTACAGGCGTGAGCCACCGCGCCCGGCCCACTCCCTGCTTTGTACTGTCCCTCATAGTAACACTAAAATGCTGGTAGCTGCCTATACAGGTACTAGGTCATTTTCTACCTCTAAGCTTTCACTTAAGTTGTGCCTCCTTGCCTAAGATTGTCATCTTATGCTTCTCTCCCTTTACCTAGGAAATCCTCCTCTGAGCAAGGTTTATCTACTCCATAAATTTCCCTTGGCTGGTGGACATTCTGAGATGTTACAGACCTCCCTTTTGTCCCCGTGATGATCCAACCCAACCTCTCTCTTCACTTTTCCATTGTTTGTGTCTGCCTCTCCAACATCTTAAAGAAAGGGAAATGAGAAAATGTGAAGTGTGTAGTATGGAAAGTGCTGAGTAAGTAGGATTTATGTGTGTGTGCAGGTATGTGTATGATGTATCACTGGTATTTCATGGTGAATATCATGGTGAATATCATGGTGAATATCATGGTCTATCTAGCCTTAAGATTTTTATACTCGCTGTTCTCTCCATTCAGATGCTCTTCCTACCTCTCCTGCTGATTTTAACCCTTCAGAGCTCAGATAAATTCTGTGATTGCCACACGGAAGCCTTCCCTGCCCACGTCCCTAGACTCAATCAAGCCCCCTGTTTATGTGTTCTTCTAGCTCTGTAGTTTATTACCACTTCTTGATATAGTTTATTGCCACTTCTAATTATAACCAGTATACTCATTTGGTCTAAGTTTGCCTCCCCCTTTATGCTGAAAGCTTCATGGGGACCTGCTCTATCTCCACTTTCCCTTAGCACCTAACATAGTGTCTGGCACCCCATAGGTGCTCACTGACAATGACTGCTTGATCATCTGCATCCCTATTAGGGCCCTCAGTGTGAAAAGGGAGAGTAGGGAGAGTAGACAGAATGAGAACACGCAGCTCTCCTTCCTCACTGTGGTCCTATGAGGATGTTCCTCAGCTGACTGTGCAGATAAACCTTGAGCAGCCCTTTAGCATCTCAGGGACTTGCCTGGAAGAGCTGTGGCTGCTGGTCCTCACCCTGCTCCACAGTGTCCCCTTCACTGCTTAAATCAGGTCACAGCTCCCCGAAAGCTTGCTCCTTGGAACACTCAGCCAGCTGCAGCTAACAACTGCTGAGGCAGCAAAGGACCATGACAGCAAACCTGGAAGGGAGGGTAGGTGGCAGGGACGCCAGCAGAGTTGTGGCTTGTAAATAGGTCTGACATCCCCAGACATGTTCTGTCTGCAAGAATATGTCTCACCTGAATCTGGGGGCCTGGCAGAGTGAAATCTGTTATCTTCCTCCCCTATCCAAGCTGGCCCAATCGAGGCACACAAATGGTGTGATTTGACTTGAGGATTGTAAAGATCTTCTAGGTGATCAATGCCCTCACCCCCATTATAATCCCACCACTTGTAGCTGAATGTTTTTCTGCCATTGACATTGACCAGGATACTGTTACTGACATTGCCAAACCACCCCAAAGCGTTTGTTCCATTTGCCCCATCCTAGAAAGCCTTCTGTTGCCTGTTCCCAGCCTGTTCATGGTTAGAGGTGTTTAAACATCCAGGTAGCCCAGGGAAAGCCTTGGAAGATATGTAACTGTGTCCTTGTCTGATAACAGTCCCTCACACATGAATGAGTGGTGGCCTGGTTACAGTAATGAGATAATGCACCAAAAAAAAAAAAAAAAAAGAAGTACCCTAGAATCAGGAGCCCTGGCCCCACAACCCAGCTCCACCTCTGATGTGCTGTGTGTCTCCTGCTACCTGTTCTCTGTGCCTCATTTGCCTCTTATAAGACAAATGGACAGGCAGGAGGAGATTAGTGGCTTTCACATGATGTTCTCTGGAGGTATAAGGTAGAAGAGATGCTATAGAGCCACCATGGTGGGCAAAGGGGAAAAATGCTGAGACTTTAATTCCCCACACTCACCCCTATATCTTAACACACCTTTGCACACACGTACACTTGCACGTATACTCAGACACAGCACAGGCACTCCTGATCTCTCTTCTCAGAGAAGCTTTCATCTGTGTTCTATACCAGCATGCTGTAAACCACACGACACTGTAGATGGAAAGAGAATAGAGTCCAAAGGAATGTGATAAGGCTTAGAATCCACTGAACTAGATGCTTTCTAAACTGTGCCAGCCCCTTGAGCCTCAGCTGTAATCAGGGGAAGATGGTCCTCCTCAGGCTATTAGAGGGTAACAGAAATGTCATGGTTAAAATGTGGGTTCTGTAGCCCAACTGCCTGGGTTTAAATCTGGCATCTATGACTTATTCTGTTCCCTTAGGAAAGCTTCTTAATCTCTTTTCATTTCCTTAACACTAAAATGGAGATAAAGGAGCACTTACCTCCTAGAGTCATGAGAATTAAAGGAGTTAAACATGTGCGATGCTTAGGACAATGCTGAACACCATCAGTACTCACAAGTATTGGCAGTTGTGATTTCATTGCTTAGCATTATTAAATGGGTGCTTAACATTTAGGGGGCACATGGACCCCAGTAAATCTGTTAAAGCTATGGGGTCTTACCCTGGGAAGCTATCTACAAAAAAAACATCTTTTGCCTTCAATTCAGAGAGCATTTGGTCCAAAGTCTTCAGTAGAAAACTGAGGCTCCAAATAAGAAATTTGCCTAAAATTAATAAAGTTCAGCAAAACAAGGGCTGGAGCCCAGGCTTCCTGATTCTCAGCCTTGTGTACTTTTCAGCACATACATCCCCAAATCCAGACATGATAAGGGCGGTCACATAGACTTGGATTCCATAGCTGCTTTTTCACTTGCTAATTGTGTGACTTGGGCAAATTTCTGAGCCTTAGTTTCCTTATCTGTAGACTAGGGATATACCATAACTCAAGAGTTGTTATAAAGTTCCTACCTCAGTGGGAACATGGAGGAGGGGATCAACCCCCATCCTACTCCCTGTTTCTATGGTTACAGGAGGGCTGTTCTAGGAAGTGAAGAGTCCCCTCTACACAGATGGCGGGCTGAGGGAATGCAAATAATTCAGTGCTGTGTGATTTTTACAGTATGCTGGTATAAAACACAGTTGAAAGCTCTGAGAAAGAACAGGAGAGCATGTACTCTGAGTATATATGCAAGTGTATGTGTGTGCAAAGGTGTGTGAGATGTAGGGGTGAGTGTGTGGGACGAATGTCTGTTTTGCCTCTTTGCCCACCATGGTGGCTCTAAATCATCTCTTCCAAACCCTACAGCTCCAGAGAACATCATGTGAAAGCCACTAATCTATTCCTGCCTGTCTTTTGTCTCATACGGGGCAAATCTCCAGAAGGTGTGATGGTACTAGAAAATAAGTCAGTGGGGCCGGGCGCTGTGGCTCACACCTGTGATCCCAGCACTTTGGAAGGCCAAAGCAGGTGGATCACCTGAGGTCAGGAGTTCAAGAACAGCCTGGCCAACACGGTAAAACCCCATCTCTGCTAAAAATACAAAAATTAGGTGGGTGTGGTGGCAGGCGCCTGTTATCCCAGCTACTCAGGAGGCTGAGACAGGAGAATCACTTGAATCCAGGAGGCAGAGGTTGCAGTGAGCCGAGATCACACCACTGCACTCCAGCCTGGGTGACAGAGTGAGACTCCATCTCAAAAAAAAAAAAAGTCAGTGTGCTTCAGGGAGAGTCCAGGGAGAAAGCGTGGGGAGAATACCTCATCCTGTATTTTTGTGAGTTCTCCTTCCCTAGATATCCAGGGAGGTGACTCCCCTATGGCACAACCTTCAAACAACTTCCCCACCTTCAAATGTTATTTCATCATATTTTTGAAAAACTTTTAAAGGCATAATTTAATATGATTTGAAAAGGTTTTAGTGATTCATTCAAGGAGGGAGTTACTTGTGAGGCTAGCATGAGAACCCAGGACTCCTGATTCTGAATTCAGGGTACTTCCTTTACTATTGCAGGCACTATGGTCTTTATAAAATCCCACTTCTAAGCCCCTAAACTAGTCTCCACCTTGTGCTGCTCCAGCCTTAAGTGAACCTTCTTCCAGGCTTTACAAAATATCTGCCACAAGCCTTGCCCAGAATTATAGTTGTCATGCTGTTCCTCAGGAGAGGCAGGCATCTTCCTAGATCTGAACTCGGAGAGGAATTTTTTCATGGTCCTTTGAAATGGAGCACTGAGCAACTTCCACAAACTTGCATTAAAATTGCAGAAAGTCTACCTCCTCCATTTCATGTTGGTAACTTCTGTCCCTGAACAGGTGCGTAGTTAGTACCTGGGCGTATGATCTTGCCTACCTATAGCCTTCCAGTTTTCATGTCCAATCAGCCCTCTACATATGCAGGTTCCACATCCATGAATTAACCAAGCTTGAATTTAAAATATTCAGAAAAAAGGGAAACAATAAAAAATAGCAGTACAGCAATACAAATAATACAAAAAAACCAATAGCATAAAACAACTATTTAGATAGCATTTGCATCATATAAGGTATTACAAGCAATCTAGAGACGATTTATACAGGAGGATATAGATAGGTTATATTCAAATGCTATACCATTTTATTTCAGGGACTTGGGCATCCACAGATTTTAGTATCTACAGGGAATCGGGGGGCCTAGAACTAATCTCACATGGATGATGAGGGATGACTATAGTTGGTTCATGTTTATAAGTACATAACTCCTCAATTAGACTTACACACTTTCTTTAGAATAGGGTAGTGTTTTATGACCTCTTTGACATTGGTTCTAACACAGTTCTCAACATAGAAGAAAGCTTAGTTTAACAAATAGTTGTTTACCTATCCAGGCAAAACATAAAAAAACCTGTTCAATTTTGTTCCATAAATATACATATATAAACACACACATATGTAGACATATACATTGAAGTGACAACTACTTTGCAATCTACCCTGAAGAATTTTACTTTTTCAACCTAACCTGTCAAACAGTGAACAATTTGGCAATTAACAAATTATGATAAATGATTGTTAATTAAATTTTATGACACATCAAGCAAGGACAATCTACTTTCGTATTAGAGAGAAACCAATATTTTTCTTGAATTGCTGCAAATCTCTCAAACAAGATACACATTTATTTAAGCACCTTCCAAAGGGACCGAGTTTCAGGAATTGCAATTTGCTAAGAGATTGGACTGGGTATTTTCACGGCAAATAATTCCATTTACATTACACCCAGGCCCAGTAACACTGCATGCTCTGAATAACTCATTGTTATCAGTGCGAGGTTTTCAACCCCATAAAAAGTGCAAGAGCATAAAGAATACATAAAGGAGACAGAACACTGAGGTTCTTTAAATGCCGTCAGCTTTTTTGCCAGCACTTTCTTCTTAGGGGCCTTGAGTTGGAGGGAAATTAAAGAAATGTGTTGCACAACCAAATTAGGATGGGAGATTTGGGCCAAGTAGATAGAGGTGAAGAAGATAATGGATGGACGGGATAACGAGCTCAGGGAGGACACTTGTAAATGCAAATACTAGGAATATGAATATGATGTTTTATTTTGCCAAAGCTGGTTTTATGAGACTGCAGTCCCATAGTAACTGCTTCTAGTGCCAGTGTGGCCTCCATGATCCAACAAAATGCTGAAGGAGGGAAGGAAATAAGAGGAGCCAGAAGAGAATCTCTCTAGCATCCTAGTTTCTCCATCAAATCTTAGCTTCTGGGATTTTTAGAAGTAGAAGGGCAACAGGGAGCAGCCGGTCCTACTGAGTTTCACAGTGTGGTTCAGTGTTGCTGAGGGCTGCAGAAAGCACAGAGCTGGGACCAGAATTGGAATCTTTTAATTCCCATTCCAGTTTCCATAAAAGAAGAGGAAAGAGCTCTTTCATCTGTTTAGCTACCTGGAGCCCTATTAGAAAGGGTTCTTGTTGCCTCATTTAACAAAGTTAAGTATTTTAATCACATTGGAAATGCTGTCAACAATCTTCAGAATGACTGTTATATGAGAAACATTGGGACACTACTCTGTAATTGAGTCATGGCCAGCATGTCCTCTTGTCCCACGAGGCCAGTGGCCTCAACACCATTCTCTCTTCTTTGCAGTACTGTCTTCTTAAATACCTATTTCTCAAAGAAGCAGGGGAACACACCTTCTGAATTACATGAAATCTATTCTGGAGCCTAC